>NC_000011.10:74692059-74995089 GCF_000001405.40 Homo sapiens | reverse complement strand
TCATACGTTAGCTGAATCTAAATAACTGTGGAGGTCTCTGGAGTCAGCGACTGAGTTTGAAACCAGCTTCTACTGCTTTATTATAGCTGTATAACCTTGAGCAAATGGCAACCTCTCTGAGTCTCAGTTTCCTTGTCTGTAAAATATGACTGAAAACAGTACCTACGACACAGAATGGCTGTGAGGACCCAATGTGCCCCTGGCACACAATAAGCACTCAGTGAGAGCCATTGTTTTTGCTGTTTTTTCTGCCTCTGCTCCCCACACAGGGCTTTCCTGTACTGATGAGAAAAGGCACAGATCCTGAAGAGCTCTGAGCTTTGTGAAGAGAAACTGAGGCCCAGACTCAGATCTGGGATGAAGAGTCACCTGTACCAACTGCCCAATCCTCAACCCTCGCCTCAGCACCAGGTGGAGAGCATCCTCATCTCTCCTCGTAGAACGCTTCTCTGCAAAGGCCAGGAAGGTGTGGGTGGGGGGTATGTAGAGCAGGGCTGGGATCCGGTAGGTAATCCCTCTGTCATCTTCCTGCCGGAACAGAGGGCTGTTGAAGGAGCATGTTGTCACTTCTTCCATGACCTCTGCAAGGATAGAAGGAAGCTTAATGTGTGTCCATACCCAGATGCTGGCCTGCATATAAATTCTGCTTCATCATTTCACTTCTGGAGAGCAAAGGTGGGGGGGCACAGATATATTCAAATGTTTCTTTATACAAGAATAACATATGCTCTCAATAGCACAAAGCAAGCAATATACATTCTTGTTTAACAAATGAGAATTTCATTAACTCCAGACCCTGTGGGAATTCTATGTGGCCTGTATCAAGTATGTATCTTGGAGCAGAGCGGTTTTGCATTTGTTTTTGCCAAGCATCCAGGGGTATTACCAGCCTGAGGTGGTTTTTATTATCAACTTCTTGGCTTGGAGTTTCTAGGCCATTTGGGTATCTGTATGAGTGAATGCCTATGGTTAAGAATTTTCTGGGAAAACTTTTTTTCTGTACGAAAGCCTAGGATAAAAGGCAATCTCTTTGTCTTCTATCTGTGTCAGTAGGGAGAATTTTTTTTTTTCCTAGTAGATCTGGTTTGATATTTGTCCCCTCTAAAACTCATGTTGAAACTTAATCCCTGATATGGCAGTGTTGAGAGGTGGGGCCTCTAAGAGATGATAGGGTTATAAGGGCTCTGTCCTCATGAATGGATGAATGGATGAATGGGTTATCATGGGAGTGCATTAGGGGCTTTATAAGAGGAAAACTAGAGATCTGAGCTAGCATAATCAGCCCCCTTGCCATGTGATGCCCTATGCCACCTCCAGACTCTGCAGAGTCCCCACCAGCAAGAAAGCCCTCACCAGATGTGGCCTCTGGACCTTGGATTTCTCGGACTCCATAACTGCAAGAAATTTCTTTTCTTTATAAGTTACCCAGTTTCACGTATTCTGTTATAAGCAACAGAAAGTGAATTAAGATACTAGTCCACCCTATCAGAAGGTATACACCCTACACAGGGTGCAGATTTTCAAGGGACCTAGCTTCATGTGAGTATTTCACATGCCATCCTCTGTCAAAAACTAGAGTCTAACCAGGCCGGGCGTGGTGGCTCACACCTGTAATCCCAGCACTTTGGGAGGCCAAGGTGGGCGGATCACGAGGTCAGGAGATCGAGACCATCCTGGCTAACATGGTGAAACCCCATCTCTACTAAAAATACAAAAAAATTAGCCGGGTGTGCTGGCAGGCACCTGTGGTCCCAGCTACTCAGGAGGCTGAGGCAGGAGAATGGTGTGAACCCAGGAGGCAGAGCTTGCAGTGAGCTGAGATTGCCCCACTGCACTCCAGCCTGGGAGACGGAGCAAGACTCCATCTCAAAAACAAAAACAAAAAAACACCAACAACGACAACAAAAAACCCACTAGAGTCTAACCCATGCGGACCTATAGCTTCATTTGGTATAACAACAGGCCTATTAAAGTCCAAGTTTCTAGGTGAGACATCCAGTGCAGCTGAGGGCAGATTAAGGAGCTAACCACTCTGGTTTTCAGTTCACTCTTGGTTTCTAGGTCCCTGGAGATTTCTCTTACTTTCTTGCAAATTCAGCTATAAAGGGCTTTGTTATTTTTTTTCTTTTGAGACGGAGTTTTGCTCTTGTTGCCCAGGCTTGAGTGCAATGGTGTGAGCTCGGCTCACTGCAACCTCCACCTCCTGGGTTCAAGCAACTCCCCTGCTTCAGCCTCCCAAGTAGCTGGGATTGCAAGCGCCCGCCAGCACGCCCAGCTAATTTTTTGTATTTTTAGCAGAGACGGGTTTCACCATGTTGGCCAGGCTGGTCTCCAACTCCTGACCTCAGGTGATCCACCCACCTTGGCCTCCCAAAGTGCTGGTATTACAGGCATGAGCCACCGTGCCCGGCCGGCTTTGTTATATTTTACCCACCATTTTACAGGTTGGCTACCCTGCCATAATGCTCACAATGGAGTCTCCAAGTATTCTTCTTAAAGAAAACCAGGTGTTCCACTTCTCAGAGGTCCAAAAGGGGAATCAAGCCAGACAGACAAAAAGCAGCCTTAGAATTACTTTTTCCTCAAACCAACTGTCATCCAAACCCAATTTTACAAATCATTTGTAAATATTATCAGGCTGTAAGAACAATTGATTCAATAAATATTTCTAGGTTCCTCCTCTGTGTCAGGCCCTAAAATAGATGCTGAGAAGACAGAGAAGGATCAGAGGTTCCTGCTCTCAAGAAACCCAATCCAAGTGAGGGAAACAGACATATACATGGACAATTATAACATGATGTAATAAGTGCTACTTTAGAGGTAAACACAACAGCAAGTAGAAAAACACAAAAGTGGCATCTATCCAGATCAAGGCACCAGAGAAGGATTTTTGGAGAGAATGATTGAGCCAAAAGAACTCCTGCCTCATATAGTCACAGGCTCTGCCTGGAACACTCGTTTCAGATAGCCACATAACGCTCCCTCACCTTCTTCAGCTCTGCTCAAACATCATCCAATCAGGAAGGTTTCTCTGTCAACTCCTTTGCCCCAGCCTATCTTCTTTCCTTGTTCTATTCTCCACACCACTTATCACACTTTGATGCCTCCTATGTTACATTTGTTTAATACATACCACAAAATGGAAGCTCCAGAAACAGCAAGGGTATGTCTGTTTTCTTATTGCTCCGCCTTGACACCTAGAACTATGCCTATTAAGTAATAGGCACTCAACAAATTTTTGTTGAATGATTGAATGAATCAGTGAGCCAGATCTTAAAGAATGAACAGTGGATTAGCCAACTGAGGGTTAAAAGGAGAAGCGCAGAGGACAAGGATGTGAAAAGCCTATAGGCAACAGAAAACAGTGAGTTTTGGGGCCTCTCAGTAGTTTAGTGTGACTACAGTAAGGTGGAGTGCAAGGGATGGGGGCAGAGGTGGGACTGAAGGGGTCAGCACAGTCCAGATCCTGGGAGGCTTAGATAACTTATTAAGGTGTTTATTCCACAGATGGGAGACCACTCAAGAATTTTTGACAGAGGAATGGCATGATGATTTTAGACCAATCTTCCAGGAAGCTTTCAGGACAGTGAACCATACGGCAAAGTTGCACTGCTTTTGGCTACAGCCTCCTAGTGTCAACCAAGACAAACTTTTATCAATAGCATATGAATATTTAGTCACTTGTTCCTAACTTGAAGAAGGGAAAAGAACTATTGCTCAGTATCATGAGGGGAACTGGGAGAGTGGCCTTGCTGAGTCCAGAAGAAAAGCCTCCCTTCATTTCAATCCCAGGCTCTCAACAGCAGAATCAAAAGATAAGCAAGGGGAGACCATCTTCTCACTCAATACTAGAGCATACTTCTCTCCCCTCAATTCAGGCTCTCCTCCCCGGGAGGGTCAGGCTTTGTTCTAAGCAAACAATCTGTCTCTGAGCCAGGCTGGTGTAATGGTTAAGAACATAGGATTTGGACCAGGCCAGGACTATGTGACCTTGGGCATGTTATTCAACTTCTCTATGCTTCAGGATCCTCCCCTATACAATTCAGCAGAGTAGGTGATAGAAATAAAATGCTTAACTACAGTGGCTATTACAAGGCCTATGACATAGTATGAGTGCAATATATGACAGTTATTATTTTTAAACTACCAATTACTGTATATTCTAGTTTTATTCCTTGAATCCTGTGGATAACAATGACAATAATAACAATTACAACTCCCTTTCTTAAAAACATTTAAATCCCCCTTTATTGCTGAAAGAGAACATACTTTAAACTCTTAACACCTTAATTACAAGTTAAACCAACACTACTATCATCAGTCAACATGTGACTATTAGTTAAATCTAAACAGGAATTCTCCAGGTGATAAGAAGAATGGAGCACAGGATAGGCATGGAGCGGGTTAGGGCTCAGAACAGGAAAGGAAGAGGCTGGGTGCGGTGGCTCATGCCTATATTCCCACCACTCTGGGAGGCTGAGGTGGGCAGATCACTTGAGGTCAGGAGTTCGAGACCACCCTGGCCAACATGGTGACACCCCATCTCTACTAAAAATACAAAAAAAATTGGCCAGGCATGGTGGCATCCACCTGTAATCCCAGCTATTCGGGAGGCTGAGGCAGGAGAATCACTTGAAACCAGGAGACGGAGGTTGCAGTGAGCCGAGACTGCACCACTGCACTCCAGCTTGGGTGACACAGCAAGACTCCATCTCAAAAAAAAAAGGAAATGGAGAGGAAATAGGGAAATAATCACCAAAGGAGAAGCACAACTTGTCACATGGGCTGGATTCAAGTCTCAGCTCCATTTCTTGCTGCATGACGTTTTGATGGTTACTCAACCTCTAGGTCTTGGATTCCTTGCTTGTAAACTATGGATAATAATACCTACCTAAGCAGATCAATATGAAGAACCACTCAAAAGTGTTTTATAAATTTTAAACTGCTGTTTTAATAGGTGTCTTTAATTATAAATTTTGATGTCCTCACAATTTCATTTATGCTTTATTATCACTATAACAATTAGAGCCATTAATTTTTGTAATTATGCTGATCGTGTTGATGACAGAAGTAATATAGATGGTGATTCTGGCATTGCCACCCAAAACGTTTCACACAAATCAGGTGCTGGAAACGGGATAGAAAATAATCAGATATGGGCCTGCTCTGGGGTTCATTTAAGCAGAGAATTCAAATGATTACTTGCTGCTCGATATAATCACTTTCCCATCAAGTCCTTCCCGCTTTCTTACTGGGAGAGAGTATAGCCTAGCATGGACTCTGAAGTCTGACTTATCTTTGACACTTACTAGCAAGTCACTTTACTTCTGAGCTTCAGTTTCCTCACTTATAAAATGGAGATAATACCGCCTACTTCTCAGACTATAATAATGTAATTCCACAGCCTCCAACTAACCCAATGAGCCTCCAGTGAATCCCAGGAGGCCTTCCTATCTCATTTATTCACTCCTAACAAGTAATATTTAAGGAGCACCTACCACGTGCCAGACCTTTGAAGATCTGTAGTCTAAACCCTCTCATGGTATAGATGGGAAAACTCGGGCCCGGGATGGGGACAAAGCTTACTGAACGCCACTCCACAGTAAAATCTGGACCAAGACCCAGGTCTCCTAAGTTGAAACTGAAGCTCAGGGCTCTTTCTGCCGCCCAGAGACCTTTGGTAAGCAGGGCTTTTCCAGTCTCAGTTCCCTTTCATCTCTGGAGTGATAATTCTGAGGTTTAAGTTCGGCTTCTGTGAGAACGAATAAAAATAGGACTAGCCAAGAATTCTCTGGCCAGGTCAGATCCTAGCCGACTAGGTGGCTCTGTCTCAATAATCCAAGGCTGGATTTCCCAAACGCAGATGGTCTTGCTCAACCTGTCCCCACAGTTGAGTCCTCCTCGGGGAGCTCTCCTGTCTCCCAACCCCGCTCACCTGCACTGGACCCCGGCTCCTCCGTCTCTGTCGGGGCAGAGCTGGACGCCGGGGATTCTTCCATGGGGCGCGGGGGCAGGTCCGCAGGTCTCATTCGCCGAAGCCCGGAAGAGGCACCGGCCCCAAGGCTGGGGAGACTGAGACAGAGGAGGATAGAGAGGGAGAAACAACTGAGACGGAGGACACGGAGACAAGCCCCGAGAAGCGAAGAGCGTGTCGACTGCCGGAAACAGGTAACGGCAACGAAAAGAGGCGGGCGCAGGCTGTAGTCAGTGGCGGTTGGGGCCAACCGTTGGCCTACTCCGCGAGCCCTCCCCGTCCCGCCCCCTCGGCGCTGCCCCTCCCTCCAGCCCGCAGCTCGGTCCCCACCACGGCGTGGGACCGGCACCACCTCCACCCTCGCCAACTCAGCTCAAGCCCTGGGCCCACCTCAGTTCCCAACGGCCGCCTCCTCTCTTCAGTGCCACAGCCCCGAGCTCTTATATTGGTCTGTAGCTCGGTATCACCGCCTAAAGCTTCCCTGGACAGCCTGAGAGTTGAGCAAAGGTTCCCGGCCTCAGAGGGTACCCTACAAAAAGGACCAGAGGTCCAGAGCATTGGCTACTCTCCTTGCAAAATATGAAAATGAAAATATATTCATATATATAATTTATGTGTGTGTATATACACACATTTACATACATAGATTTGTCACATAGCACTGAGTCCATTCTTCTGTTTCACAGTACCGGAATTTAAGCCCCCCTCTCCCCAGCCAAAGAGGAAAGGACTGATCTAAGGTCATTTTTTATCTGGGACTAAGTACAACGTAAAGGTAATAGGCTGGGCCTGGTGGCTTATGCCTACAATCTCAGCGCTTTGGAAGGCCTACGTGGGAGGATGCCTTGAGCCCAGGAGTTGGAGGCTGTGGTGAGCTGTGATTGCACCACTGCACTCCAGCCTGGGTGACAGAGCGAGACCCTGTCTCTAAAATATAACAATTTTAAAAAGAAGAAATTTTACAAACGCCAATAAAAGGAAAGACAGACTGCTAACTTAGAGGACATAAAAATGTAAAGCTTCTGTAAATTTGAATTCGTGATATTTTTCTCATTAAAAAAAATCCTGTGCTGAGGCAGGGAACATACAAGATGAGCCTGGAACATCGTGGTGCCACAAGGAAAGAACTCACAAAATGATGAGGGTTCTTTGAAAGAACATAGGTGCCAACCTCAATACAACCTGCTGTATTTTTCTAAAAAAAAAAAAAAAAAAAAGAAAAAAAAAAAGGCCTAGAACCAGAGACCAACTCATCGTAATAAGCCCAAATAATGGGTCTTTTTTATTTTTATTTTTATTTTTTGAGATGGAGTGTGTCTCTGCCGCCCAGGCTGGAGTGCAGTGGCGTCATCTTGGCTCACTGCAAGCTCCGCCTCCCGGGTTCACGCCATTCTCCTGCCTCAGCCTCCCGAGTAGCTGGGACTACAGGCGCCCACCACCACGCCCGGCTAATTTTTTGTATTTTTTATAGAGACGGGGTTTCACCATGTTAGCCAGGATGATCTCGATCTCCTGACCTCGTGATCCGCCCGCCTCGGCCTACCAAAGTGCTGGGATTACAGGCGTGAGCCACCGCGCCTGGCAATAATGGGTCTTAAAATACTATTTTGTCCCCAAAGGAACCAGGGTTCCATGAAAAAAATGGCTGATTTTAGGTGCAGGGAAGAAAATTTATAAGATTAGCCTAGAACATCTTAACAGAAAGCAAGAAAGCCATAAAAGACTATTTCAGGTCATGTCAAAAGAAGGTAAGAATCAATTTGAAGGTGATTCCACTGGCCAAATATGGAAAAATTAGAACATCAAAAAGAACAAGGACTGCAAAGAAAGTTCATATCGACATATGGAGAAAAATGTCACTTTGGTCACCTCAGAGTTTGCTAAGGAAAGCAGCTTTTTATTCTGCCTTTCCTGTACAAACCCTATTTCTGGGTAACTAAATAGTTGATGGGGAAAAGTTCTCCTTCATAAAATAATTAACTGACCAATGCCAAATGAATGATAGAATTTCATCATTTTGTCCTTTAATGACAAAATGAATTTAATGAATCTAGACAGCAATTATCAATAGCTACTAAAAGCTACACCCTTATTGCTCACCTTTTCTTCCCTTCCTACTTTCCCACCTCATTATGGCACTCCCTGCATCTCTCACATATACTATTGCCCTCAGGTCCTGGTCTCAGAACTTGCCTCTGGGAGAACTCAAATAAAGACCCTATACCAGGAGATAAGAACAACAAAACAGTAATGAGTTAAGGATCTAACTTAAGAATGTAGAAAAGGAAGAACAGAATAAATCCCAAAAAGGTAGAAAAGGAAATGATGAAAATAAGAACAGAATAAATGAAACAAGAAGCAAAGTACAATAGAGGGGACTGACAAAAGCAAATATTAGTCTTGACATATCTAATAAACCGGACAAACCCTCTGGCAAGACTCATTTTTAAAAGTTATAAATGATATTAATGAAAAGGAGACTATATGCAGGGATACAACAGAGATGAGAAATAAATATTAAACAAACTTTATTCCTTAAGTTTGAAAATCTAGATAAAGTTAATACAGTTTTAGAAAAAGTTACCAAACTAAGATATGGAAAATGTGAAGTCTTACAACTATTTAAAAATCTAAATCAGTATTTTAAAATCTATTCACAAAGATAACACAACTATCCCAATTATTCCAATCTTGTATTTCCTTCATTAATAGAAGGAATGTAAATTGGTACAGTCGCTTTAGAGGAAAATTTAGCAATACCTAGAAAAGTAAAAATGTATATCCTCTCCCACCAAGGAATCCCACTACCTGTATTAGATGTGTCCATACAAGAATGCTCATAGCAGCAAATGTTTAATAGTGAAAAATTATAAAAGACCTAAATGTCCATTAATAGGGTAAATAAACTGTCATGTTTAACAGTATACAGCAGTGAAATAGAATAAATTGTAGCTACAGGTATCAATCTAAATTATCTTCACAAACAAAATATTGAACAAAAAAGCAAGTTGCACAATACAGAGAGAATGGTACTTGTGCAGATTTACCATAGCAGGCCTAACAGGTTATCCTTAGGAAGGCCTGCTTGCAAGGTTGGTGTTTTTTGACAGGTGTCTGGAAACTTGGCTCTCAAAGTGTTCCCAGTCACCAGTTAACTGAAAAGGGTAGTTGACTATGTAGACTGTTTGATTGCAGTATGATTTATGGTGGATACCTGCTTGCTTTCTAGGAGTCTTTATTATGTGCTAGGCAGATGGTGCCCACATGACCAAACCTCAATAAACTGTGGGTACTCTCTAATGGGCTCCCTGGACAGAAACATTACACACGTGTTGCTGCATTTTTGTTGTTGGGGCAAAGTGGGCTCTTTGCAATCCCTCATGGGAGGAAGAGCATAAGGAAGCCTGCAAATGGATTCCTCCAGACTCTGCCAGTGTCCTTTTCCCTTATGATCCAGATGTGTCCTTATTTTATCGAAGAATAAATCTTAGTCATATATGCTGAGTCGCGTGGGTCCTTCTAGCAAATACCTGAACACAGGGGTTGTTTGGGAGACTCTCAATCAAAAACCACATATAAAGTTTAAAAACAGGTAAAACAATAACCATATATATTGTATAAGAGCTCCCAAGGAGGTAAAAATAAAATTAAAAAATAACCATATATGTCTCTATATATCTGTATATATCCATATATATAATGGACACATATGTATGAAGAAAATGCTTACGAATAATAAACACCACATTCCAGGTAGTAGTAACTTCTGAAAGTGCAGGAAGTAAGATATGATTAAGGATACCCTGAGGACTTCAACTGTATTGGTAATATATATATTTTTAATGGCAGTAGGTTCACAAATATTCATCTTATTATTCTTTAAGCCTTATTTGTCTGAAATATTTCCTTTATAAAAACCGGGTCATGTCCTGGGGTTCTTTATCAGACTTCTCCAAGTTCACAATCACCAACTCTGTGGATCTCAAATTTTATAGACCCAAAGCTAATACCAAATCTTTCTCAATTCTTTGAGGTAAACTCAGATGGTCTCATCTTATGCCTGAGAAAGTGAAGTTAAAGAGCAATTTCTATATTTAGAGGTAGAGAATCCTGGCTCCAATCCTCTCTTCCCACTTCCTAGCTGAGTGATCTCGGCAACTTATTTAACTTCTGTGCCTCAGGTTCCTCATCTGTAAAATGGCCCAACTCCTCACTCATGGTTCAGTTTTCACTTCCTGTATGAGGACCTCCCAGACCTCCATACTAGAACAAATACTCCTTTTCAAGCCCCCATAGCACTTTGCACCTCCTTCTACTGTGTTCAGATTGTCTAAGTGTCTGACACTCTCAGCAGACTGTGAGCAACTAAAGCGAGGGGATCAGGCCTGGCACCCGTATTAGCAGAGCAGAATTATATAAAAGTTTGAAGGAAGAGGGATGCAGAAGGGTATTAAGTAATGCGATCAAGTAAGATGGCACAGGAATATCGGGGGAACTTCCTGTTACAGAAGTTAGGGAGCTTCCAAGATATGGGACAGGCAGAAGTAGGAGTGGGGCTGTCAAGAATTGTGAAGGGTCTGAGATTTTTATCTTACCTGCAAGCTAACAAGATAGCCTGTTACTACCTGTAAAAAGGATAGTTTGTTACTTACAGCAATAGCAGTAGCCAGAGTACCAGCATTTGTTCCAGTTCTGAGCCCCAATTCCCATATGATGACGCAGAGAGCCAGATGATACCTGCACATGTAATGAAGTGCCTTAAAGGAGAGGAACTTTGAGGTTAGGGAACCTGAATCTTCAATAATGGGCAGTGAGCATGTGCGCCCTTTGCTCTGATACCTTCTAAGGTTGTTTACTATACAAACATTCCTGGACAAATAGTCTGGAACAAAGATAGTCAGTGCCTCTCTTTGCAAAATATGCAGAAATGCTAGAGACCCATGAAGAATTGTCTCCCAACGATATGCACCTTTCATTTCTATGCCATCTTGGCTTTTGATGAATTCTCCCATAAGTATGCCACTCCACCTGTCACTCTAATTAAACTGACAGAAACTGGAACCAGGTCCATTCAAAGTATTTTATTACATTTAATTAAAGGTACTATCAACAGAACTCTATGTAACAGGATAAGACCAATCAGTACTGACTTCAGCCATATCCAAGGGCCTGTATCCAACAAGGTAGGAAAAAAAAACCAACAATCATAAACCATCAGGATCTACCTTAGAAAGCCAAGTGGCATTCTCAAGTTTCTGTATTGACCCTGTACTCGGTCTGAGACATTAATCCAGTCACAGTGGGATGTATTAGTGATTGCACTGACTCCAATTTGGCCCACAAAGAGGAAGAGCAATTCTATCACCCATAACCACCCTGGCCAATGAATTGAGGCTGACTTAAGTGCCATCCAGAGCTGAGGTGGTGTCACTGATGACTGCAGCTAAAGTCAAGAACAAATTCCTTATCAACATTTCCAATAGGATGACTCTCAGGATAGTGATAACTGCCTGCAGTATGCATAAATGAATCAGTTACGCTTTCAGGAAGCTCCTCTGGCCGCTGTTGTTTCCTCAAGAGCTCAGTAGCAGCCTAAGAGGTGCCTATCTTTTTAAAGGTCACTCTTGGAGTACTCAGGATATTTCACCTTGGTGACTGCAAAGTCCACATAGCTGGTTATAATGGAAAATGGCCTGAGTACTACAGGAGTAACTAAGTTTTCAACTAAACCTGTGCTTTTATTTCTTTTCCTCTTGCGGTTGTATGTTGTTTCTTTTAGACTACATCTCTCTATACTGCAGTAGTCCCTGAATGGGAGACTTATAAACTTTCCTAGTTCAATTAAATGTATATTGGTATTAACAACACACTTTGATGCTAAAGCCATAAAACAGCAGTACATTAAATGTTTAGAGGCTCCATCCACAGGTCATTTTAATTTTCCTTTCCCATGCAATTATCCCCTAAACCAGCCCGTGAAAGGCCTTTGTCCTTTCTCTTCTAGAAAACCATGTTGGTCAGGATCCAATTTTCATTACCACAACTTTCACATCTGTGAATTTTATCCTACTTGTAAGCTAACAGACCCTACCAGTTGAATTCAGGTACTTTTTCTCCCCTATGGGCACCCAAACCAAGCAGTTTAAGATAGGTATGTTGGAGATCACAGCCAAGAAATGATGTTATTTCCACAGCCAGAAGTGTGAGAGGTGGTGGAAGGAGGAGGTGGAAGAGGCTAGCCTGCAGGAGACAGTTGTTACTAGGAAGTAATCCCACTTTGACTCCTTGCCCCAGAACAGTGTTGCCTCTTCCTTCAAATACCTGTTGGCTCTGACAAGCACCCCCAGGGCTCAGGGCTCCTTTTTTTTCGCTGCTCTCCTGCATGCTATTGTAGATCTGCCCCATGGTATTTGGCATTTTTGACCACCTCTATGTGCAGATTTCCCTGTCCCCATGGGGCCAAGGAGGATAGTGATTTGGATGCCTATATTGAACGGAGCTGTAAAAGGGGCATTCCTCCCTTCCCCAAAGATGGGGAGCTTTTTTTCCTTAAAGCTGTAGAGAGAGAGGGATCAGAAGTTCTAGAGTAGGTTGATAAAACTGTCGAAGGTGACCCACTGGAGACACTGTTGGGAGAGGCAATCTGCCAGGAACGCTGAGTGTTCCTGCATGTATTTTCTTCCTTCATATGAATTTAAGGCCGTGACCATTCTTCTTGGGCTGTACCTCAGTGTTCTGTTGGCAGTAAGCTACCTTGAAATGAGCAGGTTTACCTATTGCTCACTGTAAGTTTTAAGCACTCCACCCCCACTACCAAACTTGGGGTCTGCATGTGTAGGCATTCATCTAGGACTACCTTGTGGCACTTTTGGGGGTGTAGGCCATAAGGAGAACGGCTTTGTGTCAGTCAGCAAGGCCATGTATTTACTTTCAATTCAAGTGGCTACCTACTTGGACTCAACAAACAGCTAATGTTTTTAGTTCAAAGTTCTATATCCTTATCACTGCCATCATTTATTTCATCTTTGGGAAATCATTCATCAGCCATGGCCATACTGCCTTTCAGCTGGAGCCATGAGCTTGCTGCCTCATTGTCAAAACATCTTTTCTGCCTCCTGCCTAGAGACTGAGCAACAACCTAAGTACAATCTGGGCAGCATGTTTCAATCCTACCTCTTGCTCCTTAGCCTCAAAATATTCTCAGGTAGGACTCTTTCTTCAGGTAGGACTTTTCTCAGGACTCTTTCCTCCTCCCTCACTTGGGAATATCTGACTTGCTACCAGATCCCAGCAAATTTCTTTTATCCCCTAATCCAGCCCATGAAAGGCCTTTGTCCTTTCTCTTCTAGAAAACCATGTTGGTCAGGATCCAATTTTCATTACTAAAATTTTCACATCTGTGAATTTTATCCTACTTGTAAGCTAACAAGTTAGCCTGCGATGCTTTCATGGATGTTGCCAGAAGACATGAGATTCCTGGGTCAGAGACAAATAACTTTATTACTTATGGTATAGCCAGCAACATGAGCATGATGTTTGCACCAGCTGCCCATGGCCTACACCCCCAAGTGCCACAGGGTAGGCCTAGATGGATGACTACATATGCAGACCCCCAGCTTGTGAGGGGAGGGGTGCTCAAAACTTTTACAGTGAGCAACAGGCAAATTTGCTCATTTCAAGGTAGCTTACTGCTAACAGAACACTGAGGTACAGCCCAAGAAGAATGGTCAGTCTTACATTCACATGAGGCAAGAATATACATGCAGGAACATTCAGGGCTCATGGCAGATTGCCTCTCCCAAGTTTCTCTTTCTCCAGTGGGTCACCTTTGACAGTATTAACCAACTCTGTGGCACTAAGAGCCTGACAACTACTCAATCCTCATCAATTGCTTCCCAGAACAGTTTGTCACAGAGAAATCCCTCTGAAAGGGCTAATGATCTTTTATGGCAGCCAAGAAAAATCTGAGACTTTTCCTGTTGTGTCTGCATGGGTCTAAGCCTGGCATGACAGACTGTAGGAGGGGGTTGGCTGTAAGACAGCCCAACAGTTGCCATTCTTCCTTAACAAGCATTATGTACCCTGAATCCCTCTATGCCCAAGTCGATAAACCAAAGTTCTAACAATTCACCTGGTTTCTGCCCACAGGAATAAGGAATTTCCCTTCTTTCAAGCTCATGTAAGTACGTGTCTCTGTGACTGTTGTCTGAAAGGAGGAAGAACCTGCTGCCTATAGAGGAAGAATGTTAGTAGCAGCAGTTAAAATGGGGCAGATCTGAGGCTGAAAGCCAGATTAGTGAGGAAGTACTTCTTTCTAGAGGAGAGTAAGCAACAACCAGGACATAGTTTCAGCAACTGTCTTTGAATCTGTTCCAGTAACTCTGGAACCACCTCCCCAGTTCCTTATTAACAGACAATGATATGTGTATGTATTTAAAACATTATTCTGAGAAGGGGACCATAGGGTGGGTTGGGTTGTTAGGAATACTCTATTTAATAACAAAAAAGGCTGTCAGTGGGGACAGGATATATTCTAAAAGTCTAAATTAACGTGCTATTAACAGTTTTCTCTGATGACTTCCACCATGGAGAAAAGGTTTGGGGTGTGGGTGGGGCTAGCCAGGAGTGGATAAGGTAGAGTTAGTGAGAGATCGGGCTCCAAGCTGAGGAGGAACTTGGGTCCAGAGAAAAACACAACTTGTGTGTATGCAAAGGGACTTTGCATCTTCTTCCATTCCCCGAAATTGTTCTGAAGCAAAGATTGTTTCTACACGTATATAAAAGCATGACAAACATTAAATACATATTAGCAGTTGAAATTTGCAAATAATGAAAAAACATTAGGATCTTTTTCCACTGTCCTCAGTGGCCCTCTATTTTCTAGAAAAAAGTCCGTCTGAGGTAAGTGTGAGGAACTGAGAACTTCACTCATGATGATGTGATGGGTGTCAGGGTTTCCTGGTGGCAAGGGTGTTGCAGACCTACTAGAGGGTACAGAGCAGCCCAGCAGCCTTCTGGACTGGGCTGAAATGGCCACTCAGTAGATGCATGTGTCAGAAGCTGGCCAGAGGCACTCTGCAGCTCTACAAAGTGTGCCCATGCTGAGGCTTGAGCCTGCAGAGGGTACTTTTTGTTCATGTGATGAGACACTCCTAAAATGCCACAAGTGCAAAGACAGGGGACCAACTGCAACATGTAGCTGGGCTGATAACCCACTTCTTCAACAAATCTAAACTGCTTCAACTGGTTTCTGGAGTCAGGGAAAAACCTTAAAATAGATCCATGTAGTCCAAGAAGTCTCCAGTGAGCCTTATAGGCAGATATTGGGGATATGGCACCCAACATTCTTTGTAATCATAAGGGATGTTTTTTATTTCCCAGGGAATAAGGAGTCTTCATAATCTCAAAATACATTCTCTAAAACTTTTTTTTTTTAACAAGAGACTTCACCCTAGAAAAGGAATAGGATGTATTCAAGGTCACAAATTAGAAAAAAGTTGCTAACAACCCAGGTTTCTTGTCTCTCATTTGAGGACCTATTTTCTTCCCCTCTCCTCAATCCATACTCCTTCCTGGAATAGTGAAAAAAACTGGGGAAAAATTATCATCAATAGGGTATTAAAGTAAAATCACTTATACTATGGAATATTATGTAGCTATTAAAAATGAGACTGACCTATGTGTATATATATATAGGGGTTATCACCCCAGCTACTTGTTGCAATTGGTCCCCTGCCTTTGCACTTCTGGTATTTTAGAACAGTTTCTTTTATATATATGTATGTCAGACTCTTTTTTTTTTCTTTTTTGAGACGGAGTTTTGCTCTTGTTGCCCAGGCTGGAGTGCAGGGTGTGATCTCGGCTCACTGCAACCTCCGCCTCCCAGTTCAAGCCATTCTCCTGCCTCAGCCTCCCAAGTAGCTGGGATTACAGGCATCTGCCACCATGCCCAGCCAATTTTTTGTATTTTTAGTAGAGATGTGGTTTCACCATGTTGGCCAAGGTGGTCTCGAACTCCTGACCTCAGGTGATTTACCTGTCTTGGTCTCCCAAAGTGCTAGGATTAAAGGCGTGAGCCACCATGCCTGGCCTCAGACTCATTTTTAATAGCTGCATTATACACACACACAGGGAAAATGCCTAAGATATATTAAGTTTAAAACACAAATTACAGGACATATATCAACATAATTCAATTTTTGTTAAAAAAAATGTATGTGGAGACACATGTTTGCATGCACATGTAAAGAAAAAGGCACAGTGGGGGAACTCTAAGGGATCATCATGGAGAGGGTTATTCAGTCTCTATCTGCAAGCCTCGAGACCCTTGTGTCTAACAGTACAGTTGGCCCTCTATATCTACAGATTTAACCAACCATGGATTAAAAATATATTTTAAAAAATAACAAAAAATATAAATTAAAAAACCAATGCAGTATAACTATTTACATAGCATTTACATTATATTAGGTATTATAGGTAATCCAGAGGTGATTAAAAGTATATGGGAGGATGTGTGTAGGTTATATGCAAATGCTATACCATTTTATATAAGGGACTTGAGCATCCTTGGATTTTGGTATGCTTGGGGATCCTGGAACCAATCTCCCACAAATACCAAGATGACTGTAACTCCTCCATTGTAAAAATACACTTATCCGGTTACATGCTTTCAAAAACTTTAAGAAGCTCACAGAGAATTCCGAAACTTACCCAAGGTTTACAGGAATGAAGAGTACAGAATCCAAGGCTTTAACTTTCTGTCCAGTGTTGTTCACAATTCCCTACCATGTGGTGCGAGATAGGACAACCTCTCCAAGACAAACAGGAAATGTGATAATGGTAATTTCTTACAAACTGAATATAGTGTTGGGTACTAGGCTCAGCCAAAATTGATGTTTTGTAAGGCTGTAGGGAAATATTCCTAAAGGTCAAAGGATCTTGGCAAGCACCCAGGTCTTCTCTGACCATACTGGGAAAATACTGGAAAAGCGGCTGTTTTGTCTCTGCAGGACCACAAACTCTGAAGCCGGACTCCCCAGGTTTGAATCCCAGTTCTATCACTAGCTGTGTGACAATTATTTAACTTTTGTATCTCAGTTTCCTCATGTGTAAAATGGGGATAATAACAGCACCTGCCTCTTAGGATTGCTGTGAGCATTATTAACACATGTAAAGTACTTGGAGCATTTCTGGCACAAAGTAAGTACAGAATGTTGTTATTATTGTTATTATCACTGGAAAGCTAAGAGTTCCTTAGCTACAGGTTCTCAGGGGCCTTTGACAAGTAAAATAGCCTAAAAATGAAAAAAACCTATAGTAGAAAGATGTTAACACTTGTTTCTCTGTTCTCTCCATCAAAACTATGACTCCATTTTTTTCACATCTTCCTTCCTTTTATTGAAAAAAATTTTAGAAAATGGCAGTTAATAAAAGGCACAAACAAATCAACAGGGATATACTAGTGGAAAACACAATATAAAACTAAAATGCCATTGGCTTCTTTAATTGGTTAAAAGCAAAAATGTAACAGGCAGAAAGTCTGTTTCAAACAAATTAAAAAGCTATGTGTTTTTTAAATTCTTCCCAAATCAGATATATACACACCCACAAAAATAGTGTGTGAAGGAAAGCTGTCATACACAAGAAGTTGTATCCTGAATTCTTCAAGGAAACACATATTGAAATAGGAATTAAGAGTCAGCAACAGATTAATAATTTTTTAAAATTGAGTCTTAAAATGCTACATGGCCCAAAGCTATACTATATAAAGTACTGCTAGGTACAAAAGAAAAAGTCTGTACAGCTTTTAGCAAAACTGCTTTCCCAGAAAAGCAAATTAAAATAATGCAATCAGCAGATCAAGGAGACTACAGCTAGACATCAGAGCTACAACTTCTCATATCTGTGTCAGAAAATCCTATTTACCCAGAATAGACTAAAATTTCAGGACAAAACAGGGACTTTTTAACATTTCTTACTTTACCCATTTTAAGTTCTTTTTATCTCCCCCACCCCCCAAGCCACTAATTCAGCAAGATCCAGGAGAAAGAGGGCTACTTTTAGAATTGGCTACTTTATTTTTCTTTCTATGGCAAGACTGTCATGGAGCCTGGATATTTCAGGCTCATATGCATCCATGACCAGTGTCCCACTGTGGTCAAAAAACTTAGCAATGGACTTTGTGAACTCGGCTTCCCGCTGCTGCTTTGTTCTCCCACTGATGAAGGTCAGCTTCAAGGTGTATTTGTCATCAAACCTAAGCATGGGGGCAAAGATAACAAATTAAAAACCAAACACAGAGATTCAACCAGTAACAATACGGCACCAAGTGTTTCCGAAGAAAAGGAGTAAGCTGGGCACGGTGATACAGGGAACAAACACATCCTTTAAAAGCAAAAGCAAAAACAAAACCCCAGGGCTCCTAACTTTTCAAGATACTAGTTCTGATTCTTAGGTGTTGACATATCTTTCCTACTTTAATTACTGTGTACCTCCTTTACCTTGTTGTAGACTTTTAAACCACGTGGACCATCTTCTCTCATCTCTGGACTTCGTATTTGCCATGCTAGACAGGTTTTCCTCGCAGACTCTTCTCCCCTATCTCACCTGAGAAGTTCTTATTTGTTAACACTATACTTGGGCATAAACTTTTCTGGGAAAGCCTACCAATCTGGGTCAGATGTGTTTCCTCTGTCTTCCACAGTACCATCAATCAATACTCAACTCAAATACTGACCTCCTGTCATATGCCAGGCCTAATAATAGGCTCTTATGGTATCAACAAAATTACCTATCTGTTGACATGATGTGTACTACTTTCTTCACTAGACTGGGAGGTTTCTTTTCCCTTTGTTTCTGGTGCTTGAATCAGGATTGTCTAGGAGATTCTTGAGCAAAGATTGTTGTCTTAATTGCTTCATACTCTTAGCTGGGCTTCTAGTAGGCAATCAAATTTTTATAAATAAATGAAGAACCCTTGCTTTCAAGGATGCTCTCCAATCCCGGGGTGCCTAGTCCTTGCACTCTGTAATCAATCTAGCTCCAGGTTTTACTCTGATCCCAGGCCAGGGATGCCAACTGCTTTACTAAATGAACTCCAGAGATTCCTTTAGCTATACTTCAAGGTACCCTGAAGGCCATTACTATGTCCATTCATTCAAGAGGGTTTAATGACACCAATTACTGGTAGGCTGACATCCCCCACCCTGTTTCCATTTATTAGGACATATTCAGTGGATTGTCAAGCTAGTATTATCTTTAAATGAAGCAGTTTCTTGAGGCTCTATTTCTGCATGTTTAAAATGGGAGAACTTCCACCTGCTTTCAGGATTACTGTCATGACTAAAACAGTGTCTATCATTAACTAGTGCTCAAAAGGTCACAGCTCCTCAATAATTGTTGGTCTAGGCAGTAACTCCCAACTTGGAGAGCTAGTAGTGAAGTTCCTTTAACTATTTTCAACACCTCAAAATATTTTCTCAAGTTCTGACCAACTGCTAATTGATATCACAGTAATTTTTAGACTTCTGTGCCCAGTTTTATTGGCAGTTACATGGCTTTGGTGGCAGTCCATGATCTGATGAGTTGTGACCTGATACATTTTAGAAATGTTCATTAATTCAGATATTTACTGAGCCTACCTATATGTGACAGGCAGTTTTAGATGGTAAGGATATACGGCAGTGAACATAATATAAATGTCTGCCTTTTGGGACTTTCATTTTAGTGTGTGTGAGGGAACAGACAGTATAAAAAAAGAAGATGTTCTCTTAAATAGATGGGCAGAAAAGCCTTCACTAAGCAGATGTCTGAGCAGAGACAAGAAAGGTAAGAGAATAAGCTATCTGGAAAAAGAATGTTCCAGGAAAAAGGAACAGCAAGTGCAAAGGCCCTGAGGCAAGAACATCCCTGAAATGTCTTAAGAACAGAAAGGGGCCTAATGTGAACAGAATGAAGTGGGAGAGGATGAGAGCCAAGGAGATGAGGGTATGTTTGCATCGGTGTGTGGAGTGCAGAGAATAGACATGTATGGACTTCTAAGCCATCCTTAGGATTTTGGCAATTTCTCTGAGAGAGTTTTGAGCAAAAGACTGAGTTGATCTGACTTATGTTTCAAAAGGATCACTTTGCTTGCTGTCCTGGGAATAGACTATGGGTGGAGAGAGGGCTGCAGAAGTCCATTACAACATCATTACAGTGGGCCGGGTGCCGTGGCTCATACCTATAATCCCAGCACTTTGGGAGGCCAAGGCGGGCAGATCACGAGGTCAGGAGATCCAGACCATCCTGGCTAACATGGTGAAACCCCGTCTCTACTAAAAATACAAAAAATTAGCCAGACGTGGTGGCTGGTGCCTGTAGTCCCAGCTATTTGGGAGGCTGAGGCAGGAGAATGGTGTGAACCCAGGAGGCGGAGCTTGCAGCGAGCCGAGATCGCGCCACTGCACTCCAGCCTAGATGAAAGTGTGAGACTCTGTCTCAAAAAAACAAAACAAAAAAAGAACATCATTACAGTAACATATGTGAGAGAGGATGGTAGCTGTGGAGATGGTAAATGGTTGGACAATACATTTAGATGGTGGAGCTAACAGGATTTGCTGACAGACTAAAGAAGGACTGAGAAAGAGGAGTCAAAATGACTCCAGAGCTCTGTAAGGACAGCACTGCCATTTATTGAAGTGGGAAAAACTGAGGGAAGGGCAGGTTTGGATGAGTGAGAGATGAGTTAGGTTTTGGACCTGTTGACTTTGAGATGCCTATTAGGATCCAACATCAAAAAGAATGCCAGAATATATTTAGAGTTCAGAGAAGAGGTCAAGGATGAAAATACAAATTTAGAGATCTTCATCATAGAGAAGAGGTTCCAGAACAAGCCCTGGTGGCATTTCAAATGTAAAAAAATGGGAGATGAAGAATCACAAAGGAGACTGAGGAACAAACATTAAGGTAAGAAGAAAATTAGAAGTGTGTGGTATCTGAGAAGCCTAGTTAAAAAAAAAAAGTATTACAAAGTAAGGGTAATTAGCTATGTCAAATGCTGCTGACAGGTCAAGTAAAGGAGACAAGAGCAGATCCAGGTGATAGCACAAGAAGAAAAGGAGAGCAGAGAAATGAGGAGACTGTGTGAGAAGCAGAAGGGGAAAGAAAACCTTTTTTTTTTTCAGTTGGGAGAAATTACAGTATATTTGTATGTCAGAAGGAATGATCCAGCAGAGAGGAAAACATCAAGTAAGAGAGAAGAGATAGAATCCCATAGACCCAAGGGAGGGAAGGCCTTAGATAGGTACTTGGAAGTAGGTGAGTAGTGATGGTAGACTTATGATGGCTTCTATCTTCCCAACAACAAAAAACCGAGAGTAAAGATGGGGGAGGAGGCCTAGCAGGTTTGAGGACAGGGAAGATATGAAAGATCCTCCAGGACAGGGAGAGAGTAACTGGACTACAGAAGTGTCATGGAATCTAAGCCAGGTAAGGAGGAAGTGAAGTGGGTTACAGATGCCACTGGGGCAGAAGAAATGCCGTGACAAGAGAACTAGAAGGAAATAAATGAGAGTAACAGGAAGCAATGGTCAGGGTGGGATACTTAAAACTGAAATTATTGCAGGTAATTTGTTCTTATTAATTGCAAGGTCTACTAGGGTATGTCTATGAAAATAAATGTTTAAGGCATGATAGAAAACAGGATAATGGGAAGAAAGGAAGTAAAACTGAGAGGCCAAGTTACTAGAATAACCATCTATGTGAATATGGCAATCACCAAGACTTAAGAAAGGACAAATGTTAGAGAGAGTGCCAATGAGCCAGGAATTATCTTCAAAAGACTAGGTGTGTGTTTAACCGCAAAGAAGAGGCATAGAAGTGGCACAATGTGATGACATGCATTCAAAGGGGGGATTTTAGGGAAGAGGACGCATTGGAAGCTGCAAAGGAGAGACCCATCTCTACCTGTAGTACCGGAGTAATGAAGGCTGTGAGAGAAACATCAGCCACCACTTGCAGTCTGCAGTGGAAATATGTCCTCAGAGGTTATGGTCAGGTTTCACTTAGGGTAAGAAAGAGAAGGGATGTTCCCCTTCCTGTGTCCATGTGATCTCATTGTTCAATTCCCACCTATGAGTGAGAATATGCGATGTTTGGTTTTTTGTTCTTGCGGTAGTTTACTGAGAATGATATATCCCTTGGGGAAAATATTGCCTAAGTATGCAGGAAAAAAAAAAATATATATATATATATAAAACATTAATAAGAGAGATTAGATTGATTTATAGCTATGCTATAAATGAAATGAGATAGATTTTATATTGTCTTATAACCTTATATGGTAAATGTTCATATTACAAAGTTAAATAAAAGTTTCAGTGGATCCAATTTGTTGTTTAAAAAAAAAAAAAAGAGAAGGGAATGTTCATAGAGATGGCTAGGTTATAGGGGACTTTGTGGATGGCTGACAATGACTGGGCTGCAGGCAAAGACTAATTAGGAGGTCAAGGCTGCAGCCCAGCCCAGATGAATGTCAATCATTCACATAACAAAACATGCCACGCCAGGCCCTGGGCTGGGTCTGGTTACCAAGGGGTGAGTGAGAAAGTCCCACCTGGGCTTAGGTTTCTACTGTATAGTGAATGGTAAAGGAGCTCACACTTTGGAGGAGGGGGCGGGCCCAGGAGGAGACACAGATATTAAATAATTATAGCTCCATGTGGTAACTAACAGAGGTAAGCATAAATGCTTTTAAGAATAACTAGGATGGGCTGGGCGTGGTGGCTCACACCTGTAATCCCACCACTTTGGGAGGCCAAGGCTAGGCGATCACTTGAGGTCACGAGTTCAAGTCCAGCCTGGCCAACATGGTGAAACCCCATCTCTACAAAAAATACAAAAATTAGCCGGGTGTGGTCGTGGGTCCGTAATCCCAGCTACTCAGGAGGCTGAGGCAGGAGAATCACTTGAAGCCGGATGAGGAGGTTGCAGTGAGCCAAGATCGCGTCATTGCGCTCCAGCCTGGGTGACAAGAGTGAAACTCCATCTCAAAAAAAAAAAGAATAACTAGGACCACCTAATTTAGACTAAGGCATGTTAAGGAAGACTAAGGTATGTCAGGGAAGGCTTCTTGGAAGTAGGAGTGAGCCAGGTTACAGAAAGATAGCTAAGCCAGAGAGAAGAATATGTTTAAAGGTACGGGGTCACTGGAAACTTGGATAACTTAGCATATTGCAAATTCCATAATATTGCCAGAGTAAGAGAATGTATTTTGAGAGGGGCATAAAAGAAAGCTGGAGATGTCACTAGGGGATGAATGCTGTAATACTTCATATGCTGAAGGAGTTTAGACTGTATAATGAATTTGCTGGGGAGTGACAAAATCACTTTTTGCGAGAGAGTCACATAGCTTGTGTTGTCTGCACGTGGCAACTAGT
Organism: Homo sapiens; assembly: GCF_000001405.40. NCBI lineage: Eukaryota > Metazoa > Chordata > Mammalia > Primates > Hominidae > Homo > Homo sapiens. The sequence goes on along the minus strand of NC_000011.10, from coordinate 74,971,695 downwards.
AGTCTGTGAAACCTTTCATTGCCATTTTCACATCACATGACCTGGCAGTGGGAATAAGACATCAGAATCAGCCACTGTTAAGCTACTAAATCAGTCGGTGAGGTGGGGGAGGGAGAAGACATCAGCAGAAAGCCGGGAAGAGAGCAAGAACATTCACATTCCACTCCACCAACAATACGGCAGTTGGTAAAAATCAGCAGGAAACGTGAAAAAAATCAGAACCCTTGTACACTGCTAGTGAGATTGTAAAATAGGGCAGCCACTTTGGACAACAGTCTGGCAGTTCATCAAACAAAGAGAGTTAGCATACCATACAAGTCTTCTCCCAGGTGTATTACCCAAGAGAAATGAAAACATGTCTACCTAAAAACATGTACACAAATATGTATAGCAACATTATTCATAATAGCCAAAAAGTAGAAACAACCCAAATGTCTGTCAACAAATGGATAAACAAAATGGAATGTTACTTGACCATAGAAAGGAATGAAGTACTGATACATGCTACAACATGAACGAACCTTGTGTGCAGTATACATAGGAAGTAATTGCACTAAGTGAAAGAACCCAGTTATAAAAGACCACATATTGTATGATTCCATTCATATGAAATGTCCATAAAAGAGAACAGAGAAAGTAGACTGGTGGTTGCCCAGGGCTCAGGCAAGTGGGAGGATAGGGAAGTGATTAGCTAGAGTACAGAGGTTTTTTTTTTGAGGTGATGAAAATGCTCTAAAATTGACTGTGATAATGGTTGCAAATATCTGTAAATACTACTAGGTACTTTTGAACTGTACACTTTAAATGGGTGAACTGTATGTATGGTAGGTGAATTATATAAAAGTTCTTAAAAAATACAAAAGTCAGAATAAAAATAATGAAATTATAATGCCGCTAGGTTTTAGAATTCTGCAACTCAGCTTCAGTGGCCTGGTAGAGGATGCAGATTATGATGGCTGAGGCCAAAGGGCAGCTAGAAGCCCTGTCAGGAGATAAGCAAGAACTCAGCTGCAACAACAGAATGAAGGTCTGCTTCCCTTTCTCATAGGCGCTTCTACAAGTTGGCAATGAGACAGTCTGTATGGCACAGATGCTACACTTAACTTCATATATAAATAATTGTACCTATAATTTGTGCGGCTATTATGCACCAGTTAAGTATAATAGGTTTTTAAGATAGTGACTACGAGTATGAATTCTGGTTTCAAACTTGGGCTGGAATTCCTGCTCTACCACTTTTGGGCTATATGATACTGGAAGAGTTGATTTAAACTTTGGGCCTGTATTCTTATCTATAAAATGAGTGTTCTAAAACTTAATGAGATAATGCATTTAGCAGAATACCCAACATACAGTAAATGTTCAATAAACATTTGCTATTATTATAATTGGTATTTCATCTTCCCAGAAACTCTAGGCATCATTTTTGACCCCACTAAACCTCAGATAATTTATATGATTTACCCAAAGTTATACAGCTAGAAAGAAACTGAATTGGAACATGAACCTAGTTCTTGGTACCTACAAAACACATGTGTGTCAGCTGCACAAAGTTATACCTGACACTGGTCAGAAACAGACTCTAGATTGTGCTTTTTTTGAGTTGCCCAGTGCACTGCTCCAGATATTCTTGATTGTATTCGTGGAGAGAAGACAGGATCATAGAAGACACAGAAGCTAATGGAATTCTTCAAAGATAACTGATCTCACATCTTTGGCCTTTATACTTTTGTATGCTTAATCGTCTCTGTTAACTGGCCACAGGAAAAAGTACCTTCTCCCACAGTTTATCCTCAGAGCATTTCTGTGATAACGCAATCTCAGAACTATAGGGCTAGGACAAACCTTCTAGATCATCCATACTCCTTTCTTCATTTTATATGACTAGCCCTATGATCCACATAGAGTAGGCACATAATAAGTCTTCTGTTGATAATGACAACATGCCAGGGCAAATCCAACACCAGGATTTAAAAATCTGTGAGGATAGTCATACCTTTTAAGACTGGAGGACAGCTGCCAAATATCATCAGGATCCATTCCTGTAGGATCTTTCCTGTGGGCCACGAGAAAGATGCTCTTCTCCTTATATGAGGTATAAATGGTCAGAATCCCCATCATCACAAAATAGGTTCAAATAAAGTTAAGGGGAAAATACCCAAACATAAAAGAGAAGTAACACAAATTGACAAGCAACAGATATAAAAACTTTCATAATGATAGTCCTAAAGAAGACAGCTTTGTCTTGCTGCCAAAACACTGAAAATTTAGCTATTTCATTTTCATCCTTATGTTTATATACCAAGAGAAGCAAGGCTCTCTCTGGTTAATTCTGCAAACACCTCAGAAAGGAAGAAAAGAAAAAGATACAGAGCATAAACTAGCTCTCATCTTTATGTTCAAAGACAACATGTATAATAAGATACCTAGTTTGTCAAGACTTTGTTATAATAGTGCTTATTTCTTTATAAAAAACAACGAATAGTCCCAGTGGACTTGACCATGTTCAACTGATTTTAAGGGTTATTAAGAGAAGAAAAGTGACCCAAATAGTTTACTATAAGAGAGTATGTCAAATAGTACTACGATTACTTCCTATATGCATATAGACTTATTATTATATTGTTTTTGACAGTATTAAGTACCATAGTTAATAAGCACTTATAGTTTGCCAAAAACTGGCATAAGAGCTTTGTGTATACTGTGCCATTTAAATTTCATAAACAAGGCTGGGCACGATGGCTCACACCTTTAATACCAGCACTCTGGGAGGCCGAGGCAGGTGGATTGCTTGAGACCTGGAGTTTGAAACCAGCCTGGCCAACAAGGAACAATGGGAGACCCCATTTCTACTAAAAATACAAAAATTAAGGCTAGGCGTGGTGGCTCACACCTGTAATCCCAGCACTTTGGGAGGCTGAGGTGGGCAGATCACTTGAGGTCAGGAGTTCGAGATGAGCCTGGCCAACATGGTGAAACCCCATGTCTCTACCAAAAATACAAAAATTAGCTGGGCATGGTGGTACATGCCTGTAGTCCTGCTACTCAGGAGGCTGAGGCATGAGAATGGCTTGAACCCAGGAAGCAGAGGTTGCAGGGTTGCAGTGAGCCGAGATCGTGCCACTGTGCTCCAGCCTGTGTGACACAGCAAGACTCTGTCTCAAAAAAAAAAAAAAACAAAAAAAACCCACAAAAACCAAAAAAAAATTAGCTGGATGTAGTGGTGCAGGCCCGTAATCCCAGCTACTTGTGTGGCTGAGGCAGGAGAATCACTTGAACCTGGGAGGCAGAGGCTATAGTGAGGCAAGATCGTGCCACTGCACTCCAGCCTGGGCAACAGAGTGAGACCCTGTATCAAAAAATAAAAATAAAATAAATAAAATAAAAATAAATTTCATGAACAGTGCTCGCTTCGGCAGCACATATACTAAAATTAGAACGATACAGAGGTTAGCATGGCCCTAGCACAAGGATGACAGGCAAATTCATGAAGCATTCCATTAAAGAAGAGTTAAAAAATAGATAAATTTCATGAACAGGAAAGGCAGGAAAATATAGTACAAAGTATATGGACTTTAGAGTAGAGATAATCCTAGATTTAAATCTTGGCCTTTAATCAGTATGATTGTAACAAATAACTTCCTTCCCCAAGTCTTAGTATCCTTACCTTTAAAATTGGGATAATACTGATGTTTTAGAATTATCATGAGATTTAGAGATGAAGGATATATGCAGTCTAGGATACAGAAGACTTTTTTTTTTGAGACAGGGTCTCACTCTGTCACCCAGGCTAGAGTACAGTGGCATGATCTCAGCTCACTGCAGCCTCAACATCCCAGGCTCAAGCAATCCTCCCATCTCAGCTTCCTCAGTAGCTGGGATTATAGGTGTGTGCCACTACACCCAGCTAATTTATTTTTTATTTTATCTAATTAATTTATTTATTTTGAGACAGAGTCTTGCTCTATCGCCCAGGCTGGAGTGCAGTAGCAGATCTCGGCTCACTGTGACTTCCGCCCCCTGGATTCAAGTGATTCTTGTGCCTCAGCCTCCCAACTATCTGGGACTACAGGCATGCGCCACCATGCCCAGCTAATTTTTGTATTTTTAGTAGTGACAGATTTCTCCAAGTTGCTCAGGCTGGCCTTGAACTCTTGGGCTCAAGTGATTCGCCCGCCTTGGCCTCTCAAAGTGTTGGGATTACAGGCATGAGCCACGATGCCCAGCAACAGAAGACATTTATAATGGTAGTCCCTACATTATAAATAAAACTGACATGACAAAAATAAGACCTTGTTTTATTAAACAAATATAACCAAACAAATGAATTACCATCAAGGTAGTTCTCTTGGGAGGCCAGATATTTGTAATAATGTTGCTATCATTTTCAAATCTCTTTGGAATTCCCCTGGGAACTGTCTCTAGAACCTATGGAATATTATTCTTCTGAACTGCCTTAATAGTGAAAAATTCATACTGGGATGATTAATCTGATTACTGAAAGGAGTCAAGGATCACCTGGTGCCACTTCTGGGGGAAATGTGGGGCAATCTGGATAATACAATTTTTGACTAGGATCTGCTTTATCAGAGGTTTGCTAACTGCCTCTGAAGATAAATCCCCAACATGAAGTTTTAAAACATATTTCAGGTTGGCTGGGCACAGTGGCTTATGCCTGTAATCCCAGCACTTTGGGAGGATTGCTTGGGCCCAGGAGTTTTGAGACCAGCCTAGGCAACGTAGTAGGACCTTGTCTCTGTAAAAAATTTAAAAATTAGGCAGACATGGTGGCATGTGCCCGTCTACTCAGGAGGTTGAGGTGGGAGAATTGCTCGAGCCAGGAGGCTGACGCTGCAGTGAGTCATGATCACACCACTGTACTTCAGCCTGGGTGACACGGTAAGACCCTGTCTCAAAAAAAAGAAAACAAAACAAAATTTAGGTAGTGGTAACATTGTTTAAAAAAGTAAACTACCAACCAAAATTACCTATTTTAATAGTGAAGTATAATTAAGTTCTTTATATTCAACTTCTTGAGAAAAAAAATCACGCTGGGTAGGCAACGACCATGATCTTACATTTATCATAAAAAAGAGGGGAAAGGAAATGATTATGTATCAAATACAATATAAAATCTCTCATTTAATCTTTATGATAATTCTGAATGCTACCCATATTTATAAATGAGTGGTATTCAAATCATCTCAAAAATAAGTAAATTTTCATTAGCACAAGATCACAGATACCTTGGATTTCAAACCCATATTCTCTAGCTCCAGAATAAGTTCTTAATTCCACTGTAATACAAGCCACACTTGTATCTCATGCTCAGTACTTTCCAGTTCAGCTCCTCAGCTTCAAGTAAACTTAATACAGATCTGAGTCTCCAAAATCAGATCCTTTCCTAATATCCTAGAATGAGTGGCTTGAAGCAGCCACGTCTAACGGGAAAAGTTCTGGGCTAGAAATGAGAAGAGCTGGGTTCACTATTACTATGTGTTTTGCTATTAAGTGCTCATATTAGGACAATAACCTCTACATTAATAACAAAAATGAATTACGATAAAATAACCATACAAAACATAAAATATCAGTGACAGTTACTATATAAACTGATAGATATTTACTATATAAACATCACAGCTCAAAATGTTGAATTCTAACATTAGCAAGCCCTAATATGAAAGTCCGTTTTGTTTTTTGTAGGGAGAAATATCAGCAGATTTAAAAAAATAGTCACTAGAAAACAACCTGAGCATAAATAAAGGATATGATATGACACACAAAGCCAAAACGGGTTTGGACTCTGGAAAGGGGTGCATATAATCCCAAATCAAAGCCACTATGGCAAAGAAACAGGAGATTGTACAGATGGTGAGGCGACCATCAATTAGACCAAAATTCTCCACATATTTGTATTTTTCCAGAAGTACCTGGTGAGAAAAACAAGGAATCAAGCTAATAGGAATACTTCCTCCCCAGTATGTGCTTTTATTCTTGATTTCCATGATAAAAGAATCATATGAATTACCAAGTAGTTCCCTCCAGTTGGGATTTTACCACACCAAACAAGTAAAACTCAAGCCTTCTATAAAGAACCAAGAGAAAAAGTTCATCAATCCCTCATATAAAAAACTTTAAACTCCTCAACTTTTCCCACAGCTAAAATGTTTTACTTTTACAAATGGAGAGATGATTTATCATGAATGAATGTCCTATCTTCTCTCACCCTTCTGTGCTCTAGGCTAATTAATCTCAAAAACAAAAAATTACCAGCTTTCTTGAGATAGCCAACATCTATATTTCTTTTTTTTTTAATTTTATTATTATTATACTTTAAGTTTTAGGGTACATGTGCACAACGTGCAGGTTTGTTACATATGTATACATGTGCCATGTTGGTGATATTTCAACACACTTCCTCTGACTTTTTCTGTGAGAAATTTTAGAAACTGCTTTCTGACTTAATTTCTAACACTGAAAACTAAGGTCACTCCAAGTTACAAAAGGAAAAGATTTCCCAGGAGAGATGGCCATCAGCTGTATAGATACTAACCAACCCCTCCTCAAGAAAGTACCTTTTTGGCAGAATCATCCAAAGAGTTTTTCACAGCTGATCCATCCCACTTGTCAATTTTTACAGGCTTATCATCTATCTTCCACTGTAAAACAAACAAAAAAGTTGTGCATCAAGAAACCTGGCCTCTTACTGAAAGTAAAATGAACCATTTTTTAAGAGCATCCCTCATGCACATATAATATTTACTCTTTGTCTTCTGATGTTGCAGAACTAAAAGACAAAACAGGCTATTCTGGGCACACTCCTATGGGGTAGCCCTGCAAGAAGCAGTTAAAAACAAACAAAAAAGACCAAACAATTAAAAATCAGGTTGAAAGAGACTAGGTCACTAGAGTCAGGTGGTACTCATGTGATGCTGATGTTGCCAGTCTCCATGCAGAGAATATAAAAACAACCCCAGAACCAGAAAACGTATATGGGCTGCACAGACTGTAAGTGTAAACTTGTATATCCCACCTTCATTTTACCGAAATGTGAGTACAGAAAATTACTCTATTTGTTCATTCTTTCTTTCTGTGACCACAAAACTCAGAAAATACAGATACATGAATTTACAGATACTAACAAAATGGGGAGGATCTCCTTTAATATCACTTTGTCAGCTAACAACTTTTATTATTTTACCAGCATGTCTTAACTTTAAGATAGCAATTCCAGGATAGCCTGTTGGAAACAACACTACATTTTAAATTACAAACCAAGTCCCAGACTCAGTCCCAACACGAGTTGAGTGGACAAACTCTACTTCTATTTCCCTTATCTATAGAGGTTTAGAAAGTTTCCCAAACACTGCTATTCAGAAGCAAATAATTCTCTCACTGCTCATGTAGAAGTTCAAAATGTTACAGCACCTACGAATGCCAACTTAGCACCCTGAATTCAACTTCCCACTTCCAGGAATGTTTCTATAACTGAATACATGTGAAATGAAATACAAGGCTACTCACTGCAGCATTGTCTGTAATAGTGAAAAGCTGGAGGTAACTCGAGTGCTCATTTACAAGGGGATTGGTTAAACAAACTACGGTACATCCAGATATCTTATCAGGGTAGAGAAATACGGGGAGGAGTAAGATTACTCTATGTGTGCCTTTAAAATTTTTTAACCATGTGAATATATTACATAGTAAAAAATTTTCTCAAATGCAAGTATTTAAGTAAATATAGCTTAAGAGGAACAGGGTGCTACAAATAATCTGACAAACCTGTTTTTTGTAGACCATTAATGGCCAACTCTTAATTTTTTAGATCAAGTGAACAAATATTGTATTCCATAAAAATTACAAACCAGCAAGCAATCCAACGTTCATCTGGATTTAGAATGGATTATTTTACTGAAAGACAGAGAATGTCATATTTATCTTTCGGATTGAGCACAAGTACAAAGATAATGCCTATAAGAAATAAAGAGATGGCAGTGGTGAGTACCTGCCATCCCAGATACTTGGGAGGCTGAGGTGGCAGAACAGCTTGAGCCCAGGAGCTCGAGTCCAGCCTGGGCAATATAGTGAGAGCTTGTCTCTGAAAATAAATAAATAAATAAATAAACAAACAAACAAACAAACAAACAATAAAAAATAAAATAAGAGATGGGATAAAAATAATTGTAAAGATTTTAAACAACTACAGAAATACAATTCATCAACCTTGTTTTTTTTTTAACTGTGATTCTATATATTATTACACAAAAGAGAAAACCTGTTCTGTGAAGTTTGTTAGAAGAAATAACATGAGCTAAAAATAGCCATACTTAAAGTGATTAAAAGTCAATCAAGTTTTTTTTCCCCCTTGGTGCCCTGTAAAAGCAAAAATTTTTCTTTGAGAAAATTACTCATGGCAGCATACTGCACTATTGACTGCCATAGACTGCCAGCCTACAAATCAAACACGACATCTAATTTTAAAGATACAAACTGAACCAAAAAGAAATTAGCAGGTTTTCTAGCTAGATAGCTCATTTACACTGTCAAGTAAATCCCTCTTTGAAGACATGCAAAAGAACCAACTTGTAGAGCCAAATCCACCATAGCATTTGAATTATTTGTGAAATAAAGTCAGAATAAAGTCATTTAAAAATTATGGGTCATTCAAAAACAGGAAAATCATATTCTCAGACACCTAGCCACACTTCACTGCCTGCATTGCATCACAGAAAAGAAACTTGCCTTTAAAAGTCAGAGGATAATGTCTTAACCAATTTGGGAGAATAAAATGCAGAAGCAGCCATTACAATGTATTGAAATAGCCTCAGCTCTAACTTCACTGCCTGGTACCTAGAAGCAATCTTCAGTAAGTGGAAAAGAAACATTTCCAGTGAATTACATGAAATCACAAGAAAGGTTATAATTTGACTTTACGGCAACACAGCCCATTTCGAAGCAAGTAATGTCTCTACTACAGTATGGAGAACCATCTGGAAGAAGGGGAGTTGCTATTAGGTGCTTCTTTTTCTGATTATTACTTCTCATCATGCTCAAAAACTGCTCATCAACTAAAATGTATGCTGCTCCTCATGTTCTCTCTACTACTAATTCGGGTATTTTAAAAGCTATCTTTTTTTTTTTTTTGCCTCAATTTTGTCTTCCTCAACACTAATTGCAAATTGCTTTCCTTTTGTAATAATAAAAAGAGAAAGCAAAAATTAGTTTCTTTTATGTGGGACCTCACAGGATAAATTAAAAAGAAGGGCAGTGTGCAGAAATAAGTGAACCTGGGTCCAAGACTGCCATCTTTAGCAAGGCTTGTTTGCAAGGTTGGCCCTTGGCTGGTATCTGACAAGCTGGCTGATAAAACAAATCCCTACACTGATATAAATACATTCCCTCAGTGATAAGAATGGCTCACTGTGCCTCAACTGTTTGTATAAATGATGTGATTTATGTTGAACACCTTTCCTTCTGGAAATCTAGAAAAAGTTCTTTATGTTGCCAGTATCTAAAATTTCAAGATGATATCCCTTACACAGGTCAATTTTCACCCACTGTAAAACTGCTATTGCCACTCATCTTTTTATTGCAGCACTAAGCAGACCCTCAATCCAGAAACCAATGTCCTTCAGATTAGAAAACTAGAGTTCAAAGATGTTAAGTGCCATACAAATAGTAAATGACAGGCCAACAAAATTCTTTAGGGCTAAATTACAAATACATGGCTCATTATAAAACTGTCTCTTCTTCAGTGATATAAACTTATTTTTATTTGCCTTAATCCCTGAACTCAATCCCAAAGCAGATTGTGGCCTTATTCTTAAAGGTGTACTGTACTTCAAATCACAAGCTGATTGGTTCTGGTCAGGTGCAGTGGCTCACACCTATAATCCCAGCACTTTGGGAGGCTGAGGCAGATGGATCATTTGAGGTTAGGAGTCCGAGACCAGCCTGGCCAACATTGTGAAACCCCATCTCTACTAAAAGTACAAAACTTAGCCAGGCTAAGTAATCCCAGCTACTTGGGAGGCTGAGGCAAGAGATCACTTGAATCCAGGAGGCAGAGGTTGCAGTGAGCCGAGATGGTGCCATTGCACTCTAGCCTGGGTGAACAGAGGAAGACTCCATCTCAAAAAACAAACAAACAAACAAACAAACAACAACAACAACAAAAAACAAGCTGACTGGATTTAGACTAAATACAAATGTATGTAGGCAAATGCTTTTTTTCCTTACCCAATAAGGTGAATCCTTATTATCCAAGGGAGAATGGAGTCAGGCTACTTTATTTTAATCCTCACTTTTCCACTTAATACTGGAAGGCACTGGGCAAATAATTTAACCTCTCTAAAGCCTTATTAGTTTGCTAAATTGTAAAATTAAGATGGTGAAAGTATCTATTTCACAGGTTGGTATGAGAAGTAAATAGTGTAATTATAAAACATAGCACAGTGCACAGTGCCTGGTACCTAGCAAGTACTTCATAAAAATTAGCTATTGCTGTTGCTATTAATGATATAAAACTATATAATACACTGCATCATGGTTACCTGACTGTATGTATTGTCTCCCTCACTGGGTCACAGGGACTATACACTTTTGTATTCTCAGAGCCTGGAACACAATATACTCTCAATAGCTTTTTTTTTTTTTTAATGTCTAAATCCTTATAAAGAAAAAAAGGGAAGAAAAAGATCTCTAAAATGTTACTCTCCAGTTTAAATTTAGCAAATGTAAACATGGTCAAAATGATCTCACTTGGTTCTTATTCACAGAATTTCTTTAAGGGATGGAGGGCAGACAGAAGGTATAATCATAGCTACCATTTCCTGAATGCCTAACATGTGCTACGGATGTGCTAAGTATTTTATATACACTATCTCACTTAATTTCCACAATAACTCTACAAGGTAAGAACAGTTAAAATCCTCCTTTTACAGATAACACTAAGGGTTTAAAAAACCTGCCAAAGGTGAAAGGCAGAAAGTGGTAAAGCCAGGACTCAAAACCCATGCTCTCTCATTATTCTACACTGCTTTCCCATGAAGTGCAAGGAAAGGAATTATTAGCCATCAAAAACACAAAGAACAGGAAACAAAGAGATCCCTGAAGTGACAGCTATACATTGTATCTTGATTCCTAACAAGCTCTAGTAATAACATTTTAAAAACCTAAAAAAAAAAAAAAGATGTTAATCTTGAATAGGACCACAAAACTCACAGGGTATCAAAAATGTTGAACCTCCCCCCCCAATGTAAAACCAACTGCAATTTGGCTGAAAACAGAGCTCAAAAAGTACTATCTTAAAGAAATTACTCCCCTACACCACCCACTGAAGAGATAAAGACAACTTTTTTTTGAGACAGAGTCTTACTCTGTCACCCAGGCTGAGCGCAGTGGCGCGATCTCAGCTCACTGTAACCTCCGCCTCCTGGGTTCAAGCAATTCTCATGCCTCAGCCTCCCGAGTAGCTGGGATTACAGACAAGTGTCATCACAGTCAGCTAATTTTTGTATTTTTTAATAGAGATGGGGTTTCACCATGTTGGCCAGGCTAGTCTCGAACTCCTGGCCTCAAGTGATCCACGTACCTCAGCCTCCCAAAGTGCCACCACACCCGGCCAAGATAAAGACAACTTTTGTCAGACTAACACACCTGATGCCAGAGCTGGCTGGCTAACCAGTTCAAAGAAAACAGGCATTTGATAGCTTTAATAGAACATTATGAAGAATCATTTCAGTTACGTTTCTCCACTGCACATTTGAATAATAAAAAATTCTACAAAGACACTTCACTGAAGGTATGGCATCAGGAACTCCATAAGTGCTTAGGAAGGATATTAAACACAACTCAGGTCTGAAGGATATGTAGTCAGTACAGGAAGGCATTTTCCAAATTAACTCATTTGAGGGAATACAGCCTTCTGTTCCCATGCATCTCACCACACTCAAAGGGATAGGGTGGGATCAAAAAAAGAGACAAAATAAGCCAGGCACAGTGGCAACATGTTTATAACTTCAGCACTTTGGGAGGCCAAGGTGGAAGGATCGCTTGAGTTCAGGAGTCTGAGATCAGCCTGGGCAACATAGCAAGACTCCTCCGTATCTACAAAAAAATGTAATTTAAAAAATTAGCCAGGTGTGGTGGTGCCCACCTAAAGTCCCAGCTACTTGGGAGACAGAGGCAGGAAGATGGCTTGAGCTCAGGAGGTATAGGCTGCAGTGAGCCGTGATTGTGCCACTGCACTCCAGCCTGGACAATAGAGTGAGAATCCATCTCAAAAAACAAAAGGACAAAATCCTTGGTCATTAGGATATGTCCAGCAAAACAAAATTGTTTTGAGTATGACACATGAACACCTTCAATTATCTTATTTTAATCACAGTGAAAACAGAAGTTATGCAGTGATATAAAAGACCTGAGTGGATTGCTTCATAAAGTTCCCTGGCTTGATAATAAGACTCAAAGGATTCCTCAATTCACACTGGAGAGATGAAGAATTACCAAGGGTGAGAGTGGTGTCAATGGTGACCCTGTTCTGATTTAGACAGAACTGAGCATGGCTTTAAGAAAAATAAACTTTTTCTCTCCTTTATCCCAGTTTAGAAAGTAGACAGAAGCTGCAAAGGGGGAAAGTAGTAGGAGATGAGGCATCCGAGAGAAACCATTTCCTAGTTATTAGGCTAAAGAACTTGAACTTTATTCTGAAGCAGGCAATGGAGAGTATTTTAAGCATGGGAATAACAATCAAATTTACGTTTTTTTTTTAAGTCATTTTAGTGGCAACCTGGCAGATGATCTGGAGGGGAGTAACACTGGACATAGAGATGCAGATGGGGCCTGATGTAAGTGCAGAGCCTCAATGCTCAACAGAGCAGCAGTAGGGGGACTGAAAGGGAGTATTCTGAGGTAGAATTGGCAGGACTTAGTAACAGACTAGTTATAAGGAACATGAAAGAGAAGAGACAGAGATGACCACCTACTAGAATTAGGGCTTGGATGACTTGTTGGAGCCATCATGTCATTTTCCAAGAAGAAGAATACAGGAGGAAAAAGGATAAATACCCATTTGTATATGTGGAGTTCTAAACTAAAATAAGGAGATAATAAAAACTGATGGCAAACTCAGAAGCTGAGATTACAATTTCAGTTGGAAATATATAGTGCCTATATCCCCCCCACACACACATATTTAGCAAGAAAGGAAAATGTTCAGTTTGGGAAGAAAATGATGTCTATCTTAAGAATGTGCACTGTCATCTAATTTAGATCCCAATTCAGCAAAAACATGGTATCTCAAAGAGATTATGCTCTTAGCAACACACTGAATCTTCAATTTCAATCTATTTTTTATAAAAATGGCCAAGATACACTGCAAAGAAAATTACTAGCTTAACAGTGCTTATTACTGACTGCATTCATCACTGGAGTTAGAAGTTAGGAAATTACCATGTGTTAATTAAATTATGAGCACACACATTAGTGACAACCCCAGAGAAACTGATTCTTAGGTTTTACACTGCCTTCTCTACTCCACCACAAACTGCATTTAGCAGTGACGGGGCTGCTTCTACATCAACCCAGCCCATGAATAGAGAAGCCTACATGACTGAAGCTCTTTGAGGGCCAGATCACTGGATCCATGACTTAAACATCCCACCACTGAACCCAGTAAGTGTGAGATCTAAGGCTGAAAAGAGCTTAAAGTTAAAACAACTTGATTCAGCATATTAATCAGTAATGCTCCAACAACGAAGTATTTTTTTCTACCAGCAAACTGAAATGTAGTCAACAATCCTTTCACTACTAGCAACTAACATCTTCTAAAGTCTGACTGAATTGTTGGCATAATCATCCAGTATGAATTTCTTACCTTTGCAATGGGTAGACAAGAAATCAGATATACAAAAAAAATGGTCTTTACAATTTAGTTAAGGAAAATCCTATACTTACAATGAATTATAAACTATGCTAAGTGCTAAATGGTAAGAAGTAGACATAGAGGGGCAAGGGCACACTACAAGTTCAAGGATCTGCAAAAAAGATTTTGGATAAAATGTTACCTATTTCCTCAGGGATATCAATCTGCAGCAAAGCTGACTGGGGAGGGTTGGAAGAGAGAGGGATGCTGCCAAGGAAGACCTGAATTAAGGCACGAAGACTGGCTAGGAATGTACTACATTGATACAGATGTGCGATGAGTCCTTATTCTAGAAAGGTGGCAGATCACGTGCTCCATTTAAGAATTACATGCAATCAGTTCTGAAAAATGCAGCTGAGTGCAAATTCAGGGAGAGGACCATACAGCCGTTTCATCTGAAATCCATCTCCTACTGCCTGGAAAAATATTAACTGTTATATGACTTTTCTGGGTTTCTTTTTCTTTTTAAGGAAACTGCCAAGCCTCTCAATAGCAATTCATTCCAGTGTTGGACATTCTTTTAAAAGAAAAAAATAATATTTTTAAACACAACCTTTATGGCAATTACACTCTTTATTTTCTTTAAATTAATATTGAATGGCTGCTTGCTATGTGCCAAGCACTGTTCTAGCCACTAGGGATATAGTCATAAACAAGACAAATTCTGCACTCAAAGAGCTTCTTCTTGTATGGAAGATAAAAAGTAAACAAATACGCATATAATTCCAGGCTCTAAAAAAGATTATACAGAAAAATGCAATAGAGTTTTTAAAAAGACTAAAAAATAGTGAGGGAAAATAGTTAACATCTGAGCAGAGTTGAATAAAGGAGTAACCCATGAGAAAATCTGGAGTGTCCCAGTGAAAACAGTACACCAAAATCCCCCAAGCTTAACGTGTTTGAGGAACAGCAGAAAAGCCAGGGTTTCCAGAGTATAATGACTCAAGCAGAAACTGACAGATGAGGATGACAGAAACAAGCAGGATCAAGAACATGCAGGGGCTATAAAATAGGCCACAATTAGGGATTTGGAGTTTAGCTAACTGAGATGGGAAGTTACTGGAGAGATTCAGCAAGAGAGTGAGTGATCTATGTTTTAAAACATCAGTCTGGCTGCTGTGTGGAGAACAAAATGTAACGGAGCCAAGCACGGAAGCTGGAAGACCAGTTGAAAGGGCTACTACAGCTCTCTAGGTAGGAGTGGTCAGATTCTGGATGTACAGCCAGGAAAATACGACAATGAGATGGCTGTGGAGTACAAAGCAAAGAGAAGAATCAAGGGTAACTCTCAGGTTTTTGTTTGAATAAATTAGATGAATGGAGGTATCTACCTGAAATGAAGAAGACTGGGAGAGAAGCACTTTGAGGGGTAAGCGGAAATCAAGAGATTGGCTCTGGCTATTGATGCCTGATACATGTTTTAGACATTTAAGTGGAGATGACAAGTAGGCGGTTGGACAGAAAAGTCTGGGACTTATAGGAAAGGTCCAGGTTGAGAATATAAATGTAGAAGTCAGCAACTTCTACATGTTATTTAAGTCATGACATTGGGTATCACCTTGGGATGAGGGTAGACAGAGGAGAGGGCCAGGGGTAATAAGCTCATAAGCTCAGGGACTGGCAATATTTACACAGGTCAGGAAGAAGACCAAAGAACAATGAAGACAACAAAGACTAGTTGACGTAGGAGGAAAGCTGGGGGCAAGTGGTGTCCTAGAAGCCAAGTAAAGAAAGTATTTCAAGAAAAAAGAAGTGATCAATAAGTCAAATGCTACTGAAAGGCTAAGTAATATAAAAAACTACTATTGAAATTTGATAAGATGGAGATCAGAGCAGAGAAATGGTGCTAGCAACAGCTGAAAAAGGTACCTAGGCAGGCAGATATATATATATATATATATATATATATATATATATTTTAATTAGTAATTAAAGTAATAGTATTAAAGTAATCAGTGTCTGTGATACCACTGTGTTACATGACATATAGTTTAAAGAAATAATAATTTGAAACTTTAAGGGTTACTCCAGGAAAGACAAAAATAAGTTTCTAAAATTGCGATATAGTTCACACACTATAAAATTCACTATTTAAAAATAATGCCAATTCAGTGGTTTTTAGTATACTCACAAGGTTATGCAACCATCACCACTATCTAATTCTAGAATATATGCATACCCTCAAAAAGAAACTCCATACCCATTAGCAGTCACATCTTATTCCTGTCCCCTATCCCCGGGCAGCCAACAATCTACTTTCTGTCTCTATGGATATACAAATGCAGTCATACTATATATGGCCTTTTGTGATCGGTTTCTTTCACTTAGCGCATTTTCAGGATTCATCCATATTGTAGTATGTATCAATACTTTATTCTAACGGTCAAATTATATTCCATTGTATAGATATATCACATTGCATTTATCCATTCATCAGCTGACAGACTGTTTCTACCTTTAGGCCATTATGATAACTGTGTTATGAACATTTGTGTGCCAAGTTTTCCTGTGGACACACATTTTCAGTTCTCTTGGGTATACACCTAGGAGTGGAATTGTTGGGTCATATGGTTAACTTTACGTTGAATTTTCTGAGGAACTGTCAAACTGTTTCCAAGAGTGCCACCACATTTTACATCCCTGTTAGCGATATATGAAGATTCTGATTTCTCCATATTCTCACCAAAACAGGTTATTTTCCTTTTTTTTCCCCCTTTATTATAGCAATCTTAGTGGACGTGAAGTGGTTTCTCATTGTGGTTTTACTTTGCATTTCTCTAATGACTGATGATGTTGCGCATCTTTCCATGTGCTATGGGCCATTCGTACGTCTTCTATGGAGAAATGTCTATTTACATCTTTTGCCCTTTTAAAAACTAGGTTGCTGTCTTTTTATTACTGAGTTGTAAAATTCTTTATATAGTCTAGATGCTAGACCCTTATCAGATATATGATTTGAAAATGTTTTCTCTCATTCTGTAGATTGTCTTTTTTCACTTTCTTGATAGTGGCCTTTGACACACACATACTTTTTATTTTGAGGAAATAAAAAATAATGAGTTTTGAGACGCTAATAAAGATCAGTTTGCAACAGTATTAAAAGGCCAGCACCTTGTTTCATTAAACACACACACACAATTATAGTAATGTTATAAAACCGTTCATCTTCTTTGTCAGAGCTAGGTAACAGGGCACAAGCATATCACCTGGAAGTCTGACAAGCTAAGATATCTTCCAGTAGAGTAAAAGAGGAGATACCTAAGGACATATGGTTGGTGGGTGACAAAGCCAAGGCCACAGCCTAGGTCTTCCACCTCACAACAGATGCTCATCCCACTACTACGTTAGCTAGCACATTAGATAGCACAAGGCACACTCTGGTATGGGAAGCAATGTGCTGAGTAAAGAAAGAGCACTGGATTAAGCACTGGGGGAGCCAGGTTCTGTAAGTGTTACTAATTCACTGTGTGGTCTTGGGCAAGTTGCTTTGCTTGTGTCCTTGTCTACAAAATGAGGCTGAAGTATCATATGAGTTTCAGGATCTCTTCATTATAAACATTTTAAAGAAACCACTATTAAGCAGAATAGCTTTTAAAAACAAAACAAAAACCTTAAAATGTCAGAACCAGAAGAGACTTTAAAAAATCATTTAAGCCAGTAGTTCTCAACCTGGAGGTAACTGTTAAAATGCAGAGGTAATAGAGACATGTGAAGAAAAATGCAGATATTCAGGCCTAAAAAAAGGTCCAAAAATCTGTTAATTTTAACTAATTCTCAAAGGAGTCTGATGTAAACAGATTAAAGCTGTGCTTTAAGATCAGGCTGACAGGCCAGCCAGGAGACAGAAATCCAGGTATAAGGCTAAAAGGGTCTAGATAATAGCTTCTGGAAAGCATGGTTTAACACCACATATCAACTTTAATAGCCAAAACAAATTAAGCAAGCAGCTTTTCTTTATAACTGCCAGGCAGAAGAAAATGCTTTGATGTATTTGGGGCAAAATAACATACTGCAATGATCTAAGTCAAGTTATTCTGTGATGGAGGCGGAAAGATTATATTTGCATACTTATTTTTAAGATCAGGAAACAAGAATTGCTGTGTTCTTAAAGTCAGTTTCATAAGAGTAGAAATTCACATCTGCTTAGGGAAAACTAGGAGCATATTTGCATCTCTTTATTACACTTCTTTATGGCAAGTGAAACTACAGCTGCAGAAATAAAATAAAAACCCTCCCCGCCCAAATCAAGACACATCAAATTAAATAAATTATATTAGGCTGGGTGTGGTGGCGCACGCTTGTAAACCCCGCACTTTGGGAGGCCGAGGCCGTTGGATCACCTGAGGTCAGGAGTTTGAGACCAGCCTGGCCAACATGGTGAAACCCTGTCTCTACTAAATATACAAAAATTAGCCGGGTATGGAGGCACATGCCTGTAATCCCAGCTACTCGGGAGACTGAGGCAGGAGAATTGTTTGAACCTGGGAGGCGGGGGTTGCAGTGAGTGGAGATTGCGACAAATCGAGACTCTGTCTCAAAAAAAAAAAAAAATTATATTAAAGGTAATAGCTTCTCATTCCCACACAGCAAAAGCCTCTCTATTCATTCAGATCCTGCTCCACTGAGAATAACATTTTTTTCCCCAAGTTCTCTCCCACAGTACCCTCAGTCTTCAAACAATTAGAGGCACCATCCTCTAAAGCTGTTTCTGAAGACTGAGGTGGCAGATCTCAAGTTTTTTCTCTGCGAAATTCAATGCTAAAAGTACTTATCTTGTGTTGATCACTACAGAGAAGCACTCACAGGAAAACGGGCAAATACAAATTGGTGAAATAATACAAGACAGTATGTCATATTAAGTGACAGCTTAATTCCCATGTGCAGTGTAAGTGCTAGAGGAATTCAGGGAGGGAACAGTTCAATGTAAGGCTGAAACTAAGTTTTCCAAGAAAAGGCACTCAAGCAGCTCTTGACTATTCTCTTCTGTCCCTCACTTATTGGTTAAATCTTCCAAGCACTCTTTTGTGAGACCTTTTATCTATTTCTGCTACTCATGTTGGGGTTCTCATCACCTTGTCATTCTATTTTTTACCACAGACAGCCCTTTACAAAGAACATTTACTTCTAGTAGATTCCAAAGGACAGGGAACAGAGCTGGGTGCGGTGGCTCATGCCTGTAATTCCAGTACTTTGGGAGGCTGAGGTGGGCAGATCACTTGAGGCCAGGAGTTCACGATTAGTCTGGGCAACACAGTGAGACCTTGTCTCTACCAAAAATAAAAATAAAAATAAAATAAAAAGGGCAGAGGAAACCAAACTAAAAAACCCAAAGAACATTTACCAGCACTATACAATTTGATCCTTACAACAAGCCTATAATATGTATGAATGTCCACAATATTTACATAAGGAAATTTAAATTCAGTAATATCACACAACTTATCCAAGGTCATGTGGCTTTTATTAGGTAGGTGCAAAAGTTATCGTGGTTTTTGCCATTACTTTCAATGGCAAAAACAGCAATTACTTTTGCACCAACCTAATAACATGCGGCACTAGAACTCAAATTTGTCTCTTTTTATTATATATTATACACTACTGTGTATACGGCCTTATTAAGAAGTCTTCTAATTTCTGTCTCTCCAAACCATCTGAATAGTTTTCCTAAAAACCACTTTACACAGTCTCAAAACCCTTCAACAGCTTTCCTCTACTTCAAGCAATCCACGGCCTCCCTAATCAGATGCTATCTACTTGTCACTACAGTTCCTTTAGAGAGCCTTCTAGTCAACTCAATACCTGAGAAACATAAAACACCATCACATCTGTGTAACTTTACTCAAGGAGACTTTTTTACCTGGCATGTCTTTCTTTTCTCCCCCCAAATAAGGTGCCAGTTCCACTTTCAGGAATGAGGCCTTTCCTTCAGGCTCTTACTCTTTTTTTTTTTTTTTTTTTGAGACAGAGTTTCCCTCTTGTTGCCCAGGCTGGACTGCAATGGCGTGATCTCGGCTCACTGCAACCTCCACCTCCCGGGTTCAAGCGATTCTCCTGCCTCAGCCTCCCGAGTAGGTGGGATTACAGGCATGCACCACCACACTTCGCTAATTTTGTATTTTTAGTAGAGATGGGGTTTCTCCATCTTGGTCTGGCTGGTCTTGAACTTCCGACCTCAGGTGATCCGCCTGCCTTGGCCTCTCAAAGTGCTGGGTTTACAGGTGTGAGCCACTGCGCCCGGCCGAGGCTCTTACTCTTATCAATAAGCTCGCAGGGTTCACTCTATTTCTCTCATTTGAACTTCCGTAACAAGTACACACTTGAGCGAATATACCATATACTTCCTTAAATAGATTCAATTACCCCATCTCCTATATTTGGCTATTCTGAGTGCTCTCTGACAGTAGGATTCTTGATTTACTCCTCCACCATCACACATCTGTACTGGACACTACAGGTAATGGAGATCATTAATGTGTACTGTCTTACTTGGTTCTTCCCAAAACCCTGTGATCTAGGTGCCAGAGATTCCAAAATTCCAAATGAAGAAAGGTTAAGTGACTTGCCAATCTTCATACTGTTAGCAAGTAGCAGAAATACTTCAAAGCTGAAATCTTATGATCCCCACATCCGGGTTCTTTCAATAACACAATGGTGCCATATACACTATTCCATAATAATAGTATTCTATACTGCCTTAGCAGAATGCCCATACTTAATGTTTGCTGATGATGATCCAAGTGCAAGGAAGAGCAAGAGCAGTTAGTGGGGCAGGTAAGCACAGGCTATGAGGTGCTTACCTAGCAAGAGGGAAGGATTTGTGTACACAAATGACCATCAATTCCCCATACTCTCACATGTCTTGAAGCAATTTACCATCCCAACCTCCAGAATATGTTTCTGTATCTTAAGGTTTGAGTGTGAGGCCAGGTGCATGGTGACTTATGCCTGTAATCCCAGCACTTTGGGGAGCCAAGGTGGGAGGATCTCTTGAGGCCCAGGAATTTGAGACCAGCCAGGGCAACACAGTAAGACCCTGACTCTACAGAAAAGTTAAAAGCAAAAAAATTAGTCAGGCATAGTGGTGCACATTTGCAGTCCCAGCTACTCAGGAAGCTGGGGTGGGAAGATCACCTAAGCTTAAGAGTTCAAGGCCGCAGTGAGCTAAGATCCATTCTGGGCAATGGAGCGTGACCCCTCTCACAAGAGAAGAGTGTGAGAACCATGTCTTTCAAAACCAATGACACTCAAAAAGACAAGTAAAAAGACCTGGATCTTAACCCCTCAACATAATCATGTTTTCATTTCTTAAGCACCTACCATGTGTTATGCACAGGGAAGTCTGAAAGCTGTTTTCAATTATATTCAAAAATTCTGCTTACTATATTAAAGACACCATGCTTAACAATTCTCATCAAACCAGCCCAGGGCCCTACAATGAGAGAACTGGAAGGGAATTTAGAGTTAAGTCCCTCATTTTAAGGCTAAATCTCTCACTTTGCAGATGAGAAAACAGATATAGAGAGAGCAAGCATATTTCAAGGTCACAAAGCTAATTAGAGGCAAAATCAACACCAGGACGTTGTTCTCCGTGCAACTGTTTCTTCCAAGATGCTGTGCAAAGAGCAAGAAAGGCCAACCCAGGGACAGTTTTCCTTTTTTTCTTTTCTTTTAAACCCTTGTTGCTAGGACTGCAGTTAAAAAAAATTTTTTTGGATGAGCAGAGGGAGGAAAGGGGCAAGCGTGAGCGGGCAGCAGTGCACTTGGTAGCAAAGAGGGAGGTGGAGGGAAGAGAGGAGAGGGCGGGGAAAAACAACAGGAAAAAAAGAAAAATCTTAAAGGCTTCTTGTCAGCCCAGTAGAACAGTCAATACTCAAATATTTTCAGTATTCGCCTATCATGATAAAACGCCTAAAAACTTCAGTAAGCAAAAGGACAAGAAGCACTTTGGAATCTGTAGCAGCACGCAAGGGTGATGGTGGTAGAGAGTTTGGGGGATACTGATTCTTTAATCTTTGGGCTTCGGTTTTCCGTGTCTGTGAAATGGGCACTGACAACAGTGCACCCAGCCCCCCAGGAGAAAAGAGATGGACACGATTAAATATAGGAAAAATCAAATTACCGAAAAAGGTGTGGCGACCAGGACCAGAACACTTGCGAGAAAAGAAGAAGTTCTAAAGAGGACCGGGTCCAGGTTTGAAGTGTGATGAGGGCAAGGGCAGGCTCCAAGCGTGCGTAGGGTTGTGATAGTGGTCACACAAGGGCTCCCCTCAAAAGGCCGTAGAAAATAAGGGAGACCGGGATGGGAAGGTTGGCTCGCCGCCTCCCAGGCCTCCCCAGGATTCAACTGTTCCCAAGAACCGGCTCCTCACCTTATCCAACAAGCCGCTACGGCCACTTCCTGTCCCGCAGTTGGAAGCACCACCAGCCCCACTACAGCCTCCGCTACCACCGCTTCTCCCGCCCTGTACAGCTGCCGCCGCCATCTTGTCCGCCTCTGCGTCTCCCTCCCCTCCGACTTGTCTGAAGCCGATTGGCTGGAGCTGACAGCGTGACGCGCCGCGCGGAGTCAATCGGGATCCGTAGTTTGGGTCTTGCTGGCGCGAGGTAGTCAGAGGACGTGGCCGCGGGGCTTGCTGGGACTTGAGGTTAGACGTCCCGGCCGTCGGTTGCCGCCTACACTGTCTGCCGTCGCGTCGCAGTTACTAAGGCGTGGGGAAGATAGCGGCAGGCACCGCAGTGGAGCGGCTCCGAGATCCCCGGGGGGCTCGCAGGCGCGCATCCCTCCTGACTGGGACGTCGCCTCCGCAGACCCCTCGGAGGCTGAAGCGACGCCGGAGGCAGGTGCGACTGAAACTTAGTTTTCGAATTCGAGTCTTTCTCCGGCCCAGGTGTGGAGTTTCCAAAGGAGTGGGCAGGAGCTTGTCCTTCATCCTTTTCTAGCCCGGTTGTGGCACTTACCGATTATTCTCTCAAGCAGCTGTCATTTTAGCTGTTTGTAATGTTTTCGTGTTAACGGAGAACTCGCGTTTACTGAGTGCCTACAGTCTGCCAGGCAGTATCCTATGTGCACTTCCAGCCATCCTCTCTCTCACTGAGTCCCACAACAGCCCTGTTAGATGAGGAGGAAACTAAAGAACCTACCCAAAGCCAGATAGCATGTATCTGAACTCGGTTTTCAAGCCGGCATTTAAAAAAAATCAAAACCAATATATATCCCTTCTGACACTCTGCTTTTACGGTTTTAGGATGTAATAGTATTCTAGATTTTAATTATTTTTTTCACAAATGTATATTGAGCACCAATATTGTACTAACGGATACAGGGGATCAAGATAGACCTGGTTGCTACTCTGGTGGACTACTACTCCATGACAGAGTTATCAAATAGCAGTATTGTATTATACCATGCTCTATTACGTTGTATTTTAATTAATTTTTTTCACAAATGTATATTGAGCACCAATATTGTACTAACGGATACAGGGGATCAAGATAGACCTGGTTGCTACTCTGGTGGAACTACTACTCCATGACAGAGTTATCAAATAGCAGTATTGTATTATACCATGCTCTATTACGTTGTATTGTTTTTTAATTCCTATATATCCCCCATAAGCGTCTAAAGAATTAAACAAATATTTTTGAGTTTCTTACTATGTAACAGGCACTATTCTAGTCACCAGGGATATATCCCTGAATAAAACAGACAAAAACTTGTCTTGGGGAAGCCAAAATTCATGTGAAAATAATTATCTCGGCCGGGCGTGGGGGCTCATGGTTGTAATCCCCGCCAAGGCAGGCGGATCACCTGAGGTCAGGAGTTAAAGACCAGCCTGGCCAACATGGTGAAACCCCGTCTCTACTAAAAATACAAAAATGAGCCGGGCGTGGTAGCGGGCACCTGTAATCCCAGCTACTTGGGAGGCTGAGGCAGGAGAATTGCTTGAACCGGGGAGGCGGAGGTTGCAGTGAGCCGAGATCAGAAAGAAAAGAAAATAATTATCACTAAATAACTAAATTATTACTAAAAAGAAAATAAATATCACTAAATAGCAATAACATCAGATGATATTTCATTACCTCTGTGAAGCAATCCGTGGACACTAGTCAGATCCCCTGTAGCTTGTTGTTGCAGTTTATCTTTTACAACTTCTCATTTTTCTTTTATTTAAAATAAAGTGAGATGATACAGCATTGCCCTAGTCACTTTTTATTTTATTTTTTATTTTTTGAGACAGAGTCTCACTCTGTCACCCAGGCTGGAGTGCAGTGGTGGGATCTTGGCTCACTGCAACCTCTGCCTCCTGGGTTCAAGCAGTTCTTGTGCCTCAGCCTCCCAAGCTGTAGTCTTTGTAGCTGGGACTACAGGCACATGCCACCACACCT
The DNA here is from genome assembly GCF_000001405.40 of Homo sapiens. NCBI lineage: Eukaryota > Metazoa > Chordata > Mammalia > Primates > Hominidae > Homo > Homo sapiens. The sequence continues at coordinate 74,947,382 of NC_000011.10, read as the reverse complement.
GGCTAATTTTTATATTTTTAGTAGAGACAGGATTTCGCCGTGTTGGACAGCCTAGTCTTGAACTCATGACCTCAAGTGATCCGTCTGCTTCGGCCTCCCAAAGTGCTGGGATTACAGGCATGAACCACCACACCAGGCCAACTTCTCATCTTTCAAGATCCAGCTTTAATGTCACCTACCCTGTGAAACTATTTCTGATACTTGCTTCTTCTTTCTTCACCCACTGCATGAAGTGCTCCTGTGGCATTTTGTTCATGGGTTGGGTTAGTTCAATTAACAATCATTGAGACTCTTCCTTCAGTAGGCCAGGTCCTGTGTGAGATGCAGGATAAAGAGATAAGTACAGGCTCACGCCTGTAATCCCAGCACTTTGGGAGGCCGAGGCGGGCGGATCACGAGGTCAGGAGATCAAGACCATCATGGCTAACATGTTGAAACCCCGTCTCTACTAAAAATACAAAAAATTACCCAGGCATGGTGGCGGGCGCCTGTAGTCCCAGCTTCTAGGGAGGCTGAGGCAGGAGAATGGCGTGAGCCCGGGAGGCGGAGCTTGCAGTGAGCTGAGATAGCGACACTGCACTCCAGCCTGGGTGACAGAGCAAGACTCCGTCTCAAAAAAAAAAAAAAAGAAAAAGAGGTAAGTAGGACCCAGGCCTGACCTGACCTTGGAGATACTCACAGCCTGTAGTGAGGTGGGGAACAAACAAGGAAGCAGGCATTATAATACAGTGTGGTATAGTGCCTGTATTAGTCCATTTTCACACTGCTATAAAGAACTGCTCAAGACTGGGTAATTTATAAAGGAAAGAGGTTTAATTGACTCACGGTTCTGCATGGCTGGGGAGGCCTCAGGAAATTTACAATCATGGCGGAAAGGGAAGAGGCAAGTCTTACATGGCAACAGGCAAGAGAGGGCAAGAGTGTGAAGGAGGAACTGTCAGTTATAAAACCATCAGATCTCGTGAGAGCTCACTCACTATGGTGAGGACAGCATGGGGGACCACCTCCTTGATCCAATCACTTCCTACTAGGTCTCTCTCTCAACACATGGGGATTATGGGGATTACAATTCAAGATGAGATTTGGGTGGGGACACAAAGCCTAACCATGTTAGTGCCTCCATTAAGAAGTGGGCCTGATGGCTGGGCAAGGGGGTTCACGCCTGTAATCCCAACACTTTGAGAGGCTGAGTTGGGAGTTTGAGGCAGCCTGGGCAACATGGTGAAAACCCATCTCTATCAAAAATATAGAAATTTAGCTGGGCATGGTAGCACACGTCTGTGGTCCAGCTACTTGGGAGGCTAAGGTGGGAGGATTGCTTGAGTCTGGGAGGTGGAGGTTGCAGTGAGCTGAGATCATGCCACTGCACTCCAGCCTGGGTAACAGAGTGAGACCTTGTCTCAAGAAAAAAAGAAAAAATAAATAAAAAAAGAAGTGGGCTTGAGGAGGCTCAGCCTAAGGAGAGGGAGATACAGGAAAGCTAATCTGTATGTAGCCGGGCAAGGAAGAGGGGCAGAAATGTGATAGGCCAAAGGAATGGAACAAGCAAAAATATGCCTTACTCTGTGTGTGTGTGTGTGAGAGAGAGAGAAAGAGAGATGTTTGTTTTGGAGGAAGCGCTACAGTCAGATTGGCATTAGCTGCATCAAGTTTGAGATGGAGACCAGAGGTAACTAAAGCTAACCAGGAAGTCAGCCTCCAAATCTGGAACTTTGACTTTTTTTTCTACCATATAAAGATCTTACTTGTCTTAGATAATGTAACCAGGGGTTATGTGCCCTTCTTGGCCCATTAGTTGTAGATCTACACCTTCTCACCTAATATTCCTAATAGGGAACTAGAATTTCTGCGATAGCATCCAGGTCTGCATGCCTCCTACAGGCTTCAGTGTGAGTCATCTTTTGTATTATATGCATGGCAAATATCTTTTCCCAGACTGTGTCTTATCTTTCAACTTTGACTTTCCTATTTTTATCTGGCAGAAATTTATTTTGTGTAAATAATCATGTAAACGATCCCGTCCTTTCAGGTTTGTGCTTCGTGTGTCTGATTTAAGCACTCCAGCCATACCCCACTATCATAATTATATTCTCCTATACCACCTTCCCATCTATGTCTTGTCTTTGTCTCCATCTCTGTATTGGTATCTATCTGTTTCTTGGATCCTTAGTCCTACGGGCAAGGACTAAAGGCAAGACAAATATTGGAGTGGAAGGCTCACAGTAGAATATAATTAATGAGGAAGTTCAAGAGCTCTGAATAGCAGGCTAAGAAGGAATATAATATTTATCTTACAGGCAAAGAAACAAGTGAAGAAACAAAAAAAAAAGGAAGTTAAGGGGCCATTCCCAAAGTCAAAGATCAAGTAAGTACTCTGGAGACCTGAAGCCAGGTCACCATATTCTGTAAGTTACTGAAGGCTTCTCCAACAGCCATCATATTTAACATTTTCCAGCCAGCAAATTACATCACATCTAACATTTTCCAGCCAGCAAGTTACTCATTCATTCTTTCATTTACCTCTAGCAGATGTGTGTGATTGGTCATGAGAGAGAGTTCCTGAAAGACATATTGACTGAATATAAATTTGTCCCCATCCATCCATCTATCCATTAATCTTACCAACATATTTTTAGTGAGTCGTAGGCTCTATGCTACATGCTGGGATTACACAGGTGAATAAGGTAATTATAGGCCCCACAACAGGTGAGAAGTTGATGAGGGGAGCAAACAATTATAATAAAGTCATAAGTGCTATACTAGGCGAAGTATGGAGTGTTGTAGGAATACATAAGACAAGCCTCCATCCCTTTGCAGGGAAAATCAGGGATCAGGAAACTCATAGTGCCCTGTGTTGGACCAAAGGAGGTACCAACATTGATTCATTTATTCCACAAATATTTATGGAATCTGTTATGTCATAACATCTGTTATGTTAGGTGCTTTGTTAGGAATAAATTGATGACTACCATTGATATTGCCCTTTCTTAGGAAGGTTTTAGAGTCTAATTGAGGATATGTGTGTGTGCGTGTGTAGCAGATATATATGTCTTGGTCCTAGGAGTGCCATCATATCCTTCACTTGGCTCACATGTCTATTGCGTGCTTCCTATGAGCTAAGTCCCAATGGTGGAAGAGAGACAGTGAATTAGATGTGTTTCCAGACTTGGAAATTCATAGTCCATTGAAGGTACCCCTTCATGATCATTAATAATCTTGTGAGGTCGGGCCACGAAAGAAATACTGATGAAAGACTTCACAGCTTAGCAAAAGCAGCAGTTATTTCCACTGGCCTTCCAGTGGGAGGCCAAGGTGGGTGGATGGCTTGAGCACAGGAGTTTGAGACCAGTCTGGGCAATATGGCGAAACCCTGTGCCTACAAAAAATACGAAAATTAGCCAGACATGGTGGCATGTGCCTATAGTCCCAGCTACTCAGGAGGCTGAGGTAGGAGGATTGTTTGAGCCCAGGAGGTTGAGGCTACAATGAGCCGTGATTGTGCCACTGTACTGTAGCCTAGGTGACAAAGTAAGACACTGTCTCAAAAGAAAAAAAAAAGATGAATCAGAAAAAAGAAATGTAGCCTGGAGTTGAATCTGATTCTCAGGTGTTTGGTTTGGCCTGCACATTGTTCTAAAATGGCAAATTAGTTGCTGACTCTCAAATAGGAGATTTCACGTATAAGGCAGACTTTCCTTGAAAAAAAAGTGAAGCTCTGGCAACAGTGACTTAGGTTTCTGCATGGCAGCAGTTGGTAAGAGCTGACTAGTTGCTGCCTCTATGAGCAGGTGCACTCTCTCTCTCTCTCTCTCTGACACATACACACACACACACACACACACACACACACACACACACCCTCCTACTCTCTTCCCCTCGCCTCCAGCTTTCTTCACTCACTCACATAGCCTGCCCAACTTCTGTAACCATTTGTGTTTGCAAGTCCTCGGTAAAATGTAGGTTTTTCCAAGGTTTGACATCAGACTGTGGTGAACAATCTGTGAATGACAAATGATAAGTGCAGTTGTGATTAGGGCTATCCATGCCTTTGAGGAATCGTTTTTATGCCTGTCTCTCTGAAGAGAATAATCATTTGATGAAGAAAAGACTGAGTCATACCCTAGAGTCAGAACTATATTCTTTTTCCAACTTTTTTGCATGTGTGTGCATGCATGGGCACACACACACCCCTAAAGAATTTCTGACTCACTGTAAATTGGTATTGAAGAGTCTCGGAGCCACCCCATAGCAGATAGAGGATGGAAGGTTATTTCTTTTGTGCTCTTTTTATTCTCTAGGTGTTAGGGAAATGGAACACTTGGGATATTTGAAGTCTCTCTCCCATCACAACTGTCCCTGAAGGAGCCTGCCCTCCCTCATCCTCAGTGAGGGAACCCCTCCCCTGGATGCTGGGTGCCCTTCTTCCTGCTTTCTCAGGGATGGCTCTGCGGGTCTGCCCATCTCTCTCCTGCATTGTCAGCCTTTCCTCCCTTGCTGTCTCCTTCCTCTCAGTCTAGATGTAGTGAAGCTTTTCTCATCCTGTTAATAGCATAGTAATGGAAAATGAGCAGCATGAGTTAGCCATGTGGCAGATACTAAGGCATTTTCTCCTGTAATCATCAAAACAGCCCTATGAAGTAGGTGCACTTACTGTCTACATTTCACTGAGGAAAAAGCCAAGGCATAGACAAGTAACTTGCTCAAGGCCACACAGCTAGTAAATGGCATAGCTAGGATCTGAACCCATGCAGTGAGCTTCCAGAATTTATTCTTGGTAGTGACTCTGTCTGCCAGGGCTGGGACTAGGGTGGAGGCCAAGTGCTAACACTGCATTTGCACAACTCTGAGAGAGAGCACATGTCCCCCTACGTGTTCCTCAGGCACCTTGCTCACCTTCCCCCAGTGCTGGCCCTGATATTCACCCATCTCGCAATTTTACCTTCCATCTCACTGCTGTCTTGCTTTTCTCCCTTTCACAATCAAGCGTCTTGAAAAACTTGCTTATATTCACTTTTTGTATTGCCTTGCCTTCCATTCACTCTTTCATACATAAAGTCTGACTTTAACTCCACCCTTCTTCTGAAACTGACCTCCTACTTGCTCATGGCCTATTTTCGGTCCCCACCTTGCCTGACTTCCCTGCCTCTTTCATAGAGTTTTCTCTTCCCTTGGCTTACTTGGCAGCTCCCACTCTCCACCCCCCGGTTCTCCTACTTCTCTAAAATTATTTTCTTTTCTGAATCCTCCAGGGGCTTCTCCTCCTTTGTCCACACATTTTTTTTTTTAAATATGGGGTCTCACTGTCACCCAGGCATGATCACGGCTCACTGCAGCCTGGACATCCTGGGCTTAAGCAGTCCTCCCACTTCAGCCTCCCAAGTAGCTGGGACCACAGGCATGTACCACTGTGCTGGCTAATTTTTTTTAATTTTTTGCAGAGACAGGGTCTCACTGTGTTGCCTAGGCTGTGTCCACACATGAAATGCTCATACTTCTAATTGGTCTTGCTCCTCTTTTTCTCTACTGTCCCTCCCTTTCTCATTCCTTTTTTCTGTCCATCCTTCTTTTTTTAATTCTTTAGTTTATTAACATGAACTCTCATCAGCTATCCCTGGGTTGCTGCAATACTCCCCTAACTGCAATCCCAGTTGCCACTGGGTGCCACTTTCACCTACTGCTATTTTTGTCAGATCTCTCTTTGTAAAGTACAGCTTGGATTATGGCTCTGTCCAGCTCAGAAATTATCCATGGCTCTCAGTCACCTACAAGATGAAGCCTGAGCTCCTAGCCTGGTACCTCAAGCCCTTCAGGAGCAGGCACCATCCTTCCTGTCCAGCTTTATTGTTCAAGACTACTAAACATACATCCCTCTCCTTCTTGGGTCACATTGTTTCTTTACTGTGCACAGCTGCCCTCCTGTGGCCCTTGCTGTTTGGAATGTTTATCCTTCTCTCTATCAGAAAACTCAATCCCTCAAATACTATTTATCCAGTTCAAGTCTCATTATTTGTACACTATTTTCTCTAAAATGTGAGCCTCTTCTCTGAACTCTGTTAAAACAAAACATCTAGCACAGACTTAATATGTATTAGGCACTGTCTTTCTCACTTGATCCTCTTGTCTTTTAAGGTAGGTATTATAACCCCCATTTTGCAGGTGAGGAAACTGAAGTTCAGAGGAGTAGAGTAACTTGCCCAGTCACAGAGCAAGGAAAGACAGAGCCAGGATTCAAACCAAGTCTGAGCTGGAGGATCATGTTCTTTCTAGGGTTCCATTGGGTTAGGATTGATTTGAACTGAAAAACCCAGGGTCTTGTTTCTCTCTTCATGTAAACAGCCAGCCCATTTCTGAAGCAAGGGCAGTGGGGCCTCCAGGGTGTCGGAGGCAGGGTGTGTGCGGGTGTGGTGGTCCTGGTGGGCTCATGAGCTGCACTGGAGTAAGAGTGCTCTGCTGTGCCTTTTCACTCTTCTGCTTCCTTGCTTTCCTTGCCTGGCTCTCAGGGAGATGGCCTTCTCAGGAATCTACAAGCTGGATGATGGGAAGCCTTACCTGAACAACTGCTTCCCAGCCAGAAATCTGCTTCGCGTGCCGGAGGAAGGTCAGGTGACTTCTCAAATAGCTACCTTTTCCTCATACCTAGCTCGTGCTTTAGACCATCTCACATCTACTTGTTCTTCTCCAACCCCTTCACTACTGTTCCCTGCTCTACCTAATCCTTCCCCCTCCAGTCCTAGTAGCCTCCATGGGACTTCTAAAGTGCATATTTAACCACAGTGCCCCTTCTGTTCAGTGACTTCTCATTGCTAACTCCTTTAACTGGCATTCTGTGTCATTCTGAGTTTAACCTGCTCTTATCCTCTGTGATAACCCATTTCTTTATTTATGCTCTGTTCCACGGTGCTTGCTTTTCACATAGCTTTTTTATTTGCCCTGAATGTTCCAGCCCTCATTCTTGTTAGCCAAACTCTTCCCATTCCACAAATCCCAGCTCTTCTTCTACTTCTTCCAGTAAAGCATGTCTGACTACCCTAGTCCTCAGGGCCCATCCTCTCGTGAGCTGTCTTCCTGTCTGTATTTCTTATTTGATGAGTGATCATGGTCTGCCAAACTCCTAAATAAAATGGCTTAAATTCGACTCTGCCAGGTAGATTTTCAAATATTTATCTAGTTAAAAACTTCCCTGGAGCAGGGAATTGTCATAATAAGAGCCCTATAGGTGAAACACTAAGTATTGGTTCTCTGGATTGGCTTTGTTGCTTTGAAAGGGTAGGGCAAAGGAGAAGTAAACCTTGTTTACTCCAGATGTTGTAACTTGTTGGTCACTCTGTATATGGAATATTGGAAGAAACTTCTCTTCCTGCCTGTCCTCTCTGCTTCTCTAGAGTGATTTTGTTTTTCACACAGAGACTTTCCCTGGCCACCTACCTATCAGACACCTTCAGATGGAGCTATCAGTGTGAGCTCATAGTTTCTCTCTTTGTCTCTCTCTTGCTCTCGCTCTCTCTCTCTCTTGCTCTCGCTCTCTCTCTCTCTCTCTCTATGTCACTCTCTCACACACAGACACACATAGATGGATAGCTACAGAAATAAATATAGTTGTATATATCTATATGTTTTAGTGTACATATGTATATTTACCAGTCCACTGACAGCAATGACACCTCAGCAGCAAAAAGCATACCTAGTATCTACATCTTGCTTTCTAAATACCATTCTCCAGTGAAAAGAACATGGGCTTCTTGGAGAAATAGTTGTTTGCAGGACTAGGGCAGAAAAAATACAAGTTGAGTTGGAGTATCTTATGGTGCCAGAAGTAAAGAAGTGCTCAGGAAAATAATGAGGGCATGTTGAAAGGACGCAGCTGACTTGAAGGTGCTCCCAATCACCAAAGCTGGGACAGTTTGAGCAATGAAATAAATAATGGCGGAATTGGGTTGTAAACCATGGAATAATAAATGAGTCTACTAATATAAATATTTGAATATGTAAATATGTGGGGGGAAACAAAATAGCTCTTTCTTTTCTTTTTTTGAGATGGAGTCTCTCTCTGTTGCCCAGACTGGAGTGCAGCAGTGCAATCTTGGCTCACTGCAACCTTCACCTCCCAGGTTCAAGAGATTCTCCTGCCCCAGCCTCCTGAGTAGTTGGGATTACAGGCACTTGCCACCATGCCCAGCTAATTTTTGTATTTTTTATAGAGATGGGGTTTCACCATGATGGCCAGACTGGTCTCGAACTCCTGACCTCAAGTGATCCACCCGCCTCAGCCTCCCAAAGTGCTAGGATTACAGGCATGAGCCACCACTCCCAGCCAGCTCTTTCTTATAGTAGAATTCCAACTAGAAAATGTAGAAGGAATGAGGGAAATAGAAAGTCACTATTCAAACACTACAGTAATAATTTTTGTAGGTAAGAACCATTATAGGATGTTGCATTAGAGTTCTTCAGAGAAACAGAACTGGTAGTAGATAAACAGGACTAGTAGGAGATAGGTAGGTAGGTGGGTAGACAGATTTTTTTTTTCAAGGAATTGACTTTGTGTGATTGTGGGGGATGGCAAGTCCAAAATTCGTAGGGCAGGCTGGCAAGCTGGAAACCCCTGGGGAGGAGCTGAAGCTGTAGTGTTAAAGCAAAATTTCCTCTTCCTCTAGGAAACCTGTTTTGCTCTTAATGTCTTTCAATTCATTGGGTGAGGGCACTCACATTATCAAGGATAATCTCTTTTACTTAACATCAACTTATTGTAAATACTAATTACATCTACAAAATACCATCACAGCAACACCTAGATTAGTGTTTGATTGAATAACTGCATATTATAGCTTTAGCAAAGTTGATGGATAAAATTAACCATCACAGATACTAGAATAAGTGGGTAAAAGTATGATGAGAAACAGGATATTTGCATAGTCTCTTTTCTCTCCCGTTGATCTCCTGACACACTCTGAACCTTCCTTTCTGACCTTGTTGGGGGTTTTGGCACCAACTCAGACTGAGGTCCCCAGGAGTCAGGGATATGAAGATAGGATAAAGTAGAAGCAAAGTTCATGCCCCAGATGGGGGCAGCCCTGGGAAATGGGGTAACTGGAGTATCAGGCCCATAATGGAAATGGGAAATGACTCATATGAGACATAGGGCAGGAACTGCATCCAAGAAGCAGGATTGTCAGCAGTGGTCTGTGAGCCAGGGCAAGCCCCCAAGGCAGAGATAGTGGGCTTTTCCAGAAGACAGCCAGTGGTTAGAGGCACAAAGCTGGTTCCCACAGCACCCCTTATATTATTATTATACTATTGTATATAATATAAGATGTTATATTATTATGACTCCTTTGAGTTAGGGCTTCCTTTTTATTCATTCTCATACTCCCAGTTCCCAGCATAAAGTAGATGCTCAGAAAAGATAGGAATGGATGACTGTGTGGGCAGGGGCTATAAGACAGGGTTCATTCAGTCATTTGTTCAGCAACAGTCACAATGCGGTGAGCTCTGTGCAGGCCTTGGGAATACTGAGATGAATGAGTCAGATAAAGTCCCTGCTCTTACGGAGCTTCCACTCTAGAGAGGGAGACAGACAATGAATAAGTGAACAAATAAAATAATTACAGATTGCAATGAATACCACACAGCAAGTAAACTGCTGGTGCGAGAAAGAACAGATTCCAAAATACGTTATGATTTTTGTTTGGTGAGCTTACTAGTAAACCTCATATTCTTTTTGCTTATACACATTTTAAAATTCTTTCTACAGTAGACATGTATTATTAGGTTTTTTTTTTTTAATGCCATCTGTCCTACATTTTCTTATTCCAAGTTTCTAACACCATCTTTTCTGTATACTGATAGAGGTCTGGGAAGATGGAACCTATTGAGTTGAGGTCACACATTGGGCTTTACTCAAGAGATGACCAATAGGAGAGTAACTGGCATGCATGAGAAAGAGGGATCAGCTCTACTGAGGGGCAAAAGGGAAGACTTCACAGAACAGGAAATACTTGATCTTAGTTTTTGAAGGAATAATAGAATTTGGAGATAAAAATGTGAAGGAAGGAATTCGGCAAGTCATTCCACCTCCTTTTGTCGCAGCCTTTTCATGTATAAAATCATGACAGTGACATGTTTTTCACTGGGTTTGGAGGCCAATTAAATGACATAGATAGGTAGATATCTCCCCTACCCCCAGCTGCAGTATTGTATCTGGTGCATGTTAGATAATCAGGAGCTATTTTTGGTTTTAGTATTATAAACAAAGTCTATAACTGCACTCGTTGTAGCTTTGGAGTTTTCCCCTTTTCACTGTTCTAATTTTCTCAACAGGCCAAGGACACTGGTTAGTGGTTCAGAAAGGTAACCTCAAGAAGAAGCCCAAGGGTTTGGTTGGAGCACAAGCTGAACGTCGGGAAAGCCTGAAGGCGACTTCTTTTGAGTTCAAGGGGAAGAAAGAGTCTCGGCGGGAAAATCAGGTGGACCTTCCTGGACATATCCTGGACCAGGCTTTTCTGGTGAGAGTAAATGCATCCTGGAGTGGCCAGCACATCAGCTAGGGTGGGGAGGAAGTGGGGAAGGATTTGCCCTGCTCTGGCACAACTACCCCCAATCTACTCCAAACTGTTAGAGTGATATTGGCAAATTGAGTACAGCCAGGATAATGAAGGGACCCAAAAGTTTCTTGACATGTAAAGCTTTCTTGACATCTACCTAGTGAGATAGGTATTGTCGTCCCTTTTGTGTTGTTGCCATTGGGCAGATGGGAAAACTGAGGCTCCAAGAAGTAGTTTGCCTTGGCTGAGGTTCCACAGCTAGTAAATGGCTGATCCAGGATTAGAACTCTGGTCTACTGACTCCAAAGCCTGTACTTTTACATTATATGAGGTAAAAACTCTTACTGAGTTGGAGAGACAAAGGAGCAGGTCAGGGGAAACAGTCAATTGAAAATTGCATTCCAGCACCTAGTAGGGTTGAGAGATTCCTGCTGTGCTCTTTGGGGTGATCTCTACAGGATTGAGTGGGACTGGGTCCTGCTCTCCCACAGCCTTTGTCCTTTGACTTTAGTGTCTGGCTGAAAGCCAAGGGAGCTGACCAGATATTACTTAGTGCCGGGGGCAGGCTTTACAAAGAGGACTGGGGTGGCTGTGTTGGAGACCAGCCAGGTAGTTTCACATCTGCTCTGTGCAATGCCTCAGTGGCTTTGCTAAGAAGGATGCATTTTGTAAATCAATATTAATGTGCAGTCGAGTTCTCATAGCTCCCTAAGAACTCCCTGGCTGCCTACTTTGTTTCCAGATTCTGCTATGGTTCCCAAGAGATGGGTGCCTGCATAAATCAGATGTTGAAAGAGAACTTTGTTGGTTTCATCTCACCTCAAGTGGGTAGTATAAGCTTTTTGCAGTCCTGTGGAATCAGTTTCATTATTAGGTCCACTTCTCATTGGGAATGAGGAGGACTGAAATAATTATACTGAGGAGGGGCAGAAACACTTCCCATAGTGGCCTTTTTTTCTTCCCTTGTTTCCAAATACTTATACATTCCCATATTCAATAAATACAGCTTGTTACCCGTCTTGCCACCGTGGGAGACAGGAGCAACAAGGATGTTTTTCAGAATCATGGGGTATCCACTCTGCCTATTGGATAGTTCCACTTGAATGTTTCATTGACAGTTGAATTACAGCACCAATGCTCCTACTCCAAATCCCAAAACAGACCTCTTTTTCCAGTATCTACTTTACTCTCTCTGTTGGCACTACCATCTACCCAGTTGCCAAGCCAGTACCTGAGGTTATCCTTGACATTTGCCTCTCCCACACTGTCCCCACCCCAACTTTTACCAAGTCCTGGCACTTTTACAAGATAGTTGTCAAATCTGTCTTCTCATCTCGACTGCCATGACCCTTATCTGGGCCACCATCATCTCTTATTGGACTAATTCAGAAACTTTCTATATGTTGTAAACTAATTAGGATGCTTTTATTTCACATAAAAATAAGCCAGAGGCATTGTTTAGGGTAGATTAATTTACAGGCTTAATGACGTCTTGCAAGGCCTGTGTTCCTTCTGTCTTTGTGCTGTGCCACTTTACATGTTATCTTGTCCTCTTGGGCTGATTGCCTTCATGATCCTGAGATGGCTGCAGCAATTGTGGTCATCACATACAGAATATAACATCCTGAGGTAGAGAAGGGATTGTTACTGACTAATGTCTTTTCAGAAGTAAGAAAATGCTTTCCAAAACCGGTCCCCCTCCTCAACTCCAAGCAGCCAGTATCTCATTATCCAGACCTATATAACATGCCCGAACAGTCATGAGTTAGGGGAATGAGACCTCCATGATTGGTTTACACAGATCACGACTTATTGCTTGGAGCTGTGGCTTAAGAACATTCCATTTGGAGAAATGTGAATAACATTGGTGTTCTTTAACAAGGAGGAGTAGTGGTTATTAGGAAAGTAATTAACCAATCTGGTACATTCGTCTTTCCCCTTCCTTTCCTGTCTTCTCATCTATGTGATGTACTCTGTCTGATATGTCTATGTGTATCCGACATTACAATTTTTATAAAATTACTATCAGCCCCCTGCTAAAAATCTGCTTTCTATTTGTCGTAGGATAAAATCCACACTCCTTTATAGAGCCAGCGTGGACTTATATGATCTAATGGCCGTCTCACTAACCTTATCTTGTTTTTCATCCTCTCAGAAGCACCTTGCTTTTTCCTGCCTTGGTAGACTTCATAATCCCTACTACCCACTTTCATGAGACCTATTTAGCTCTTAGGTTTCTGAAATATTACTTCCTCAAGTAAGTATTTCCTCATTCAGACTGAGGTTAGGACCTCCTGTTATATGTCTCATAGCATCTTAAATTTCTCCTTTAAAATATTTATCACATTTATAAATACGTACTTGCTACTTGGCTTCCCATGACACTGTAAGCTCTATGAGGTTATGGAATGTCTCTGCTTTTTCTTCATTGTCTTCCCAATGCCTTTCAGTGCCTAAACATGGTGGGTACCATAAATAAATGATTAACAAAAAAAGAATGAGGTTTGATTAAACATAAATGGAAGCTCCAAAGCTAAAATTTACCTCTAACTTTTAAATTATGTCGGGTGACATATGGCAGTCAAAAGTGCATAGAGTCTAGTGATTACAGATTTGGATTAGTAAGATCTGTCACTTACTAACTGTGGGACCTTTGGCAAGGCACATAACTTCTCTTAACCTTGTTTTTCTCATTAAAAAGAGGAGATAATCTTACTTTATAATCAAAGGGCTTAATTAGGATTAGAAGAAAGTTTGTTAATGTATTCAGCAAAGCGTATGGCCCAATTTAGTGTTTGGTAAATATTTGGCGAATGAATGGATGAATAATGAATGAATGAATGAATGAATGAATGAACAAGCAAACAAATTATGACAAGTATATGATTGCCCAACAAGAGAAGGCTGAGTGGTAATAGATTAATTAAACTTTGTAGGGGCCTTAAGAGACAACTCTTTGTATTATGTTCCAGCTGAAGCACCACTGTGTGAGGAAGCCATCAGATCTGTGCACCATTAATGTGAGTGGCCTGAAGTTCTCCAAGGTGAGGTCAGCCAGCAAAGATGTGATTGGGGTGAGCCAGACTTGAGGTGGCGCACCTGGCTGTTGTGGTTTGTCTCTTGCACCTCCAGAGTCCCTAGGGACTGGAAATCTGGTCACGAAGAAGGAGGGAGAGGAGAGTCAGACAAGGATTTATTGGGTTGAAACAATATTCAGACACAAACTTTTGCTACAAATTTTATATTGCCCTTGTCCTATTTGATATGAATTAAAGAAAATTGCCTTATGGGCCAGGCGTGGTGGCTCAGGGCTGTAATCCCAGCACTTTGGGAGGCCGAGGTGGGTGGATCACAAGGTCAGGAGCTCAAGACCAGCCTGGCCAAGATGGTGAAACTCCATCTCTACTAAAAATACAAAAAATCAGCCAAGCATGGTAGCAGGCACCTGTAATCCCAGCTACTTGGGAGGCTGAGGCAGAGAATTGCTTGAACCCCTGAGGCAGAGGTTGCAGTGAGCCAAGATCGTGCCAGTGCACTCCAGCCTGGGTGACAGTGAGACTCTGTCACCAAAAAAAAAAAGAAAAGAAAAGAAAATTGCCTTATGAAACTGGTTTTGAATTTGCCATGTAATTTTGTGGGTACATAATTCATTGTGTGACACTGAGTTCCCATCACAAGACCCTACAAGAGATATTTCTTAAGTTTCAATGCCAGCAATTGTAATGGTTTTCCCAAGAAGCTGGTTCGTTCCTAACTTACAGGTGCTGTGACTCATGCAATGAATCATGTTTCTTTCTTTGTATTGGCTTATAGGCAGCTTGGAGCCATATTTGTGACCCACCATTAGCCAGTGTATATACAGGATATTATAACATACATCTTTGGTATGTTGGCTTTCGTGGCATACCAAGAGAGATTACTTGTATAAACCATAGAGTAGAGGCTCTAACCCACAGGATGGCCAAGTTTGTGGTAAAGCAGACTGCTCCTTTAACAGGGTTCTGCTTCACTTCATTTAGCACTCATGTTTTCAGAATTGAGTTACTTAGGGACAGGTTAACCTTAGAAATATATTCATCTTGTGGCTGAGAGGCCCTCCATTCTAGGCCAGCACATGGTCCCAGAGATTATAATATATAGTTCACATATAACGGTGAGACAAAGTCATAGAAGATTTCAGAGGTCTCTTTATCAATTCACCTTTTGAGGGCTACAACATGGCTGGTCAAAGCTCAGTCCCCTCATTGGATACCGTATGTTCTTCTTTTACTTATTCACTCACGTGCTCACCAAACATTACCGAGGCCTGGTGTGTCTCTGTGCTATTTGCTGGAGGGTACAGAGGTGGCTCAGACACTGCCTGCCCTCTGGAGCATATAGTCCAGTAGAGAGGGAGGAGGCTGGGCTTAGATGGATATGGAGTTAGACAGGACTAGCTAATGCAGTCAATGAGGGAAACACGAGGGTGCGAAATATGACCTCAGAGGACAGGCCCCTGACTCAGCCTTACACAGGAAACACACCCTGGAGAGGGTGGTAGCTTAGCTGAGACCCACGGGATGAGTGGATGCTTGCTAGCTTTGTGGTTAAACCATAAAGGAAAATATCTATGAAATTTAATTAAAAATATCTATCTAACAAAAGTTACCACAAACAAAGGTAAAAGATAAGCTGAGACTGGGAGAAGATATTAGCAAGTAATATAACCAAAAAGTATTGGGATCCAGAATGTGTCAAGAGCTCCTACAAAACAATAGGAAGAAAGAGAAACCCAGTAGAAAAATAGACAACAGATAAATATGTTAGTATACAGAAGAGGAACTTGAAAGGCCAATAAATATAGAAAAAGATATTCAGCCTCATAAATAATCAGGAAAATGCAGTGCCATTTTACAATAATCAGACTGGCAAAAATTAGTTTTATAATGCCAATTGCAAGGATTTAAAGAAATAGGACTTCTCATACACTGCAGGTAGGACTGTAAATTGTTTTAACTACTTTGGAGAACAATGTGCTACCATCTCATAAAGCTGTGTATTCCCCACAGCTTGATAGGAGCATATCATTAAAGAAACTCTTATGAATAGGAGGTGTGTATAAGAATATTAATTACATAATTGTTTGTAATAAAATTTAGAAACAGACTAAATGAGAATGAATAAACTTGCAATATATTCAAACAATGGAATACTATACAGGAATTAAAATGGTTGAACTAGGGCTAGGCGTGGTGGCTCATGCCTGTAATCCTAGCACTTTGGGAGGCTGAGGTAGGAGGATCACTTGAGGTCAGGAGTTTGAGACTAGCCTGGACAACATGGTGAAACCTTGTCCCTACTAAAAATAAAAAAATTAACTGGGCATGGTGGCAGACACCTGTAATCCCACCTACTCAGGAGGCTGAGGCAGGAGAATCACTTGAACCCAGAAGGTGGAGGTTGCGGTGAGCCAAGATTGTGCCATTGCACTCCAGCCTGAGTGACAGAGCGAGACTTTGTCTCAAAAAAAAAAAAAAAATTGAACTAGAACTACAACTGTCAACATATGTAAATTTCAAAAGCAGCATATATCGACACAGGTAATTCTCAAAAACAGTGTTGAGTGAAAAGGCAGGTTGCAGAATGATACCTAAAATATTGTTGCATTTAACGTAAAGTTTTACTACCTGTATCTAGCATTATATATAGTTGATACACACACACACACACACACGTATAAGCATAAAAAAAGATATGGGAGCTGGGTGCAGTGGCTCACGCCTGTAATCCTAGCACTTTGGGAGGCTGAGGCAGGCGGATTACTTGAGCGCAGCAGTTCGAGACCAGCCTGGGCATCATGGCAAAACCCCATCTCAGCTAAAAATACAAAAAAATTAGCCAGTCTTGGTGGCGTGTGCCTGCAGTCCTAGATACTCAAGAGGCTGAGGTGGAAGGATCACCCGAGCTGGGGAAGTTGAGGCTGCAGTGAGCCAAGATTGTGTCACTGCACTCCAATCTGGGCAATGGAAGTGAGACCCTGTCTCAAAAACAAACAAACAAACACACAAAAACTATTGAGTATGGGAATGATAGTCTCCAATTCAGGATAGCTGTTATGGGATTAGTGAGGGGATACATGGACAGGGGTGGTAATGGTGGTGGTTCACCCTATATAATATTTTCTTTAAGGAAATTTATTTAAAGCAAAGACAGCAAAATATTCAGCTGTATTAAATACTTACCTCTGGATAGTGGTTATATGGGTCTTCAGAGTGTCATTCCGTATACTTTTCTGTACATTTGAAATGTTTCATAGTGGAAAAAAAGCAGGAAAACCCTTACAGCACTCAAGTGTCTGCTCCTGTGCTAGGGATGTCCCTTATTCCTTTAGGTCTTTGTTTCTTCTGACAGTGGCCCTGAAGCTTCAGCAAGGCTTCTAGGCAGGGAACTAATCTTGTGGATTTTTTTTTTTTTCTGAAATGCTTTCCTACAGGCCAAGGAAAATGACTTCAAGCATTTTCATTCTGTGATTTATATCAATGCCTCAGAAAACCTGCTGCCTCTAGGTAAGCTTTTTCTTTCTTGAAAGCTCTCTTCCTCCTCTTAGCCAGCACAGCCATTCACGTGTGTTAGGATTTGTCTGTCCAACCATCTATGATTGGCCACACATCTCTTTTTTGGAGTACAATAGGCTGGGTGCTGGAGAGCACAAAGACCTCGATTCCAGTCCTGCTCTGGCGCTACCTACTTAGAACATTTTTCTGTGATCTTCTACTTCTCTATCTGTCAATGGAGATAATTCCCTTCTTTTTTTCCTCCCCTTGCAGGATACCTTGCAGGCTCATATGAGATGGGTGTATAAAAATGTTTCTAAGCCTGTAAAGTACTCCTGTAGGAGCATAAAGCCTTCTTATTCAGCAAGTCCACAGCGACCCCTGCTGGATATTAGGACTGTGTGAATACTTGGCTTTTAGAAATGAGTGCATACAGTCCTGCTCTGGTGAGCTCATGGTTTGGTGAGAGAGATGGACTCAGATACAGATAGTTAGGTCAGGATGAGGGGAGAGCAGTGAAAGAGAGAATCAGGAAATACTATGCAAGCATATACGTGGGACTTCAAGCCAGGCCAGAGTGTCAGGAGGAACTGAGAAGAGGAGCACCTAAGCTGAGACCAGAAAAATGAATAGGAGTGATTCAGGAACTAGAAGGTAAGAAGGCATTTCCGGCTGCTGGAGCAGATGTGGAATGGCATTGTCTGATCAGGAAGACTGAAGAGGTTTTGTATGCTTGCAAGGGAAGCATGTGGGGGACAATTGAAACTAGACAGATTGGCAGCGACTGGATTATCAAGGACCGGGAGTGAATTGGACTTAATGCTGCAGGCAAAAGAGAGTCTTGGAAGGGTTTTAAATAGAGAAGCTCAGTGGCAGCTGTGAGGAGAGTGGATTATAAGAGAAGAAGAAGGTGGAGGCCAGGAAACCTGGGAGATTATTTCAGGTTTTCAGGGGAGGGGAGATGAGGCCTGAGCCAGGATTGTGACAAGAAGGGTGCAGAGGATTGAGAGAGAGAGAGACAGACAGAGATTTAGGAGGAGTAGAAACCACAGGACTTGGTAGTTGATAGACTGATAGGGATGTAGGGAGAGGGAGGAATCAAGGGGCATTTCATTGAGATAGGGCACATTAGAGAAAAGGCAAGTCAGAGGGAAATAGGATAAGTTCAGTTTTGTTGCATTGAGTTTGAAGATTGTTTTCAAAGAAGCATATGATGAGGTCCCTGCCCTTTAGGAGACAGGGTGGTCTGTCAGGAGCTTGGGCTGGAAATACAAAGGCCAATAGGTATATGAAAAGGTGTTCAACCTCACTAATAATTACAGTGGATCAAGATACTGTTTTCTGCCTGTCAAATATTGGCAGGAGTGAAAAGGGCTGATGACAGCCAGCATTGGTAGGGAGATGGATACTCTTGCATTGAACTGTGGAAGTATAGTCATTGGTGTAGCATCTTGGAGGTAATTTGGTAATGTTTCTTAAAATTTAAAGTAGTCATTGCCTTTAATCTAGTAGCTTTACTTCCAGGAAATTATTCTATAGTAACACACTCGTACAAGGCTGTTCATTGGAAACATCCAGAAATATTCACAAAGCAGCCTTTATTAGGTTCTACTGAACATTCTGACTTACAAGACTACCATATTTAACATCAGGTTCACTTAGAAGGCTCTAAGTAATTCCACACAGAATGCCAGTACAACAGCATCAGGAGTTTCTCTTCAATGGAGTTCCCAAAGCCATCCATGAGGCATTCTTTGTGCCCCTCCATCTGGCCCCCAGTGTCAGCTCAGGTACAAGACAGTGAGACTGTCATTGGGTGGATGCAAAAGCCACCCTGGCTTAGAAATCTCATTCCTCACAGGAGCCAATATACATTGTAACACGTATAGGCATAGCTCCTAGAGTTTCTGCAAAGGATATATCCAATTATAGGAATCACTACACACAGGGAAGCCCAAAATTATGGTGCCCCCTTCAGGTGTTTATCATTCATTTATAGTTTCTCCTAGCCCAGATGTAATTTGCCAACCTAGGGTGATTTTTACCGCAAGTGATACTGCCTGGAAATGCAGTTACTGTATCATTGGTTTCAGGTTACCAGAGGAACAAGGCTAGAAAAAGTTCAGTTCTCATTCAAAGAGAGAAACATTTATTCATATAGTTTCTTACCTTTTATTCATATAGCCTAAAGGCTACCAATGGGGAAATGGATTAGTAAACTAGGATATATCTATACTGTAGAACATCAGAAGACATTAGGCATATCTATATGTTTTGACATGGAATAATCTTTAAGTTACATTGTTAAGGGAAAAAGCAAGTCAGTACAGTGTGTACAGTATGACTCTATTTTTGTTAAAAGAGGTATGTATTTTGATATATACATGAGAAAAAGTTGAGTGCTATATATGGAACTTTTAATACTTGTCTCTGGATGTTGGGATTAAACAGAACTTTTTATTTTTCTGTGATGTTTGACTGTTTTTCTTAGTTGTGTTTTAATTTTTGTAATCAGGATTAATAAAGATAATTTTTAAAATGGGCTTTGCTGTTGAGCAGACTTAGATTCAATTCTTGGCTCTTTCACTTACCAGCAATTCCATTCTGGCAAATCACTTAGCTTGGCTGAGCCTTAGTCAGCCATAGAATGGAAGTAGTAATCCCTATTTTTCTGGGTTGTTAGAGATTTAGAGGCCATGTATGTAAAGTACCTTATACAGTGCCTGGCCTAACCCAGTAGGGACACAGTAAATGGTAATTATTAATATCTTTCTCTTAAGTCCTTTACAAGCTGCAGACTCTCTCTTTCTCTTCCCCATGTAGAGGCATTTCACACGTTTCCAGCCCTAAAGGAACTGGATCTCGCATTTAATGGCATCAAAACTATCTACGTGAAATATGGAGACTTTAAGTTATTAGAAGTAAGTTGGAGGTAGGGAGTTTTTGGTGCCCACCAAGTTCCCCTGTAAGGAATGAGCATAGAGCTTTACTGATTATAACTGTTGGGAAGGGGCTTGCTGGGCCTGTACAGCCAGGCCCTTGCTTCATTGCTGGCCTCCAGGGAGGGTGGGGGTGGGGGTTGTAAGGGTAGTTACAGTGATGGAGATAGTGGTAATGGTAGAAGTGGCAGCAAATAGTTGATACCAAAGACTTAACCATGGTGCATGGTCCTGGAAAATAAATGCCAAAGGTCATGTCCAAGGGAGTCTGTGCAGAAAAGTGAGTTTTAAAACAGAGTATTGAAGGAGGGAGAATTTTGAGGGGAGATCTGGATCTAGTGGGGATTGAGGAGCCATGGAGCTTAAGAGCTAGGTGCAGCAGATTGGATCGGCTGAACTAGAGACATTATAGACTGATTCCAGAGACTCATCCTGGTCTAAGTGAGCTGAATCAGTCTCGGTGGCTGGGATAGAGCAGGCTATAGGCCTAGTCCATAACCTCGGAGATGAGTATGAATAGGGATCCTTTGGGATCAGCAGCAGAGTCTTGAACATTTGTACATTCACAGCTGTTCTTCAAACCGCAAATTAGAAAATACAGAAAATTTTGTTTGCATTCTTGGTTTTCTCCTAAATTTTCCCATAGTCATGCATTTTCTGCACATGTCCTTATAGTTCAAGTTGATTACTTATTTAGCTTTCATGAAGATTTGTGGGCCACTTTTTACAAAGGAACAAAGCTTTTGTCACTACCTGAGAGTCACGGCAGTAGTAAAGGACAACATATGTGGAGAGTAAAGGACAACAGAGGTGGAGCCACGTGTGTGGGCTGGGCATCTGACCACGCTCACTCACTGAGTAATAGACTCTTCTCCACATCCTGGAGTAGAAGTGTTTCAGAGTCAAATTTCAGTAAAATGTGTGCGTGTCATGAACCTTGAGGTCAACCCCAAAAAGCTGTTAACTTAAATGATTTCATCTGCAAACATCAAGGGTCAGCCATTCTTCACAAAAGCCTCACTTAACCTGGTCTTGTCAGTGAGGGGGACCTTCTACAAGAGTGAGTTTTTCAGAGTTGATGGCCTTCATATGCCAAAGCTTTAAAAGGTTTTAACCTCTTGGGATGGCCACCTTCCTAATTGGATTATATATCTTTGCATTTTTAAAGCATATTCTGCTGACTGTAATGGAACCTTCTCTCCATGGTCTCAAGTCATATTGAAGATAACAGTAATTTTCTATGATTTGAGACAAAAGTAGTCCTCACACTTGTCTAGGAAGCAAAGCTCTTGAAAGTTGAATAAAATAGAGAGAAAGTAAGTTTACAACAACTGATGCATTTTTTTTCTGTGTTTATAAATATTTAACAGTAGATTTTGGAATAGACAGCAGGAAACAGGTTTCAGATGGTCTAGAGATACAGGGAGCCATGTCCCTGACCTTTGAGCCTGGGAGCTTCTTAAGAACTTGCATTTATTTGTTCTTTTACTTTTTCAGAGAGTAGTCATTGAGCTCCTGTGTTGTGCGTTGTACCATGCATCTTGTCTTCTTCCCCTACCATTTCAAACCCCTGTTTCAAGTACCAGTGGGCTGAAGGGAGGAGACATGACTATAGGCTCTGACCCCACAACTGACTAGCTTGGATCTAGTGATTGATCATGAGTGACTTTTTTGGAGGCCTTACTTTACTTTATAGTGTGATCGCATCTGATGAAGATGATTTATCCAGCAGACCTACCCTTACGAAAGGGTATTTACGTAAGAGAACAGACCAAAGTTAAGATGCAGAATATAAATGAAAACAGGAAATCTCTTGCCCAGTCATCTGTTTTCATCTATCTGTGATTTGCAAGGGCTCCCTAAGAAGAAGTATAAACCTGTCAAATATCCTGAATTTGCAGCTCACAGTAATGTAATATTTTGATGTGTAATAAAACTTGATGTGACTCAGCAGATGTAGTAGCCAGGTTAGGAATCTTCTGTTCTTGTTTGCCAAAAAGGCTGCCCCAGGAGGAAAAGCCCAGAGTAGAATAATTCTTCAGGAGTCAATTTAGAAAAACTTAACTTTGCCATGGTTTGATTCTCGGATTACAGATCTGAAGAAGGTTCAGCTGGAGCCCTGCCCTGGCAGTCAGAAGACCTTTTGTCTTGGTTTTGCCAGTACTTTGCCATGCCTACCTGGCCAAACAACGTACCCTCTCTGGGACATTTCCCCTCTGTAAATTCTGGGTCAGCTCTGAAATTCTGTAGCCTGTGATTCTAAGGCTATTCATTTCTTTAAATTGCCCTTAATTCTATAGAAAGCAAATTCGGATCCTACATTAAATAGCCAAAGCAGCTAGAATGAGGTCAGCAAACTTTTTCTGTACAGCAGGCCTAATATTTTAGGCTTTGTGGTTCATATGGTCATAACTAATCATAGCTAGTCAGCTCTGCTGTTGTATAATGGAAAACAGCCATAGACAATATGTAAACAAATGAGAAATGAGCATGGCTGTGTTCCAATAAAACTTTGTTTATTTTAATTAATTAATTTATTTTTTGAGACAGTCTCCCTCTGTCACCCAGGCAGGAGTAAGTGGCACAATCTCAGCTTATTGCAACCTCCGCCTCCTGGGTTCAAGCGATTCTCATGCCTCAGCCTCCCAAGTAGCTGGGACTATGAGTGTGCACCACCACACCCAGCTAATTTTTGTATTTTTGGTAGAGAAGGGTTTCACCTTGTTGGCCAGGCTAGTCTCGAACTCCTGGCCTCAAGTGATCTGCCCACCTCAACCTCCCAAAAAGCTGGGATTACAGGCGTGAGCCACCACGCCCAGCCTAAAACTTCATGACACTGAAATCTGAACTTCACATAATTTGCACATGAAACACACTCTTATTCTTTTTTTTTTTTTTTGAGACGGAGTTTCGCTCTGTCGCCCAGGCTGGAGTGCAGTGGCGCGATCTCGACTCACTGCAAGCTCCGCCTCCCGGGTTCACGCCATTCTCCTGCCTCAGCCTCCCGTGTAGCTGGGGCTACAGGTGCATGCCACCATGCCCGGCTAATTTTTGTATTTTTAGTAGAGACGGGGTTTCACCGTGTTAGCCAGGATGGTCTCGATCTCCTGACCTCGTGATCTGCCCGTCTCGGCCTCCCAAAGTGCTGGGATTACAGGCGTGAGCCACCGCGCCCGGCCCACTCTTACTCTTTTTTTTTATTTTTTTCAACCATTTAAAAATGTAAAAATTGGCTGGGCAGGGTGGCTCACACCTGTAATCCCAGCACTTTGGGAGGCCAGGATGGGAGGATCGCTTGAGCCCAGAGGTTCAAGACCAGCCTGGGAACAAAATGAGACCGTGTCTCTACAAAAATAAAAAAAATTAGCATGGTGGTGCGTGCCTGTGGACCCACAGGAGGCTGAGGCAGGAGGATCACTTGAGCCCAGCAGCTTGAGGCTTCAGTGAGCCATGTTCACACCACTGCCCTCTAGCCATGTTCATACCAATGGGTAACAGAATGAGACCCTGTCTCAAAAAGAAAAAAGCAAAAATTATTCTTAGCTCCTGGGTTACACAAAATAGCAGTAGGTCAGCTTCTGAGCTAGAACCCTAATGAAACAGCTCCGTATGGCTGGAATAGAGACTGAGACACAGTAGAGTGTAGTGATATGTGAACCTGGAGGGGTAGCAGAAAAGAGACTGGGGAGAACCTTGGAAACTTTGCTGAGGAGTTTAAACCTTAAGGAGAATAGGGATCCATTGAAGGGTTTTAAGCTAAGTGGTAGGGTCAGAACTGCATTTTAGAAAAACCATTCTGGCTTCTGTATAAAAAATAGATTAGAGAGAACAAGCATGAGAGATATTAAGGAGGTAGATAGAATCCATAGGCTGACTGTTCACACATGAGTATGAGGGGAGAATGTTCCCCACTTTTCCCTGTGCTTATCTCAGGCACCTTTCCAGGTCTTCCTCCTGTAGGCTTCTCTGTTTGCTCCAGCCAAGTGGGATTGCCTCATTGTCTGAACCCTCAAACCTTGGAATTTGCTGATGGTGGCATGAACTTGGAGCTTCTGTAGTACTTGGCTAGTCCTATCAAGCCATTTCTTATGCCAGGGACTTCAGTCATACCCAAACTATTCATGGTTCTCAGAACAAGAAAGGCTGCCTCCTGCCTCCTGGCTTCTATACATGCCACTTTCTGCCCTGAATGTCTCTTTGCCCTTAACAATTTGGTGAATACCTACTGGTCTCTGAGGACAGCTCACATGTTACCTACCCTGTGAAGCCTGTCCTGATCCCCTGGTAGACCTGACCATATCCTTCCTTTGTGCCCTGATTGGTCTGTCTTCAGACATCTATCCCAGCAGCATTGCTACATAATGAACATATACATGTATTTAGCTGAGTAGGCTGGGAGCTCCTAAAGGGCAGGGACAGGTACAAAGTAAGCCTTATACATAGGGTTGAGGAATGAAATGATGATGATGATGATGACAGCCAACATTAAGCATTTACTGTATACTAGACTCCAGTATAAAGGCTTTATCTACATAAGAACCACTTATTTCTACTTTACAGATAAGGAAACCCAGATTAAGTAATTTGCCTAATATCACATGGTTAGTCAGGACTTAAACACCCAGGTCTGCAGAGCTATCAATTATTACAGCAGAGTCAGACCAAACCCAGTCCTTCTCTGAGGGTAACCTGTAGCGTGTATATGTCTGACTATGTAATACTGATGTGGCTGACCAAAGACTTGCTCCTGTACCAATTGAATAAGTTGCTGAAACTGACCCCATTCAATAGACTTCAATGTATGTTGAGGAGGGGGGCACAGGGAAGCACATAAGAAATAGGGGTGATGGAAGGGAGCCAACTTGTATATATAGTGTCTATGGAGGCTTAGGAGAAGGAGAACAAATATTGGACAGATGTCATTTATCCTGATTGTCTTTGTCTCTGCAGAGAAACACGGTTTTCTGACTGACCCCTTGGCCCCTTGACCCCAGTCAACTATGTCATGAATCCAGAAGGCCAGTTAGAAGGTGGTTGACAATAGGGTGACAATTTGGGGTTATTGTCCTCATAAGCCAGTTTATTTCTTTTGTCTTTTTTTTTTTTTTTTTTTTTTGAGGCAGAGTCTTGCTCTGTTGCCCAGGCTGGAGTGCAGTGGTGTGATCTCAGCTCACTGCAACCTCTGCCTCCCAGGTTCACACGATTCTCCTGCCTCAGCCTCCTGAGTAGCTGGCACTACAGGCGTGTGCCACCATGCCTGGCTAATTTTTTGTATTTTTAGTAGAGATGGGGTTTCACCGTGTTAGCCAGGATAGTCTTAATCTCCTGACCTCATGATCTGCCCACCTCTGCCTCCCAAAGTGCTGGGATTACAGGCGTGAGCCACTGAAGCCAGTTTATTCAGCTCATTTTTTCTGTGCACCTACTTTGTGCCAGGTCTTATGCTAACTTACAAGGATACAGTGTTACAGTGGCATGGCACTTGACCCCACAGTCTTCCAAGTACCAGTTTATGATCTAGTCCACCACTGTGTGCCAAGCACTGTGCTAGGCATATACATATGCCAGATACCTAGCCGACTTTGATAAGTACCCTGAAAGCAGTTTAGATAAAGCAGTCAAAGTTAGGGGAGGTAGAGATTCCATCTGTCTGGGGAATTGAGAAGGTTTTACAAGGAGGCAGCTTTTGAGCTGTCTTTTGGGGGCTTGGATTAGGATACATGGAAGAATGGCATTCCCATTTAAGCAAAAAGCACAAGCAAAGATCTATAGGTGGATGAGGCAAACAGCGGGGAGGAGTCTATTTGCCTAGCACTACAGGATAAACAAAGATTTGTAGTGGCAACTAAGGCTAGAAAACCAGTTGGGTACTGACTCTAGTAGACCTTGAATATTAATCTGGAGATCCAGGAGGGTTTTGTCCTGTGGGCGATGGGGCACTCTAGAAAGTAGCTCCCACATCATATATGAGCATTGTTGTCACACAGAGTGCTTACCTTCCCCATCTTTCATCTTTGCATGGCAGTTCTTGGACCTTTCCTTCAACAGCCTGACTGTGGAGGCCATCTGTGATTTGGGGATTCTGCCACACCTCCGTGTCCTGCTCCTCACAGGCAATGGCCTTACCTCCCTGCCGCCCAATTTGGCCGTCGCAGAACAGTAAGTTCTACCTCCTGGAGTCCATTCTGTGTTTTTGTGTACAAATATCCAAGGAAATAGCCCATAGCAGCTTGAAGTGCCATAAAGATAGGCTGTAAGTGCTCAAAGCAGGGATAATGGCACCTACTGAAGCTCCCAGAAAGGCCTCAGACACACGCCCCCAATTTCCTGTGTGCTGTTAGGAGAGATCCAGGTGTTTGGCAAGCCACTTTCCCTGCCTCTGACTGGTCATCTGTAAACTGTCTTGCCAGACAATTCTCCTTCATGAGCCCCCTGTGTCAGCTCAGTAAGTCTGTTCCCTGGTCTCTAGATAACCTTTGTACCTTCCCACTCTGCACCTTTGCTGAGGCCATTCCTCTGGCTGGTCCTTCCTCTTAATAGTAATAAAAACACATATGTAGTACTTACAATGTGCCAGACAGTATTCTCGGCATTATGTATGTTAACTCATTAAATCCTCATAACAGCTCTGTGAGGTAGGTCTCCTATTATTATCCACATTTTTTAGATGAGGAAATAAGTACAGACATTTAAGTAACTTGCCCAAAGTTGCAAAGCTAGTTGGTAACAGATCCAGGATTTGAATCAAGTCTATCAGACTCCAGAGACCATACTCATGACTGTTATATTATATTCTCATGTAGATTCTGTACATTTTCTAAGGCCCAGCTCAGACCTTCCTCCTTTCCCTACCAGGAGCCTTCTCTGACTGCTTTAGCCCATGCCTCTTAATCCCTTCTCTAAGGATCAGTTTAATTTAGTGTTTCCACAGTTAATTTAATACTTAGCACATTCTATTGTGGCTTATGCCTAATATATATATGTGTATATATGTAATAAGTTACTTAGATTTTATATGGTGATGATTGTGGTTGGCTAGTTGCTCAAGGGGGTTGAGATAATAGTAGTGATCATTTATTAGGGGTTTCATTAGTTAGGGTTGTTTTGTTTGCAAGTAACAGAAGTCCAATTCAAAGTGGCTTAAACAAAAAAGGGAATTTATTGGTTCATGTATGTGAAAAATCATGAGGTCAGTCTGCTGGATGCTTTGGCTGGATATAGGCGCACAGGATGTTGTCAGGTCTCTGCGTGCATCTCTATTTCTTGAGCATGTGTGCAGCTTCTGTTAGTCTGTTACTTGTTCTGTCATACACATGAAGACATCTTTGTTTTCCTTGGTGTTGGCTTCATTTTTTTTTTTTTTTTTGCAGTTTTATAACTTTGTTTGATATAGTTGACAATCAGTGATTAGTTCTCATCCACAATGACTGTCTATAGATTTTTGAAAGTGGTAACAGGTACATAGGTAACCGAAGTACAGAGCTTATTTGGTGAATCTTCATCCTCATTATATTCTCTGGACAACTGCACATGGATTCGGCATGGGACATTCCTTATTCCTTTGGCCCAGACAGCCTTGTTGAGCCTGGTATCAGTTGTGCACATCTAGAGTTCCCATCTCCTTCCTGACAAATTTCCGAATCTCTTTGAGTGCTCAAGGGGCATGCTTCTTGAAGCCCACTCCATGGATGCACTTGTGAATGTTGATGGTGTATTCTCGGGTCACCACCTCATTGATGGCAGAACGGCCCTTTTTCTTCTTGCCACCCTTCTTCACAGGAGCCATTCTGCCGGGTCCCGGCTTCATTCTTAGGTAGGCTTTCTCCATGAGCCAGTCAGGCTGTAGACAGAAATACAAAACCCACTCAAGGTATTACAAATAGATGGTATTAATTGGTTTACTGATTGGTTTATTCATTTATTAATTCTTGGCAGGGAGAGGTAATTGGTATTTTGTTATGGAAAGTTTTTAAACACATATAAAATTAGAGTCTATCATAAAATTGACTCCAGGTACCTATCACCAACAATTATCACCTGACAATTATCAAGTCATGGCCAATCTTGTTTCATCTATGCCCCCATCACGCCCCCTCCTGGAATATTCTGAAGAAAAATCTCAGATATATACAGCCATAAATGTTTCATATTATTTCATCTATAAATATTCCAGTATGTAGCTCTAAAAGGTAAGCACTCTTAAAAATCATACCCAGAGAACCATTATTCCACCTAAAATATCACCAGTGATAGAGAGGGAATTGGTTACATGGCTGTTAGAAGGGATGGAAGAGCTAAGTGGAGAAGAGGGGTATGGGAAGAACAAAAAGTAAGAAGCGTTGATAACCAGAGATCAGAAGCTGCATCACTGCTAAACTGAAGTCAACAAGTCTATATCCACTGCTGGGCTTTCAGGGAGGGTGTCACTGTAATTGTAGACCTGCTGAAGATGTGATGCCTCAACCAAGGCTGGAATCTCTGCCAACGCAGTTACCATGGTTAGTACTGCCATTGCTGTTGCACTATCACTGCTGCTGCTGACAGAAATGCTATCAGAAGCCAGACAAGAGAGTTGCTTCTCCCTGGCTCTGGCCTTCCAGTCTCTCATGAATCCCTTCTATTGGCAGTATCCAACTAGTTGGAAAGGCAGTCTGGGAAGTGTAGTTAAGGAGATGGCTCCAGCCCCCTACAATACATAGAAGAACACAGAAGGAAGGGGTGAAGGCTGAGAGCAAATAGGCAGATAACTGGCACCATTCAACCCTTGGAACCCCAATAGCTACCCTCCTGCTTCCCTCCATATTTAATTTCCATACAACAATAGCAACTGCAACATGCTTTTACCTAACATGAAGGAACTCTTCCTCTTATACTGAAGACACTTTCACCATCCCCTCAAGAAGGATGAGACACAGTTCCATCAGTTACTGTAGCCATTGCTGGATGATATTATTTTCTCTTCTAAAGAAATTTATGGATATTTTATATCCTAAAAACTAAGTTGTAAAGTCAGTCACCACTAGCAGTTTAAGTGTGCATGCGAGTGCACACACACACACACACACACACACACTAAGGAAGGAAGAAAATGCACACGAAAATATGCATAGTTGCTACAGTGATCTTTTCTTAACTGGTCAGGAGGCCATAGTGGATATTTGTAAATCCTTTTTTCCATCACCTATTTAATGTTCCTCTGTCATCTTCCAGCACCTTGGCTGGTTGGGGTTCTTTAACTGATGTGGTCTTCTGAACCTTCACTTCTGAAGGGTCTGAGTCCTTTAAGGTCCTGCTTTTACTGGGTTGCTGTAGTCTTCATTAAAAGACTAAAAGACATGGAACTTCTTAGAGGAGCACCAGATAATACTCTAGTCCCAGAGATACTTTTTTTTTTTTAACCTCAAGGTATAACAGCAATTATATTTATTTTTATAAACAATATCAGTCACCTAGCCAGTAGAATGAACCCCTCTTTGTCTGACTGTTGGTTCAGTGAAATGAGAAATGCAAGTGGCTGGTAGCAATCTCGACTTCCAGTTCAGTGGAACCATGATTGTGTCTCTTGGTAAAAGTACCTCCTTAGGAACTAAGACCTGTAAATCAGAAGTGCCAAAAGTTGTAGAATGAGAAGCAAAAATTCTGCAAGTGGACTATTAGATATAATTGTAAGAGGAGCTACTTTCATTTCCATTAATTCCTAGGACCTTAGGTTGTGGTTATGAGAAAAACAGTATCAGTTTTGGTTTATGTGATATCCTATGCTGTTAAGTTAGGGTCCCAACTTCCCTAACTATATCTAATTGGTATAGTAGATAAATCATCAAAGACTATTTCACTAGAGGATTCTGGGAAGATGATGGAGTAGGAAGCACCAAGAATCTGTCTCCTCATCTAGACAACAATTTCATTGCCAGAATCAGTCTGATGTAACAATTTTGAAACTGTGGACACAAATAATCTTCACACTCTATTAAAAGTTTACGTCTTCCAGGGGAAGATTTAGATGACAAACTGCAACTAATTTCAGTCAATTACAGCTTTAACCCGGTAGCAGCTACCCATCCCCTAACTCCCAATCTCATGGTTCAAATTTTAAACCTGAAAATTAGAATAAGAAATATATTCATTGGGTAATTCACATGCAGCTTGCAGGAGCCAGGGTGGACAAAAAGATCTCTGTCCTCCAAATTTTAGAGATTTGTGCTGTGATCACTGATTGCTACTTCTCATCATTGAGGTGCACACAGAGGCACACAACCATTGTTGCACACACACCCATCCACAACTGTCATAAGCCCTTTCTGCTCCAGCTGAAGAGACTTCCAGGGAATTTAAAGGATTTCTTTTCTTAATCCTCATTCCTTTCCCCATCTTTTGGGAGCCAGGCATTAAAGTCTAGGACATTCAAAATCAGCTGCATATACAGAGGAAATTAGAATGTCACCACATATATCCAGAGAAATGCACAGGCTTAGAAAAGACCTGAGAAGAACTTACATTTACACATCAGCCTGATCCTTGACACAGAGACAGCCTGCAATAATCAAACACGAAACAAAAAAACCCAGCAAACCCTGGTAAAGGGAAGAATCTGATTTCTAGAGTTACCATATTAATAGATTCAAATATTCAGCTTTCAACAAAAAAATCACAAGGCATACAAAGAAACAGAAAAATATGGCCCATCCAAAGGAAAAAATTAAGCAACAGAAACTATCCCTGAGAAAGTGAGTACTTACTAGATAAAGACTTTAAAACAGCTGTCTTAAAGGTTTTCAAAGAACTAATGAAAGATATGAATAAAGTCAAGAAAATGATATATTAACAAAATGGAAATATCAACAAAGAGATAGACAACCTAAAAAGAAATTTTGAACCTGAAAATTAGAATAAGAAATGAAAAATTCACTGGAGAGTTTCAAAGGCAGATTCGAGCAGTCAGAAGAGAGAATCAGCAAACTTGAAGACAGAACAATTAAATGTATCAAGTCAGAGAAACAAGAGGAAAAAAAAAGATTGACTTGAACAAAGCCTAAGGGACCTGTGGGATTGGGATACCATCAAGCAAACCAACCTATGTATTATGAAAGTCCCAGAAGGAGAAGAGAGAAAGCACGGAGAGATTATTTGAAGAAATAATAGCCTAAAACTTCCCAAGTTTGATGAATGACATGAATATAAACATACATGAGGCTCAGTGAACTCCAAGATAGGATGAACTCAAAGAGACCTCCACTGAGTCATATTATAATCAGACTGTTAAAAGACAGAGGATCTTGAAAGCAGTGAGAGAGAAGCAACTCATCACATACAAGGAATCTTCAATAAGATTATCAGCAGACTTCTTGTCAGAAACTTTTAAGGCCAGAAGGCAGTGGGCTGATATATTAAATATTTAAAGTGCTAAAAGAAAAAAAAACCTGTCAATCAGGAATCCTACATCCAGCAGAAGTGTTCTTCCAAAGTATGGAAGAAATTAAGACATTCCCAGATAAACAAAAGGTAAAAAAAATTCATTACCACCAGTCCCGCCCTGCGTAAATACTGGAGGGAGTTTTGCAGGTTGAAATGAAAGGATGCTAGACAGTAACTCAAAGCTGTAAGAAGGAATAAAGCTCTCATTAAAGGTAAATACATGGGCAATTACAAAAGCTAGTATTATTGTATCAACAGTTTCTATTCCACTTGTAGAACATTGTGGGCAGGGAAGGCAAATCTATATCCAAAAATACATTTATAATCTAGTAAAGGAAACTTGCTGCTGCTTTTTAAAGTCAACTTGATACTAGACAGCTGTATAATCCCTCTAGAAATTCGGTGCCATATTAGGGGTTCAGCAGTGGCCTCTGCCATTGGCAGGTTGAGTACTCAGCAAGGGTCATAACCAGATTTGCTATGGTGAAAGGAAGTGTGTAGCCTTCATCCCTGCCACCAAGGGAAAGAGGGCAACTGACATTCATGGATTGGGTTACCTTATCTTCCTGACCATTGAGAGTCTCCGCCACAGGGGATTGTCTTGGGGAAACAGTCATATGAGACACGGTCTTCACACTCTATCCATTCTGAGAGGTTAAGTCACATAATTTTTCTCTATACTTTAAGCAACTTTCCCATATTTTTTCCAAGCTTTGACTATTCAGCTAAACCATCAGCCACTGCCCGTGAATCAGTATAGATCTGTATTTCTGGCTATCTCTCTGACCAAGCAAATGGCCAATCAGATACATTGCTCTAAGTTCTGCCTGCTTAGAAGATTTCTCTTCCCCTGTGTTTTTGGTCACTCCTGTGTGGGGCTATAATATTGTAATAGTTGACTTTGAGAAGGTATCAGCATATCATGCTAAGTCATTTGTAAACCAAGCTAGAGGTTTTTCTTCCTATATTAGATGGCCACAGGACCTTAGTTAAGGGTTGATGAAGAGGTAGCAGTACAGCAGGAGTATGCGCCATAGGAATCTAAGCCATATATTCCTGCAACTTTTCCAGTCTTGCTGGAGCCTGATTTCAAATATTGCTTTCACTTGATGGGGGATTTCTGTTGCATGTTCAGTTCATGATGAGTGGCTCAGGTTGCATGATCACATAGTATCCTGTGGTCAGGTATTTGGCCTCTACCAACATGCACTAGTAAGCAAGAAATTGTTTTTCAAAAAAAAAAAAAAAAGGTTATCTGCAGAATAGGGCATAACTTTGCTCAAAAATGAATCTGCTATGGGTACCGAGAAAAGGCTCTATTCATAGAATGACCATGTACTTTATCATCCAAACCAGGACATATATGAGAGGGAAAAGGGACAGTAGTAATAATTATTTGGCGATAACAGGTGAAAACTCAGGCTATCATTGAAATCCAGGATGTATGGTACCCTATCTGTACAGCACACCTATTTGCCATAGTCCTTTAGAAGCCATTTGGACCTGCTGAGTCATATGCCCAATGGAAGAGCAACTTGCATTACAGTTGGGACCTGTTGTAGAACCTTGCCTTGCTCTGGACCTCACTCAAAACTAGCAGCCTTGTGGGATACTTAGTAAATGAGTTAGAACAGCACCAAATATTTTATGTCACTTCTAAAATTTAAAAGGGGGATGGGCACGGTGGCTCACGCCTGTAATCCCAACACTTTGGGAGGCCGAGGCAGGTGGATCACTTGAGGTCAGGAGTTCGAGACCAGCTTGGCCAATGTGGCAAAACCCTGTCTCTACTAAAAATACAAAAATTAGTCAGATGTGGTGGCGGGCGCCTGTAATCCCAGCTACTCGGGAGACTGAAGCAGGAGAATCGCTTGAACCTGGGAGGCAGTGGTTTCAGTGAGCCAAGATCACACCACTGCACTCCAACCCCAGGCGACAGAGTGAGACTCCATCTCAAAAAATAAATAAATAAAATAAATAAAAATAAAATCCACAAAGGCCAGTGAAACTTTGTGATTTTTTTCCTACAAGTAGTGTAAGATAAATAAGAAGCAAGGTACAGGATTATGTCTTTCACATTAGAAGTACATCACAACATGCTTCAGATACCTGGATAACAACAAAAAATTAATCCATATCGTAGTACCCTGAATTTTGATGGGGGAGGGGGCTTACCTCCATCCTGTAACACACAGGTATCTTACTAAGGCATCTAGGGTGTTTGCAACTTTTCCTGCTCGCCAGGTCCAGTCAGTATGATATTCTGTAGGATATCAAAATAACCAAGATCCCGGAGTTGATATGGCCCCAAGAGAAGAGGAAAAAGGTGTACTGTTGTCCCTGTCAGGTGAAAGCAGACTGCTTTTGGTAGTTCTTATTAATTGATAAAGAGAGAGAAAGAAACATTTGATAGGTCCTTAGCTGTATCCACAGTGCCAGGGGCTTGGTTGATTTGCTCCAGTAAAAAGATTCCACACCTGGAATAGCAGCTGAAAGTGGGAGTCACCTCTTGATTAAGCTTACAGGAATCTACAATCATTCTTCAAAACCTGTTTTCTGTACAAGCTAAATAAACAAAGGATATCTTCTTCACAATACATAACAATCTTCTAAACAAGAGATGTTAAACAGGGATGTCATAGGAATCATTATCCTTCCATCTTTTTAATCTTTAGTGATGGCAGTAATCTCTGCAATTACCTCAGGGATTCAGTATTGTTTTTGGTTTACTATTGGGAAGAAAAGTTCCTGGGGTTTCAATTGGACACTTCCTACTATAATGGGCTATATACTTTGTTGCTCAGTAAATAAATGTGGGTGTTCTGCCAGTTGTTTAGTATGTCAGTTTCAGTTACACGTTCAGGGTAGATATGTGACTTCACTGGGTCCATTGTGAAACAGACTTTGGCTAAATTTTCATTCTTCCATCTGACCTTTATGATCCCCCACTTTTGAGTGATGGTCCACCATGCCTTTCATATCCCCAGAGATGAGCACCAATTTGCAGACACTGTCTAGTAATCCTTACAAGGCCTAATTTAGCACTGTTCAGTAGAACTTACTACAGTGTTGGAAATGTTCTATATCTGTGTTGTTCATAGTGTAGCTACTAGGCATATTGAGCTCTTGAGCACTTGAAATGTAGCTAGTGTGATACAGGAACTGAATGTTCAATTTTATTTAAGCTTAATTAGTTTTAAGTTAAATGTAAATAGGAACTGAATGAGAGGCCATGGCTCTTTCTTTGGACAACTCAAATCACTTTTTGCCCACCAGATCAAGGGTTTTCTGGTGATCTACATCACTAATAATTTCAAATCATCTTAATTCAATTATAAAAATTGAAATTATTTGAAGCTAGTCTTCAGTCTCTGCAACGTCCATACTATTTCTAGTGTATACGTCCTCCGAGGGTTTGGTTTTCTAATGACCTAACTTAGAGCATGAGTAGTCAGGCTTCTATTCTGTGGCATGCCTTGGATTCCAATTTTCGCCCCTGGCCCAGCAGGGTTGTCAGAATCTCTGCTCAACTTCTCAGCCTCTCAGCCACTTCTGGAGTCAGCAGACAGTCCTAGGGGAAAAGTGTTGCATGAACCCCTTTGGATTTCCTTCTTTTTTCAAATCTTAGCGCCATAATTCTTCACAGCTTGTTAGTTCCCAGGTATCTTAAGGCAGATTGTTTTTAAATGTATATTTTGTCTGGGTTTTCTAGTTTTTTACTCAGGGAAGAGTTGGTCCCACATTATTTAGTTTGCAACACTATAAACCTTTCTATTTATTTTGGTACCTAGAGTCACTCAGGATGGAATCAGCTTAAGCTAAATTCCTGACTGGGTGTTTTCTGAATCACTCTGATGATACAGATTTGGGCTACAGTTTTGCAAGAGGACCAGTCTGCCCTTCCCCTTGTCTTTCTCTGTTCACTCCAAGACAGTTTTCTCCTGGCTATGGGATAAGGAGAATAGGTTTAGTTTTGGTTAATTTCACCCTGAGGGTGTATCCCTTTAGGATCCGAAATTCATATAAAGGGTCTCTGATTAAACTCCCCACCTTCAGGGTACCCTGGGCTTTGATTCTCTAGCCCCATGATACTGTTAAACCATAGTTCAGTTTCAACAGGATAAGTATATGCCCTCAAGGCTTGAGTGGCTTCCTATGTTAAGTTTCTCCC
The DNA here is from genome assembly GCF_000001405.40 of Homo sapiens. Taxonomy (NCBI): domain Eukaryota; kingdom Metazoa; phylum Chordata; class Mammalia; order Primates; family Hominidae; genus Homo; species Homo sapiens. The sequence goes on along the minus strand of NC_000011.10, from coordinate 74,911,786 downwards.
TCTGGGTTTTTAGATTTGGCATACTGCTTCCTTTCTCTCTTCACATCTCTTATACATATTAAAATGATGGATCCACCACCACGGGGAATGGTGGTGTGTGCCTGTAGTGCCAGCTACTTGGGAGGCCAAGGTGGGAAGATCGTTTTAGGCCAGGAGTTCAAGTCCAGCCTAGGCAACCATAGCAAGACCCCATCTCTACAAAAGAAAATAAATAAAATGATGGATCTTTTTTCTTTTTATATTTTATTCATCATTCTAGTTGTTTTCAGTGGAAAGCCTAGTTACATAAAATAAGGCAAGTCTCCCCCACCCTGCACTTTCATGTTCTTATATATGAGGGGGAGAATAAATGTATTCCTACCTGCATCAGAGTAGCAGTTGAAATCAGCACGCTTTGAAAGCTGTGGGTTGGCCAGGCATGGTCACTCACACTTGTAATCCCAGCACTTTGGGAGGCTGAGGCAGGAGGATTGTTTGAGCCCAGGAGTTTGAGGCCAGCCTGGGCAACGTAGTGAGACCTTATCTCTACAAAAATAAAAATAAAGCTGTGGGGCTCCAGACCAATACCATTGTCATTATTTTCTTCCCACTCATCTATCTAGATTCAGTATGCTCTGTGGGTTCCTTTTCTGCTAGCCTCTTAAACGTTGGTGCTCCCCAGTCATCCACCCTTAACCTACTATTTTTCTTTATCTTTATACTCTTTATTGGTGGCCTCCTCTTCGCAAGTCTTCTGAATTATAAGCCTGTTTAGCCTACTTATCAAACTCCTCACACACATCCCCATGCCATTAAGCCCTCCTTCTCGCTCTCTCCTCCTTTCTTTCCTTTCCTGGCCTCATTGACTGGCACTTCTTCCCACCTACTATGTAGTTGTCCAGGCTAGAACCTGAGCATTAGCCCAAATTTTGGCCTCCCTCATTCCACACATACATTCAATCACCAGGTGCTGTGAATTGTACTTTCTAAATTCTTCTCAAACCTGCTCATTGCTGTTATCCTCCTGTTTGGTCCCAGTCTGCAGTTTCTTGCCTCCCAGCCCATCCTCCTATCTGTCAGCCAGAGTGATCTTTCTGAAATGCACATGTGATTCTATCACTGCCCTGCTTAAAGTCCTTTAGCAGGTTCCCACTATCCTAAAGATAAACTCCATTAACATCGCTCAAAGCTTTTCATGGCCTGACTCTGCCTGCTTCTCCATCCTCCTTTCTCTTCACTTTTTCCATTCATCATATACCTCATCTATTCTGAACTATTTGTGTCTCCATTTCTTGCTATTTTTTTTGTCTGGGTGAGTTAGGGGAATCATATTTGACCCATTCTATACGTAGACTACTCTATTGCTTGTTTTGAGCTGGAATCTGCTACTTTGGCTCTTTCATTAGGCCTACTCTCTTTCTGCTTCAGACCATACAAGTCGGCGTTCTCAGGCACGACCAGCACAGAGCAGAGGATGAATTGTTACCTCCTTTCTTTTAGTCACTATATTCCAAATAACGCCACCTGAAAGAGCACTAGCTTTTTAGTAGCCACATCATAATCCCCTTTTACACACACACAGTTTGTTAAGCCATGTCTCCCTTATTCTGTGTGTTTGCACAGTTGGTGTTCTGTATCTTAACACAGAAGCTGATCTGACATTTGTCGTAATGTAAGTACTTGCTAAGTTTCATCTTGTTTGTTGCAGCCCTTGGTTCAGTCTTTTGAGCAATATTTTTAGCCTAATCGAAAGTCTTACAGTGTAAAGTAAAAGAAATCCCCCTTTACCATACAGATAGAGGATCTAGGCCCAGAGATGCTCAACACCAGCCGGAAGTCACACAGCAAGCAAAGCAGCAGCAGCACCGGAGCCAGAGCTCAGGGATCCTGGCCACCCTTCCCATGCATCTTCTAATATGGTACACAAATTCCCATTGCTGAATCCAACCACTGCACATACCCTTAGCTTCTGAAAAACTTTCATTAAATCTCTCAGATTTTAAGTAGTAGTAATTCTGTTTGGCAAGAGAAGTGATAATAAAAATAGCACCACTCTGAACAGCTGGAAACCCCGGCTTCTCCACTACTGACAGACTTTGCCACTTTGAAGAGCTTTTCTTCCAAAACTGCCACAGGAGGGGCTCGGTGGGAAAGCCTGCTGCTTTCCTCTGAAGCTAGACATCTGTCTTCTCACCCATCTGATGGCTGCCCCTCTATTTTAAGATGTCTATTTTAGAGACAAAAAATGAAACTTTCCCATGCTATAATTAGGGTAGAACTTTAAAAAGACGAAGTAGTGTAACTTGTCACAAGAGACGAGACAGAGCCAGCTTCTGCATTATGGAGCTTAAGAGGAATTTTTTAAAGGCTTATTTCTTAGCTGTTTCATATTTCACTAGAGTAAAATTAAGATTGGCCAATCAATTATAAATCAACACAGCTGCTGTGCACTGTTCTGTAATAGCTCAGATAGAGATTAAAAATTCAATGTATGAAAGTTGGTCCTTCCAGAAAGAGGAAAGGGCACACTCATGACCTTGAAATATTATGAAGTATAAAAGCTTCCTGCCTTCTCTGTTAAGTGTCTCTGGTCTTTGGACTTCAAGCCTGTTCTCTACAGTGCTGCCAGGTCTCTTTCTGAAAGTTTATCTGACCTGTCCCTTTTTCCAGTCAGAACTGTCATAATCTATAGAAGTCTGTCAGTGTTAGGATACAGAAAAAAAGGCAGGGGGGAATTGATTGTAAGAACATTGGGGAATCTCACAGCCGTGCCTGAGGGTCATGCTGAACATAGACCCTGAGCACCGTGGAGCAGCCTGGAAGTTCTGTCTCTCAGCTTTCACACCTCCTCCTCTCTGTGACTTGCCACATTTTTCTTTACAGGTGGGCTGCCTGTGTCTTTCTAGACCTCATGATGGGAAACATGGCTGCCTATAGCTACTAATTATGTTACAGATCCAGCCACGAAGAGATTATTTTTTTCCCTGTTCTCTCTTTTTCACATTGGTTAAAAGCATGACAATTCCCTCTCCATTCCTCATGGTTTTGCTTAAACATTGCCTTTCCCGAATAGGCGCCTTCCCCACATACTTCTTTTATGGTGTTTGTCTCACCACAGGCTGCGTGTCCACCTACTCCACCTAGAGGGGAGGGATGTGTTCTTTTATTTGTAGTCTCAGTACCTGGCCACATAAATATATGTTAAAGAAATTCATGAGTGTGAATGAACGAATTAATTAGTAATACATTCATTTAGAATATACCCTCTCTAAATGCACCTGTGAAATATCCCTGACTTCAGGTATACATTACTGTCCTAGCTTTTGAACTCACTGCCAACCTTTGTTAAGCTCTCTCTAGCTCAGGCATCAGCTCCCCCTTCCATTTCCCCACCCTTTAATCCACATGGGGCTAGTAGAGGTGAATGTGAAAGGTGTGATTTGGCAGTGGAAAGGGCATGGGATTTGGAGTCAGGCAGACCCAGGTTCTAGTTTGAGTCATCCCACTTTCTAGCTATGCGACTTCAGGCAAGTTGCTCTGAGCTTCATTTTGTTAATCTGTAAAGGAGATAAATAATACCTATCCTTGGATAACACATACAAAACATATCGCACAATGCCAGAAATGCATTAGGTGCTAAAGAAATGTTTGTTTCCCTTCCTCTAGTTGTGTGTGTGTTTGTGGCTTATATATGTGTATACTATATGCATTTGTGCCTATGTGTACTATTTTGGTGTGTGGGTGGCATACAGTATGGAGGGAAGAATGAAAACGTTATTTGTGTCATCTGCCTGTGTGGAAGAGAGTTACCTAGGTCTCATCTACCTGGAGGACACAAGTGAGGTCACATTAATGGCGGTACTTAAAATGCCACCACTTCCTGCCCACCCCTGTAATTCAGGGCATCACCCCCATAAATCTCACTCTTAGGTATTTCTGGGAATCTTCAGAGAGTTTGAGTTTAAGGAGAAACTTCTCCACTCCTTACTCATGTGTTCATTTTATGAAGCCACTTGAGAAGAGAGCCTCACTGCAGCCAGGGGTGGTGCCCTCAACCCACCCTACTTTACCCTACTAGGTGGCAAAGCTGTGGTCTATAACAAGGGCATTGTCTCCTGGTGCTCCCAGTTACCAGTCTACTAGGTGACACAGCATAACAAGGAGTCTTCCTGAGTCAAAATTGTGCAGTGATCTGCAGAATGCTCCCTCCAGCTTGGTCATGCCTCTTTCACCTGGCATTTTCTATAAGCACTACCTATACAATCCCCCATCCTGCCCTAACCTGGTTTCAATGATGTGTGTAACCTTTCTCCATACAGAAGACAATATGGTATGTATAATAGTGTTTGGGAAAGGAGAAGGTGGGGAAGGAATTATACTTTCTGTGCATCCCTATGGGGACCTCTTTTGGGCACTAGAACCGTTCCTAAGCTGGTTAGTCCTCCTAATTGATTCCCTGTCCTCCATGGCTTCCTGGGAATGGTGGAATTTGTCCCTCGACCTTGCTCATTACCCAAGATCTTTGCACTCACAGGGAGGCATCTGTAACATCGCTGACAAGCAAGAGGTACATCCTGAGGTTCCCAGCGCTGGAGACACTGATGCTGGATGACAACAGACTCTCCAACCCCAGTTGCTTTGCCAGCCTGGCTGGGCTCAGGAGGTAAAGCCATAAGCCTTTCTCTGCTGGGCCTCCTCTAATCCCCAGGCTTGCTCACACTCTGAGTGCTGTTCTGGAAGCCAAAAGGTTTGGGTTTAAAGCCTAGCTCCACAATTTATCTCTACTGTGTGGCCATGGGTAAGTCATTTCTCCCCTCTGAGCTTTGGCTCCTCCATAAAAATGGCCATGAGTGAGGACATTTCTGATCACATGACTGAATTAGAAGCAGCAAAGAGAAAGGAAAACAGGAGGAGATTTTACCCAAGATAGGATTCGGACCCTGACAGTAGAGACAGGAAAATTTTTTAAAATATTGAGAATCAGAAAGAGAAATTTAATTCCTGAATTCTAACTGAAGTAAAGAAAATAGTGGCATTTACATTGTTAAGCTTTACTTCTCTGGAAAATTTACTTTGGTTTCAACTACCATTTACTGAATACTACTTTGTGCCAGGCCATTTACATATTGCCTCATTAAATCTTCACAAGAACCCTGAAAGGTTAATAAATATTATCCCCATTTTAGAGACAGGGATATTGAATCCCAGAGAGAGTAAGTCACCGGCTCAACGTCACACAAGAGGAATAAGTATCCAAGCCTGATTCCATGTTTTTTCCCTAAAGTTGCTTGGTAAACAATCCTGAGGTATCATTATTGCTATGATTCTATATTCACTTTCCTTAATTGAAGACTGAAGAAGTTAAGCTTGGATGAAAACAGGATTATCAGGATCCCATACCTACAGCAAGTTCAGCTCTATGACGAGTCAGTAGACTGGAATGGAGGCAGGGGAAGTCCCCATAAAGAGCCCCAATTCATGCTGCAGTCCAAGCCAAGGATGCTTGAGGACTCAGATGAGCAACTGGATTATACTGTACTGCCCATGAAAAAGGATGTTGACCGGACAGGTGAGTGACACCCCTTGTCCCAGAAATTCTACCCTCATGGTGGAAATACACTTCTGAGAGTTTATTCTGAAAGTCTCACTTGGTCATGGTGAATATCACGAATTGAATTTGCTGATTCTTTGTCAAGGATGTTTGCATCTATGTTTGGGAGATGTGTTGGTGTATTGATTTCTTTTGTTACAGTATTCTTGTTAGGATTTATAATCAAGGTTATGCTTGCCTGATAAAATGTGTTTTGGAAGTTTTATTTCTGTTTCCTAGGAAAGTTTATATACTATTATTATTTTATCCTTAAATTTTGGAAGAATTCACCATGAGACCACCTGAGCCTGGAGTTTTCTTTGTAGAATGAGGTTGAAATTATGCAACTTTAGAAGCTTGGAAGAGGTGCTCCTGACACCTGAAATTTAGACCTCTGGGGAAGCGGTGCTGCTTGGCTGCTGGTGTCTCCGAGCTATGATGGGCTTCATGTAGCTGAGACCCAGATCTCTGAGGATACTGGCCAGCTGGTGCTGGTGCCTGTGGAGGAGTCACAGTGAAGCTAGTTTATAAAAGTTGGAAAAACTGCAAACTAGATTCAGCTACTGCTGGGGAAAGACTTGCTAGACTACAGCAAAAACAAAACAAATCAAAAACCACATTATTCCAGTGGCATTCACAGGAAGCACAAGCAGTTAGGAAACCCATGGGAAGCAGATAGGAAGAGATAAGCCCCTTTTTCCTCTTCCAGCTTTGCAGTCTCCCTTTAGCACCACCCATATTGTCAGAGTCTAACAGGAAACCAGCGGTCAAAGCAGAAATACGGTTTTGAGAGCCTCAGCTCCAGCATTCTAAAGCAGAATAAAGAAAGATGGATTTCAAAGTTAAAAATAATACTAATAACTGGCCGGGCACAGTGGCAGTTATTTTGGGAGGCCAAGGCTGGAGAATTGTTTGAGGCCAGGAGTTTCAGGCATGCAGTGAGCTATGATCATGCCACTGCCCTCTGGCCTGGATGACAGAACGAGACCCTATCTCTATAAAAAATTAAAAAATTAGCTGGGTGTGATGGCATGCACCTATAGTCCTGGCTACTGGGGGCTGAGGCAGGAGGATCCCTTGAGCCTGTAGTGAGCTATGATCACGCCACTGCTCTCCAGCCTGGCAGCAGAGTGAGACCCTGTCTCTACAAATAATAATAGTAACAACTTAATAAAGGGCACAATTATGTTATTCAGATTCTCCCTAAAATAATTTTCTGTCTGCTTGGTTTGTTAACTTTGGAAATAGGTATATTAAAGTCTGTCCCCACTGTTGTAGATTTGTCAGTATCTCCTTGCATTTCTGGCTTTTTTTTTTTTTTTTTTTACTGTGAAGTTGGTTTGGTTCTCTGTTATTAGGTTTGTGACTTTTATCTTGGTAGGTTGTGTATTTTAATCGTTGTAAAATATCCCAGGTAGATAAATAATTTTGGTTTTGACTTGGGCCTCTATTTTGTTTGATATGAATATTTATTTTAGGATATCTTAAAAACAATATAGTACTGCATATTTTTGCTTATATGATTCTTAATGAGTCTTTTTTCATAGAAGAATTTAACTCACATGGTGATTATTGATACATTTCACCTTATTTCTACCATTAGTGTGTTTTCTATTTACCTATGCTTTTTCTTTTTTTTCTTCTTGTGAGCACTAAGTTTTCTTTCAATTCCAATCTTTTCACTAATTGTTTAAAGCAAGAAATCTCATGTCTGTATCTCTAATGGTTACCCTAAAACTTTTTTTTTTTTCTTTTTAGAGACAGAGTCTCACCCTATCACCCCAGGCTGAAGTGCGGTTACACGATCGTGCTCAAACTGTATTGTTGAACTCTGGGGCTCAAGTGATCCTCCTGCCTCAGCCTCCCAAGTAGCTGGGACCACTGCACCTGGCTATTACCCTAAAACTTTTAATTCACATTTTAAAACTCACTTTTGTCTATCAACACCTAGAATCAACCAAATACATGTCTTCTTTTTTAATAAGAAAATTTTAATATGCATCTATCTATGCCACCCTACTCCCATCACTTCCCATAATGTAATAAACTCTAACAATAATTTAGATTGGTTTTAATTTTTAAAATTATATACCAATGATTCTTTAGACTGAAAGATTGAACCTCATTCTTAGGTTCTTTATCATGTGTACATATGTATAACTTAGGAGCAGAGACTTCTGTTTACAATACAACTCAGGTCCTAATACAGTATAATTTTTAATCTCTTCAAAGTTCTTCTTACCCTCTTATTTTTTTTCTTTCATCCTTAATTCCTACTCCCATTTCCTGTTTTCATATAAATGTCTACTTTTATCTTGGATATATTTTCCTGCATATATGTATTTATCTTTGTAAAATATATATTATTTTGTGTGTAATGTGTTTGTAATTTACATAATGGTAATATGGTCTTGAGCTCTTTCTGTTACTTGATTTTTTCAGTCAACATTGTTTTTAAGACCTTTCCTTCTTGCCATATGTCCATCTAGTTATTGGCTTTTTATTTTATTTTTTTGAGACGGAGTCTCACGCTGTTGCCCAGGCTGGAGTGCAATGGTGCGATCTCCGCTCACTGCAAGCTCTGCCTCCTGGGTTCTCGCCATTCTCCTGCCTCAGCCTCTTGAGTTCCTGGGACTACAAGCGCCCGCCACCATGCCCGGCTAATTTTTTGTATTTTTAGTGGAGACAGGGTTTCATCATGTTAGCCAGGATGGTCTCGATCTCCTGACCTCATGATCTGCCTGCCTCAGCCTCCCAAAGTGTTGGGATTACAGGCGTGAGCCACCGCGCCCAGCCTAGTTACTGACTTTTAACTAATGCAGAGTATTCTACAATATATGCTCTAAACACATTTCACACATCTCTTCCCTTACTGATGAACACTTAGGTTGCTTATAACTCTCTTACTACAAATGGTGCTACAATGAACAACCTTGTGAACATCTTTTGCATATACCACTGTGCCAGGGTTTTCCTGGAGTATTTACCCAGAAGTGGGATTGATGGATGACAGAGTATATGTATATGTAGTTTTAAAAATTGCCACCTGATTGTTCTTCAAAATAGTTGCTTCAGTGTACACTCACACAAGTAGTACATAAGGGTTCTTGTCTTCCTATGTCCTTATCAATACTTGGTATTATCTTACTTTATAGTTTTTCTAAGTTTTATTATTCTGGGTAGGTGTAAAGTGATATTTATCTTTAAAAACTTTTTAATTTATAATTTTTGTGGGTACATAGTAGATGTACATATTTATGGGGCACATGAGATATTTTGGTATAGGCATGTAATATACTCTTTTAGTTATTTTTAAATGTACAATTAAATTAAAGTATTATTGACTATAGTCCCCCTGTTGTGCTACCAAATACTAGGTCTTATTCATTCTATTTTTTTTGTATCAATTAACCATCCCCACCTCTCCCCCAGGCCCCCACTATCCTTCCCAGCCTCTGGTAACCATCTTTCTACTCTCTGTGTCCATGAGTTCAATTGTTTTGATTTTCAGATCCCACAAATAAGTGAGAATATGCAATTTTTGTCCTTCTGTGCCTGGCTTATTTCACTTAACATAGGGACCTCCAGTTCCATCCACGTTCTTGCAAATGATAGAATCTCATTCTTTTTAATGGCCGAATAGTACTCCATTGTATATATGTACCACATTTTCTTTATCCATTCATCTGTTGATGGATGCGTAGGTTGCTTCCAAATCTTGGCTATTGTGAACACTGCTGCAACAAACATAAGAGTGCAGATATCTCTCTGATATACCGATTTCCCTTCTTTTGGGTATATACTCAGCATTGGGATTGCTGGATCATATGGTAGCTGTATTTTTAGTTTTGTGAGGAACTTCCAAACTGTTCTTCATAGTGGTTGTGCTAATTTACATTCCCAGCAACAGTGTATGAGGGTTCCCTTTTCTCCACATCCTCACCAGCATTTGTTATTGCCTGACTTTTGGATAACAGCCATTTTAACTAGGGTGAGATGATATCTCATTGTAGTTTTGATTTGCATTTCTCTGATGGTCAGTGATGTTAAGAACCTTTTGATATGCTGTTTTCCATTTGAATGACTTCTTTTGAAAAATGTTTATTCAGATCTTTTGCCCATTTTTTAGTCAGATTATTAGATTTTTCCCTGTGGAGTTGTTTGAGCTCCTTATATATTCTGATTATTAATCCCTTGTCAGATGGGTAGTTTGCACATGTTTTCTCCCATTCTGTGGGTTGTCTCTTTGTTGATTATTTCCTTTGTTGTACAGAAGCTTTTTAACTTGATGTGATCCCATTTGTCTATTTTTGCTTTGGTTGCCTGTGCTTGTGAGATATTACTACTCAAGAAAATTTTGCCCAGACCAGTGTCCTGGAAAGTTTCCTCAATGTTTTCTTGTAGGTGTTTCACAGTTTGAGGTCTTATATTTAATTCAAATAAAAGGCAAGAGATGGAGTCAAGTTTAATTCTTCTGCATATGGATATCCTCTTATCCCAGAACCATTTATTGAAGAGACTGTCTTTTCCCCAATGTGTGTTCTTGGCACCCTTGTCGAAAATCGGTTTACTGTAGGTGTGTGGATTTATTTCTAGGTTCTCTATTCTGTTCCATTGGTCTGTGTGTCCATTTTTATGCCAGTACCATACTGTTTTGGTTACTGTAGCTTTATAGTATAATTTGAAGTCAGGTAATGTGATTCCTCTAGTTTTGTTCTTTTTGCTCAGGATAGATTTGGCCATTCTGGGTCTTTTGTGGTTCCATATAAATTTTAAGATAGTTTTTTTCTATTTCTGTGAAGAATGTCATTGGTATTTTGTAGGGATTGTATTGAATCTCTAGAATGCTTTCAGTACTGTGGACATTTTAACAATATTGATTCCTCCAATCCATGAACATGGGATATCTTTCCATTTTTATGTGTCCTTTTCAATTTCTTTCATTGGTGTTTTATAGTTTTTATTGTAGAGATCTTTTACTTCTTTGGTTAATTCCTAGGTATTTTATTGGTGGCTATTGTAAATGGGATTCCTTTTTTATTTCTTTTTCAGATTGTTCACTGTTGGCATATAGAAATGCTACCAATTTTGTATGTTGACTTCGAGTCCTGAAACTTTACTGAATCTGCTTATCAGTTCTAATCATTTTTTGGTGGAGTCTTTAGGTTTTTCCAATATAAGATCATATCATCTGCAAACAGGGATAATTCAACTTCCTCCCTTCCGGTTTGGATCCCCTTTATTTCTTTCTCTTTGATTGCTGTAGCTAAGACTTCCAGTAATCAGTTGAATAATGGTGGTAAAAGTGGGTATCCTTGTCATGTTCCACATATAAGAGGAAAGGCTTTCAGTTTTTCCCCATTTAGTACGATACTAACTATGTGTCTGTCATATATAGCTTTTAATATGTTGAGGTGTGGTTCTTCTATACCTAGTTTTTTGAGGGTTTTTATTATGAAGGGATGTTGAACTATATCAAATGCTTTTTCAGCATCAATTGAAATGATCATATGGTTTTAGTCCTTCATTCTGTTGATGTGATGTATCACATTGATTGATTTGTGTGTGTTGAAACATCCTTGCATCCCTGGGATAAATCCCACTTGGCCATAATTAATGATTTTTTTTTTTTCTTGAGATGGAGTTTCACTCTTGTTGCCAAGGCTGGAGTGCAATGGCACGATCTTGGCTCACCGCAGCCTCCACCTCCCAGGTTCAAGTGATTCTCCTGCCTCAGCCTCCCAAGTAGCTGGGATTACAGGCATATGCCACCATGCCTGGCTAATTTTGTATTTTCAGTAGACATGGGGTTTCTCCATGTTGATCAGGCTGGTCTTGAACTCCCGACCTCAGGTGATCCGCCCACCTTGGCCTCCCAAAGTGCTGGGATTACAGGCATGAGCCACTGCGCCTGGCCGATGAATGATCTTCTTAATATACTGTTGAATTTGTTTTGCTAGTATTTTGTTGAGGATTTCTGCATCAATATTCATCAGATATATTGGCCTGTATTATTATTATTATTTTATTTATTTATTTTATTGATTTTTTTGAGACAGAGTTTCGCTTTTATTGCCCAGGCTGGAGTGCAGTGGCGGTTTCTCGGCTCACTGCAACCTCCGCCTCCTGGGTTCAAGAGATTCTCCTGCCTCAGCCTGCCAAATAGCTGGGATTACAGGTGTCTGCCACCACGCCTGGCTAATTTTTTGTATTTTTAGTAGAGACAGGGTTTCACCATGATGGCCAGGCTGGTCAGTATTATTATTTTTTTTAATGTGTGTTTGTCTGGTTTTGGTATCAGGGTAATGCTGGCCTCATAGAATGAGTTTGGAAGTATTCCCTCCTCCTTTATCTTTCCGAACAGTTTGAATAGGATTGGTATTAGTTCTTTAAATGTTTGGTAGAATTCAGCAGTGAAGCCATGATGTCTCAGGCTTTTCTTTACTGGGAGACTTTTTATTATGGTTTCAATCACGTTACTTGTTAATGGTCTGTTTAGGTTTTGAATTTCCTCATAGTTCAATCTTGGTAGATTGTATATGTCTAGAATTTATCCATTTCTTCTAGATTTTCCAATTTATTGGCATATAGTTGTTCATAGTAGCCACTTATGATCCTCTGAATTTCTTCAGTAACAGCTGTAATATCTCCTTTTTTATCTCTGATTTTATTTATTTGGGTCTTCTGTTTTTTTCTTAGCCTAACTAAAGGTTACTGAATTTTGTTTATCTTTTCAAAAAACCAACTTTTTGTTTCATTGGTCTTGTGTAGTGTTTGCCTCATTTCAAATTCATTTATTTGTGCTCAGATATTTATTATCTCTTTTCTTCTACTACTTTTGGGTTTGGTTTGCTCTTGCTTCTCTAGTTCTTTAAGATGCATCATTAGGTTATTTATTTGAAGTTTTTCTAGTTTTTTATGTAGGCACTTGGAGCTATAAATTTTCCTATTAGTACTGTTTTTGCTGTATCTTATATGTTTTGGTATGTTGTGTCCATTATCATTTGTTTCAAGAAAATTTTAAAATTTCCATCTTAATTTCTTCATTGATCCATGGGTCATTTAGTAGCATATTGTTTAATTTCTATGTGTTTGTATAGTTTCCAAAATTCCTCTTATCATTGATTTCTAATTTTATTCCATTATGGTCAGAGAAGATGTTTGATATTATTTCAAGATTTTTTAAAAATGTTTTAAGACTTGTTTTGTGACCTAACATATGGTCTATACTTGAAAATGATCCATGTGCTGAGGATAAAAATGTGTATTCTGAAGCCACTGGATGAAATGTTCTGTAAATATCTGTTAAGTCCATTTTTTCTATGATGCAGATTAAGTCCAGTGTTTCTTTGTTGATTTTCTGTCTGGGAGATCTGTCCAATGCTGAAAGTGGGGTGTTGAAGTCTCCAGCTATTACTGTGTTGGATTCTATCTCCAATAATACTTGCTTTATATATCTGGGTGCTCCAGTGGTGGGTGCATATATATTTGTAATCAGTATATCTTCTTGCTGAATTGACCCCTTTATCATTATATAATTATCTTCTTTGTTTTTTTAATTATCTTCTTAAAGTTTTTGTCTTGAAATCTATTTTGTCTGATATAAGTATAGCTATTCCTTCCCCTTTTTGGTTTCCACTTGCATGGAATATCTTTTTCCATCCCTTTATTTTTAGTCTATGTGTATCTTTTTAGATGAGGTGTGTTTCTTGTAGGCAGCAAATTACTGGGTCTTGTTTTTACATCCATTTAGCTACCTTGTCTTTATTGGAGAGTTTAGTTATTTACATTTAATGTTACTATTAAGCAGGGACTTACTCCTGCCATTTTGTTGTATTTTCTTGTTGTTTTATGGTCTTCTCTTCCTTCTTTCCCTCTTGTCTTCCTTTTACTGAAGGTGATTTTCTCTGGTAATATGTTTTAATTTCTTGCATTTTATTTTTTGTGTATCCATCGTATATTTTTTGATTTGAGGTTGCCATAAGGCTTGCAAATACTATCTTATAACCCGTTATTTTAAACTGATGACAACTTAACACTGATTGCACAAACAAACATGTCAAAAGAAAACTAACAAAAACTCAACACTTTAACTTTGTCCCCCAACTTACTAACTTTTTGTTGTTTCTATTTATGTCTTATTATACTATGTCTTGAAAAGTTGTTGTAATTATTATTTTTTATTGGTTCATCATTTAGCCTTTCTACTTAAGTCAAGAGAAGTTTACACATGACCACTACAGAATTATGCTATTTTGTGTTTTTCTGTGTGCTTAGTATTACCAGTGAGTTTTGGACCTTCAGATGATTTCTTCTTGCTCATTAACATCCTTTATTGAGACTGAAGAACTTCCTTTTGCATTTCTTGTAGGACATATCTTGTGTTAATGAAATCCCTCAGCTTTTGTTTGTCTGGAAAGGTTTTTATTTCTCCTTCATGCTTAAAGAATATTTTCACTGGATCTACTATTCTGGGGTTAAAGTTTTTTTTTTTCTTTTTTTTTTTTTTTTAGCAGTTTAAATATGTCATGCCACTCTCTCCTGGCCTGTAAGGTTTCCACTGAAAAGCCTCCTGCCAGATATATTGGTGCTCCATTGTATGTTGTTTCTTATCTCTTACTGCTTTTAGGATCCTTGACCTTTGGGAATTTGATTAAATGCCTTGAAGTAGGCTTCTTAGGCTTAAATCTACTTGGTGTTCTATAACTTTCTTATGCTTGAATGTTGGTATCTTTCTCTAGGTTTGGGAAGTTCTCTGATATTATCCATTTGAATAAACTTTCTATCCCTATCTCATGTTCTACCTCCTCTTTAAGGCCATTAGATTTGTGCTTTTTAAGGCTATTTTCTGGATCTGGTAGGCATACTTCACTGTTTTTTTATTCTTTTTTCTTTTGTCTTCTCTGGTATTTTCAAATAGTCTGTTGAGCTCACTAATTCTTCTGCTTGATCCTTTCTGCTCTCAAGAGACTGATGCATTCTTTAGTATATCAATTACATTTTTCAGCTCTAGAATTTCTGCTTGATTCTTTTTAATTATTTCGATCTGTTTGTTAAATTTATCTGATAGAATTCTGAATTCCTTCTTTGTGTTATCTTGAATTTCTTTGAGTTTCCTCAAAATAGCTGTTTTGAATTCTCTGTCTGAAAGGTCATACATCTCTGTTTCTCCAGGATTGGTCCCTGGTGCCTTATTTAGTTCATTTGGTGAGGTCATGTTTTCCTGGATCATGTTGACACTCTTAAATGTCTCTGGTGATTTACTGTAGTCATCATAATCTGGGCTTATTTGTGCTTGTCCTTCTTGGGAAGGCTTTCCAGGTATTTGAAGGGACTTGGACCCCAAGCCCAATAATGCTGTGATTTTTGCAAACTTGTACATGCACCATCTTGGTTGTCTTAGGTAAGATCTGGAAGAATTCTCTGGATTACCAGGCGGAGACTCTTGTTCTTTTCCCTTACTTTCTGCCAAACATATGGAATCTCTCTCTTTTCCAAGCCATCTGAAACTGAGGGTGCGGTGATGCAAGCACCCCTGTGGCCCCCACCACTGGTGCTGTGTCAGACCCGAAGCCAACACAGCACTGGGCTTTGCCCAGTGCCCTTCCCTTCAGGTTGGCAAGTTTCCCCAGGCCCTGGGTGTGTCCAGAGATGCTGTCTGGGAGCCAGCGAGTGGAGTCAAGCACCTTAGCAATTTACACGATATTCTATTCTACTGCAGCTAAGCTGGCACTCAAACCATAGTACAAAGTCCTTCCCACGCTTCCCTCCCCTTTCCACAGGCAGAGGAGCCTCTCTGTGGCTACCACCACCAGTTCATGGGGGTTTCTGCCAGGCCACTGACAATATTTGCTTAAAGCCCAAGGGATCTTCCCACAGGTTGTGGTAAATGCTACCAGGCCTGGGACTCACCCTTCAGAGCAGTGAACTCCTCTCTTGCCCAGAGTGGGCCCAGAAATGCTGTCCAGGAACCTAGGTCTGGACTCAGAGACCTTAAGAGGCTGCTTGTTGCTTTACCTTACTGTGGCCGAGCCAGTGCCAATGGTGCAAGACAAACTCTCTTTTACTTTTCCCTCTGCTTTTCTCAAACTTCTGTTTGAGTCTTTCACCATAGCCACTACATCTGGAAATGTGCTCCATCACCCCTGAAGCCAGGACATCTCAGGCCTTAAGGCCCATAGTGTACTCCCTCAGTATTGCTGCTGGTTATTCAGGGCCGAAGGGCTCTTTAGTCAACAGGGGATGAATCTTGCCAGTACTAGGTCCTTCCCTTCAAAGCAGCAGGTTCCCTTTTGGCCCAGGGTGTGTTTAGAAATGTTGTCAGGGAGCTAGGGTTATCAAGGGCCATGTGATGAATCCTGCCAGGACTGAGTCCTTCCCTTGAAAGCAGTTTTCCCTTTTGGCCAAGAGTGTGTTTAGAAATGTTTAAGAACTAGGGCCTGGAATGAGGCCTCACAAGTCTTCCCAGTGCCCTATCCTGTGCCTAAGCTGGTATCCAAGATACAAGACGAAATCTTCTTTACTAGCTCTCCTCTCCTTAAGTAGAAGGAAGGAGACACTTTTCTTGCTGTGAACTGCACTGCCTGGGGTTAGGGGAGGGGTGGCACAAGCACTCCCTTAGCTGCGCCAGCTGGTGTCTCTCTAGGTCATGTGCCACCCTAGTTCACTGACTCTAAGCCCAGCCTAACACTAGGAGTTGCCTAAGAATTACAGCTCTTGTGTCCTAGATTGCCTTTCAAGTTTATCTAGAACTCCATTGCACTTCAGCCAATGGTGGCAAGGCTGGCCAAGAAACTTCAGTTCCAACAGCTGAGATGGGTGATTCCCCTCTGGCTAGGGGCTAGTCCAAATTCTGCCTCTGTGCACCAGCACCAGCTGAGCCCAGCATGGCTTTATTCTCTGCTGTGACAGGGCAGCACGGAGTTCAATGTAAGGTCCCTCGGTTGCTGTGCTCTCCATCCGCAAAATGCACAGATTCTGTCTCTGCACCACATGGCTTCTGCCAGGGGATGGAGGAGGAGTGGCATTGATGATTTAAGACTGTCTCTCCTGCCCTCCTCAATACCTCTTTCAGTGATGTGAAGTTAAAACCAGTTACTGTAATTGCTCACCTGCGTTTTTGTTCTTGTGATAGTGCTATTCAGTGTGTAGATAACTGTTAAAATTTGGTGTTTAGGGGACGGGGGGACAAATGGTGTAGGCTTCTATTCTGCCATCTTGCTCTGCCCTCTTTGGTTACTGATATTTGTTTTAATGTGCACTTTTCTGTCTGCGGTCAGTGTTAAGCATTCTCCATTTACTTAGCTATTTGGTTTTCTACTTCTATGAATTGGTATTTCATATCCCTGGACAGTTTTATATCTTCTTTTATTACTACCTATGTTAATTTTATCTATAATAGTATAGATGACATTTTTAAGAGAAAATCTTGATTTTTTAATCTTTTATTTTGGGTTCAAGGGTTGATATGGTTTGGCTGTGTCTCCACTCAAATCTCATCTTGAATTAATTGTAATCCCCATAATCCCCACCCAGTGGGAAGTCATTGGATCATGGTGGCAGTTCTCCCCATGTTGTTCTCATGATAGTGAGTTCTCATTAGATCTGATAGTTATGTTAAGTGTTTGGCAAGTTTCTTCTTCATTCATTCTCTCACCTGCCACCTTGTGAAGAAGGTGCCTGCCTCCCCCTCGCTTTCTGCCATGATTGTAAGTTTCCTGAGGCCTCCTAAGCCATACAGAACTGTGAGTCAATTTTCTTTATAAATTACTCAGTCTCAGGCAGTTCTTATAGCAATGTGAGAACGGACTAACATGGGGTACATGTACAAGTTCATTATATAGGTAAATTGCATGTCATGGGGGGTTTGATGTACAGATTATCTCATCACCCAGGTAATAAGAATAGTACTGGACAGGTAGTTCTTCAGTCCTCACCCTTTACCCACCCTCTACCCTCAAGTAGATCCTGGTGCCTGTTTTTCTTTTCTTTGTGTTAATATGTACTTGATGTTTAGCTCCCACTTACAAGTGAGAACATTCAGTACTTGGTTTTCTATTCCTGTGTTAATTTTCTTAGGATAATGGTCTCCAGCTCATCTGTGTTTCTGCAAAGGACATGATTTCATTCTTTTTTTATGGCTACATAGTATTCCATGGTGTATATGTATCACACCAAAATATGTACATTTTCTTCATCCAGTCTACCATTGATTGGTATTTAGGTTGATTCCATGTCTTTGTTATTGTGAATAGTGCTGCGGTGAACATACATGTGCATATATCTTTGTAATAGATTGATTTATATCCCTTTGGGTATATACCCAATAGTGGTATTGCTGGATCCAATAGTAATTCTGTTTTTAAGTTCTTTCAGAAGTTGCAAAACTGCTTTCCACAATGGCTGAACTAATTTATATTTCCACCAGCAGTGTATAAGCCTTCCCTTTACTCCACAACTTTGACAGCATCTGTTGTTTTTTTGACATTTTCATAATAGTAATTCTGACTGGCGTACATGATATTAATATCTCATTATGGTTTTGATTTGCATTTTTCTAATGATTAGTGATGTTGAGCATTTTTTCATATGCTTATTGGCAGGATGTATGTCTCCTTTTTTTTTTCTTTTGAAGTCTTTATTTTTTTATTTATTTTTATTTTTTATTATACTTCAAGTTTTAGGGTACATGTGCACAACGTGCAGGTTAGTTACATATATATACATGTGCCATGTTGGTGTGCTGCACCCAGCAGCTCATCATTTAATGTTAGGTATAACTCCAAATGCTATCCCTCCCCCTCCCCCACCCCACAACAGGCCCCAGTGTGTGATGTTCCCTTCCTGTGTCCATGTGTTCTCATTGTTCAATTCCCACCTATGAGTGAGAACATGCAGTGTTTGGTTTTCTGTCCTTGAGATAGTTTGCTGAGAATGATGATTTCCAGCTTCATACATGTCCCTACAAAGGACATGAACTCATCATTTTTTATGGCTGCATAGTATTCCATGGTGTATATGTGGCACATTTTCTTAATCCAGTCTGTCATTGTTGGACATTTGGGTTGGTTCCAAGTCTTTGCTATTGTGAATAGTGCCACAATAAACATACATGTGCATGTGTCTTTACAGCAGCATGACTTATAATCCTTTGGGTATATACCCAGTAATGGGATTTCTGGGTCAAATGGTATTTCTAGTTCTAGATCCCTGAGGAATTGCCACACTGACTTCCACAACGGTTGAACTAGTTTACAGTCCCACCAACAGTGTAAAAGTGTTCCTATTTCTCCACATCCTCTCCAGCACCTGTTGTTTCCTGACTTTTTAATGATCACCATTCTAACTGGTGTGAGATGGTATCTCATTGTGGTTTTGATTTGCATTTCTCTGATGGCCAGTGATGATGAGCATTTTTTCATGTGTCTTTTGGCTGCATAAATGTCTTCTTTTGAGAAGTGTCTGTTCATATCCTTCACCCACTTTTTGATGGGGTTGTTTGTTTTTTTCTTGTAAATTTGTTTGAGTTCATTGTAGATTCTGGATATTAGCCCTTTGTCAGATGAGTAGATTGCAAAAATGTTCTCCCATTCTGTAGGTTGCCTGTTCACTCTGATGGTAGTTTATTTTGCTGTGCAGAAGCTCTTTAGTTTAATTAGATCCCATTTGTCAATTTTGGCTTTTGTTGCCATTGCTTTTGGTGTTTTAGACATGAAGTCCTTGCCCATGCCTATGTCCTGAATGGTAATGCCTAGGTTTTCTTCTAGGGCTTTTATGGTTTTAGGTCTAACATTTAAGTCTTTAATCCATCTTGAATTAATTTTTGTATAAGGGGTAAGGACGGGATCCAGTTTCAGCTTTCTACATATGGCTAGGCAGTTTTCCCGGCACCACTTATTAAATAGGGAATCATTTCCCCATTTCTTGTTTTTGTCAGGTTTGTCAAAGATCAGATGGTTGTAGATATGCAGCGTTATTTCTGAGGGCTCTGTTCTGTTCCATTGGTCTATATCTCTGTTTTGGTACCGGTACCATGCTGTTTTGGTTACTGTAGCCTTGTAGTACAGTTTGAAGTCAGGTAGCGTGATGCCTCCAGCTTTGTTCTTTTGGCTTAGGATTGACTTGGCGATGCGGGCTCTTTTTTGGTTCCATATGAACTTTAAAGTAGTTTTTTCCAATTCTGTGAAGAAAGTCATTGGTAGCTTGATGCAGATGGCATTGAATCTATAAATTACCTTGGGCAGTATGGCCATTTTCATAATACTGATTCTTCCTATCCATGAGCATGGAAGGTTCTTCCATTTGTTTGTATCCTCTTTTATTTCATTGAGCAGTGGTTTGTAGTTCTCCTTGAAGAGGTCCTTCACATTGCTTGTAAGTTGGATTCCTAGGTATTTTATTCTCTTTGAAGCAATTGTGAATGGGAGTTCACTCATGATTTGGCTCTCTGTTTGTCTGTTATTGGTGTATAAGAATGCTTGTGATTTTTGCACATTGATTTTGTATCCTGAGACTTTGCTGAAGTTGCCTATCAGCTTAAGGAGATTTTGGGCTGAGACAATGGGGTTTTCTAGATACACAGTCATGTCATCTGCAAACAGGGACAATTTGACTTCCTCTTTTCTTGATTGAATACCCTTTATTTCCTTCTCCTGCCTGATTGCCCTGGCCAGAACTTCCAACACTATGTTGAATAGGAGTGGTGAGAGAGGGCTTCCCTGTCTTGTGCCAGTTTTCAAAGGGGATGCTTCCAGTTTCTGCCCATTCAGTATGATATTGGCTGTGGGTTTGTCATAAATAGCTCTTACTATTTTCAGATATGTCCAATCAATACCTAATTTATTGAGAGTTTTTAGCATGAAGGGCTGTTGAATTTTGTCAAAGGCCTTTTCTGCATCTATTGAGATAATCATATGGTTTTTGTCATTGGTTCTGTTTATATGTTGGATTATGTTTATTGATTTGCATATGTTGAACCAGCCTTGCATCCCAGGGATGAAGCCCACTTCATCGTGGTGGATAAGCTTTTTGATGTGCTGCTGGATTCGGTTTGCCAGTATTTTATTGAGGATTTTTGCATCAATGTTCATCAGGGATATTGGTCTAAAATACTCTTTTTTTGTTGTGTCTCTGCCAGGCTTTGGTATCAGGATGATGCTGGCCTCATAAAATGAATTAGGGAGGATTCCCTCTTTTTCTATTGATTGGAATAGTTTCAGAAGGAATGGTACCAGCTCCTCCTTGTACCTCTAGTAGAATTCAGCTGTGAATCCATCTGGTCCTGGACGTTTTTTGGTTGGTAAGCTATTAATTATTGTCTCAATTTCAGCTCCTGTTATTGGTCTATTCAGAGATTCAACTTCTTCCTGGTTTAGCCTTGGGAGGGTGTATGTGTTGAGGAATTTATCCATTTCTTCTAGATTTTCTAGTTTATTTGCATAGAGGTGTTTATAGTATTCTCTGATGGTAGTTTGTATTTCTGTGGGATCAGTGGTGATATCCCCTTTATCACTTTTTATTGCATCTATTTGATTCTTCTCTCTTTTCTTCTTTATTAGTCTTGCTAGCGGTCTATCAATTTTGTTGATCTTTTCAAAACACCAGCTCCTGGATTCATTGATTTTTTTGAAGGGTTTTTTGTGTCTCTATTTCCTTCAGTTCTGCTCTGATCTTAGTTATTTCTTGCCTTCTGCTAGCTTTTGAATGTGTTTGCTCTTGCTTCTCTAGTTCTTTTAATTGTGATGTTAGGGTGTCAATTTTAGATATTTCCTGCTTTCTCTTGTGGGCATTTAGTGCTATAAATTTCCCTCTACACACTGCTTTGAATGTGTCCCAGGGATTCTGGTATGTTGTGTCTTTGTTCTCATTGGTTTTAAAGAACATCTTTATTTCTGCCTTCATTTCGTTGTGTACCCAGTAGTCATTCAGGAGCAGGTTGTTCAGTTTCCATGTAGTTGAGCGGGTTTGAGTGAGTTTCTTAATCCTGAGTTCTAGTTTGACTGCACTGTGGTCTGAGAGACAGTTTGTTATAATTTCTGTTCTTTTACATTTGCTGATGAGTGCTTTACTTCCAACTGTGTGGTCAATTTTGAAATAAGTGTGGTGTGATGCTGAGAAGAATGTATATTCTGTTGATTTGGGGTGGAGAGTTCTGTAGATGTCTATTAGGTCTGCTTGGTGCAGAGCTAAGTTCAATTCCTGGATATCCTTGTTAACTTTCTGTCTCATTGATCTGTTTAATGTTGACAGTGGGGTGTTAAAGTCTCCCATTATTATTGTGTGGGAGTCTAAGTCTCTTTGTAGGTCTCTAAGCACTTGCTTTATGAATCTGGGTGCTCCTGTATTGGGTGCATATATATTTAGGATAGTTAGCTCTTCTTGTTGAATTGATCCCTTTACCATTATGTAATGGCCTTCGTCTCCTTTGATCTTTGTTGGTTTAAAGTCTGTTTTATCAGAGACTAGAATTGCAACCCCTGCCTTTTTTTGTTTTCCACTTGCTTGGTAGATCTTCCTCCATCCCTTTATTTTGAGCCTATGTGTGTCTCTGCACATGAGATGGATTTCCTGAACACAGCACACTGATGGTTCTTGACTCTTTATCGAATTTGCCAGTCTGTGTCTTTTAATTGGAGCATTTAGCCCATTGACACTTAAGGTTAATATTGTTATGTGTGAATTTGATCCTGTCATTATGATGTTAGCTGGTTATTTTGCTCGTTAGTTGATGCAGTTTCTTCCTAGCCTCGATAGTCTTTACAATTTGGCATGTTTTTGCAGTGGCTGGTACTGGTTGTTCCTTTCCATGTTTAGTGCTTCCTTCAGGAGCTCTTTTAGGCAGGCCTGGTGGTGACAAAATCTCTCAGCATTTGCTTGTCTGTAAAGGATTTTATTTCTCCTTCACTTAGGAAGCTTAGTTTGGCTGGATATGAAATTCTGGGTTGAAAATTCTTTTCTTTAAGAATGTTGAATATTGGCCCCCACTCTCTTCTGGCTTGTAGAGTTTCTGTCAAGAGATCAGCTGTTAGTCTGATGGGCTTCCCTTTGAGGGTAACCCGACCTTTCTCTCTGGCTGCCCCTAACATTTTTTCCTTCATTTCAACTTTGGTGAATCTGACAATTATGTATCTTGGAGTTGCTCTTCTCGAGGAGTATCTTTGTGGCGTTCTGTGTATTTCCTGAATTTGAATGTTGGCCTGCCTTGCTAGGTTGGGGAAGTTCTCCTGGATAATATCCTGCAGAGTGTTTTCCAACTTGTTCCATTCTCCCCGTAACTTTCAGGTACACCAATCAGACGTAGATTTGGTCTTTTCACATAGTCCCATATTTCTTGGAGGCTTTGTTTCTTTTTATTCTTTTTTCTCTCAGTTTCTCTTCTCGCTTCATTTCATTCATTTGATCTTCCATCACTGATACCCTTTCTTCCAGTTGATCAAATAGGCTTGTGCATTCATCACGTAGTTCTCGTGCCATGGTTTTCAGCTCCATCAGGTCCTTTAAGGACTTCTCTGCATTGGTTATTCTAGTTAGTCATTCGTCTAATTCTTTTTCAAGGTTTTTAACTTCTTTGCCATGGGTTCGAACTTCCTCCTTTAGCTTGGAGTAGTTCGATCGTCCGAAGCCTTCTTCTCTCAACTCGTCAAAGTCATTCTCCATCCAGCTTTGTTCCGTTGCTGGTGAGGAGCTGCATTCCTTTGGAGGAGGAGAGGCATTCTGATTTTTAGAGTTTCCAGTTTTTCTGCTCTGTTTTTTCCCCATCTTTGTGGTTTTATCTACCTTTGGCCTTTGATGATGGTGACGTACAGATGGGGTTTTGATGTGGATGTCCTTTCTGTTAGTTTTCCTTCTAACAGTCAGGACCCTAAGCTGCAGGTCTGTTGGAGTTTGCTGGAGGTCCACTCTAGACCCTGTTTGCCTGGGTATCAGCGGTGGAGGCTGCAGAACAGCAGATATTGGTGAACAGCAGATGTTGCTGCTTGATCGTTCCTCTGGAAGTTTTGTCTCTGAGGAGTACCTGGCCATGTGAGGTGTCAGTCTGCCCCTACTGGGGGGTGCCTCCCAGTTAGGCTACTCGGGGGTCAGGGACCCACTTGAGGAGGCAGTCTGTCCATTCTCAGATCTCCAGCTGCATGCTGGGAGAACCACCACTCTCTTCAAAGCTGTCAGACACGGACATTTAAGTCTGCGGAGGATTCTGCTGCCTTTTGTTTGGCAATGTCCTGCCCTCAGAGGTGGAGTCTACAGAGGCAGGCAGGCCTCCTTGAGTTGCGGCGGGCTCTACCCAGTTCGAGCTTCCTGGCTGCCTTGTTTACCTACTCAAGCCTCGGCAATGGCGGGTGCCCCTCCCCCAGACTCACTGCCCCATTGCAGTTTGATATCAGACTGCTGTGCTAGCAATGAGTGAGGCTCCTTGGGCCTAGGATCCTCCAAGCCAGGTGCGGGATATAATCTCTTGGTGTGCCGTTTGCTAAGACTGTTGGAAAAGCGCAGTATTAGGGTGGGAGTGACCCGATTTTCCAGGTGCCGTCTGTCACCCCTTTCTTTGAGTAGGAAAGGGAATTCCCTGACCCCTTGCGCTACCTGGGTGAGGCAATGCCTCGCCCTGCTTTGGCTCACACTCGGTGCGCTGCACCCACTGTCCTGCACCCACTTTCCGACACTCCCCAGTGAGATGAACCCCGTACCTCAGTTGGAAATGCAGAAATCACCTGTGTTCTGCGTCGCTCATGCTGGGAGCTGTAGACTGGAGCTGTTCCTATTTGGCCATCTTGGCTCCACCCCACTATGTCTTCTTTTGAAAAGTATCTGTTCATGTCGTTTGCCTACTTTTTAATGGGGTGGTTTTTTGCTTATAAATTTAAGTACCTTATAGATTCTGGATAGTAGACCTTTGTTGGTTACATAGTTTGAAAATATTTTCTCTGATTCTATACTTTATCTGTTTACTCTGTTGATAGTTTCCTTTGCTAGGCAAAAGCCCTTTAGTTTAATTGGGTCTCATTTGTCAATTACTGTTTCTGTCACATTTGCTTTAGGCATCTTTGTCATGGACTCTTTGCCCAGTCCTATGTCCAGAAGTGTATTTCCTAGGCTATCTATCTTCCAGAATTTTTATAATTTTAGGTTTTACATTTAAGTCTTTAATGCATCCTGAGTTTGTTTTTGTAGATGGTGTAAGGAAGGGGTTCAGTTTCAATCTTCTGCATATGGCTGGCCAGTTATCTCAGCATCATTGATTGAATAGGGAATCTTTTCCTGTTGTTTATGTTCATCAACTTTGTCAAAGATCAGATGGTTGTAGGCGTGTGGCATTATTTCTGGCCTCTCTAACCTGTTCCATTGGCCTATGTATCTGTTCTTGTGCCAGTACCATGCTGTTTTGGTTACTGTAGCCTTGTAGTATAGTTTTAAGTTGGGTAACATAATGCCTCCAGCTCTGTTCTTTTTGCTTAGGACTTCCTTGGCTATTCAGGCTTTTTTTAAAGGTTATTTATAAATTTTTAAATACTTTTTTCTAATTTGGTGAAGAATGGCATTGGTAGTTTGATAGGAATAGCATTGAATCTATAAATTGCTTTGGGCAATATGGCCAGTTTAACAGTATTGATTCCTCCTATCACGGGCATGGAATGTTTTTCCATTTGTTTGTGTCATTTCTGATTTTTTTTTTTAAGCCGTGTTTTATAACTCTTGTTGTAGAGCTCTTTCACCTTCCTCGTAGCTGTATTCCTAGGTATGTTATTCTTTTTGTGGCTATTGTGGACAGGATTGTGTTCTTGATTTGGCTTTCAGTTTGGAGGTTGTTGGTGTATAAAAATGCTATTGAATTTTGTACATTGATTTTGTATCCTGAAACTTTGCTGAAGTTGTTTATCAGATCTAGGAGCTTTTGGGCAGAGACTATGGCGTTTCCTAGGTGTAGAATCACATTGTTTGCAAACAGAGATAGTCTGACTTCCTCTCTTCCTATGTGGAGGCCTCTCATTTCTTTCTCCTGCCTGATTGCTCTGGCTAGGACTTGCAGTGCTATATCAAATAGGAGTGGTGAGAGTGGGCATCCTGTCTTGTTCCAGTTCTCAAGGGGAATGCTTCCAGCTTTTGCCCATTCAGCATGATGTTGGCAATGGGTTTCTCATAGATGGCTCTTATTATTTTAAGGTTTATTCCTTAAATGCCTAGTTTATTGAGAGGTTTAAACATGAATGATGTTGAATTTTATCAAAAGCATTTTCTGCATTTATTAAGATGATCATGTGGTTTTTGTTTTTAGTTCTGTTTATGTGATAAATCACATTTATTGATTTGCATATGTTGAACCAACCTTGCATCCCAGGAATAAAGCCTACTTGATCATGGTGGATAAACTTTTTGATGTGCTGCTGGATTTGATTTGCCAGTATTTTTTTGAGGATTTTTGCATCTATGTTCATCAAGGATATTGGCCTGAAATTTTGTTGTTGTTGTTGTGTCTCTGGTGGGTTTTGGTATCAGGATGATGCTGGCCTCAAAGAATGAGTTAGGGAGGAGTCCTTCCTCAATTTTTGGAATAGTTTCAATAGGAATGGTACCAGTTCTTTATACACCTGATAGAATTTGGCTATGACTCTGTCTTGTCCTGGGCTTTTTTTGGTTGGCAGGCTTTTTATTACTGATTCAGTTTCAGAACTTGTTATTGGTCTATTCAGGGATTCAGTTTCTTCCTGGTTCAGTCTTGGGTGGTTGTATGTGTCCATGGATTTATCCATTTCTTCTAGGTTTTATACCTCGTATGTTCGTAGTAGTCTCTGATGTTTTTTGTAATTCTGTGGGGTCAGTGGTAACATCCCCTTTGTCATATCTAATTGTTTTTATTTGTATCTTCTGTCTTTCTTTTATTAATCTAGCTAGCAGTCTCTATCTCATTAACTTTTTCAAAAAAACAACTCCTGTATTTGTTGATCTTTTTTCTCTTCTTTGAGACAGGGTCTCACTCTGTCACCCAGGCTGGAGCGCAGTTGCGTGATCTCAGTTCACAGCAGCCTCAACCTCCCATACTCAAGCAATCCTCCCACCTCAGCCTCCCAAGTAGCTGGAACTATAGGTGCACTTCATCATACCCAGCTAATTTTTTGATATTTTGTAGAGACAAGGTCTCACTGTGTTGCCCAGGCTGGTCTCAAACTCCTGAGCTCAAGAAACCATCCCACCTCAGCCTCCCAAATTGCTGGGATTACAGGCATTAGCCACCATATCCAGGCTGTGGATCTTTTGAATAGTTTTTTGCATCTAAATTTTCTTCAGTTCAGCTGTGATTTTGGTTATTTCTTGTTTTTTGCTTGCTTTGGGGTTGGTTTCCTCTTGTTTCTTTAGTTTCTCTAGTTGTGATATTAGGTTGTTAATTTGAGATCTTTCTAACTTTTTGATGTGGGTATTTAATGCTATAAATTTCCCTCTTAACACTACCTTAGCTGTGTCCCAGAGATTCTGGTATTGAAGCAGCCCTGTTGTCTAGGGTGATACCTAAGGTTCATTGTCTCATGGCCAAGGAAATAAAGGATATGGACACACAAAGAGTGAGTTTAAGAGAGCGTAAGTTTAATAGGTGAAAGAAAGAATAGCTCCCTGCTAGAGAGAGGGGTCCTAGAGAAATAAGTTGCTGGATCTGCAGTGAAATGCAGGGGTTTTTATAGGTGCCTGGTGAGGAGGCAGTTTCTGATTTACATAGGGTGCAAAAGATTGATTAGACCAGGTGTGCATAGACACTAAAAACTGGTTAGGAATAGCTGTGCCATTTGCATAGGGTATGAAAAGCTGGTCACCCCTAACCAAATTTTATTATGCAGGTGGGTCCTCTGCCTGGCCTGTGCCACACTGCCCATTCCTTTACTGTACATGTGGTAACAAACAAAAAAAGGGAAGATGGAGCCTCTATGTTGGACATGCCTGGCCCACAGGTAGCCCTTTTCTATTGACACAGCTGCTGACATTCCCCTGTGCAAGATTCCAGCTCGCTTATCTATGTTTGCAGCTTGATTTTTCAGGCTTCTCTTTGTTGGAAAAAAATAATTTTTTTTTTGAGACAGAGTAATGCTTTGTCACCCAGGATGGAGTGCAGTGGGTTCAAGTGATTCTCCTGCCTCAGCCCCCTGAGTAGCTGGAATTACAGGTGTGCCCCAACACACCTAGCTAATTTTTGTATTTTTAGTAAAGATGGGGTTTCACCATGTTAGCCCAGGCTGGTCTCAAACTCCTGACCTCAAATGATCTGCCTGCCTCAGCCTCCCAAAGTGCTGCGATTACAGGCATAAGCTACCGTGCCTGGCTGGAAAAAAATAATTTCTTGTACTGCGTTTTGTTAAAAGGGAAGCTCTGCTGAGGACTCTTTTACCCTCACTATCTGCCTTAATAATTTCTTTCTACCCCCTGTATCATATTTCCCCCCTGAGGAGTGGAAACACTACAGCTGGTAGGGGTATTGGAGGACAACTCTTTCTGGCTACTTCCTGCTGAAGAGGGGCATCATGTGGGGAACAGCAGCTAAGGCTCCTTCTGGAGTTGATCTAAAGGTTCTTGGAAGAAAGGCATGTCCATGTGTGGTTCCATCTGCAGCACCATTTGGAGTTTAATAGCTTCTAGGCAAGAAGAGATAAATTTTACAAGAAGGTTTAGAATATAGGGTTTGAATATGAATATTAAGAATCCCGCTGGGAGCCAAGATGGCCGAATAGGAACAGCTCCGGTCTACAGCTCCCAGCGTGAGCGACACAGAAGACGGGTGATTTCTGCATTTCCATCTGAGGTACCGGGTTCATCTCACTAGGGAGTGCCAGACAGTGGGCGCAGGTCAGTGGGTGCGCACACCGTGTGCGAGCCAAGGCAGGGCGAGGCATTGCCTCACTTGGGAAGCGCAAGGGGTCAGGGAGTTCCCTTCCTGAGTCAAAGAAAGGGGTGACGGACGGCACCTGGAAAATCAGGTCACTCCCACCCAAATACTGCGCTTTTCCAACGGGCTTAAAAAACGGCACACCACGAGATTATATCCTGCACCTGGCTCGGAGGGTCCTACGCCCACGGAGTCTCACAGATTGCTAGCACAGCAGTCTGAGATCAAACTGCAAGGCGGCAGCGAGGCTGGGGGAGGGGCGCCCGCCATTGCCCAGGCTTGATTAGGTAAACAAAGCAGCCGGGAAGCTCGAACTGGGTGGAGCCCACCACAGCTCAAGGAGGCCTGCCTGTCTCTGTAGGCTCCACCTCTGGGGGCAGGGCACAGACAAACAAAAAGACAGCAGTAACCTCTGCAGACTTAAATGTCCCTGTCTGACAGCTTTGAAGAGAGCAGTGGTTATCCCAGCATGCAGCTGGAGATCTGAGAACAGGCAGACTGCCTCCTCAAGTGGGTCCCTGACCCCTGACCCCCAAGCAGCCTAACTGGGAGGCACCCCCCCAGCAGGGGCACACTGACACCTCACACGGCAGGGTACTCCAACAGACCTGCAGCTGAGGGTCCTCTCTGTTAGAAGGAAAACTAACAAACAGAAAGGACATCCACACCAAAAACCCATCTGTACATCACCATCATCAAAGACCAAAAGTAGATAAAACCACAAAGATGGGGAAAAAACACAACAGAAAAACTGGAAACTCTAAAAAGCAGAGCGCCTCTCCTCCTCCAAAGGAACGCAGTTCCTCACCAGCAACGGAACAAACCTGGATGGAGAATGACTTTGACGAGCTGAGAGAAGAAGGCTTCAGACGATCAAATTACTCTGAGCTACGGGAGGACATTCAAACCAAAGTCAAAGAAGTTGAAAACTTTGAAAAAAATTTAGAAGAATGTATAACTAGAATAACCAATACAGAGAAGTGCTTAAAGGAGCTGATGGAGCTGAAAACCAAGGCTCGAGAACTACGTGAAGAATGCAGAAGCCTCAGGAGCCGATGCAATCAACTGGAAGAAAGGGTATCAGCGATGGAAGATGAAATGAATGAAATGAAGCGAGAAGGGAAGTTTAGAGAAAAAAGAATAAAAAGAAATGAGCAAAGCCTCCAAGAAATATGGGACTATGTGAAAAGACCAAAATCTACGTCTGATTTGGTGTACCTGAAAGTGATGGGGAGAATGGAACCAAGTTGGAAAACACTCTGCAGGATATTATCCAGGAGAACTTCCCCAATCTAGCAAGGCAGGCCAACGTTCAGATTCAGGAAATACAGAGAACGCCACAAAGATACTCCTTGAGAAGAGCAACTCCAAGACACATAATTGTCAGATTCACCAAAGTTGAAATGAAGGAAAAAATGTTAAGGGCAGCCAGAGAGAAAGGTCAGGTTACCCTCAAAGGGAAGCCCATCAGACTAACAGCGGATCTCTCGGCAGAAACCCTACAAGCCAGAAGAGAGTGGGGGCCAATATTCAACATTCTTAAAGAAAAGAATTTTCAACCCAGAATTTCATATCCAGCCAAACTAAGCTTCATAAGTGAAGGAGAAATAAAATCCTTTACAGACAAGCAAATGCTGAGAGATTTTGTCACCACCAGGCCTGCCTTACAAGAGCTCCTGAAGGGATTTTTGTCACCACCAGGCCTGCCTTACAAGAGCTCCTGAAGGAAGCACTAAACATGGAAAGGAACAACCGGTACCAGCTGCTGCAAAATCATGCCAAAATGTAAAGACCATCGAGACTAGGAAGAAACTGCATCAACTAACGAGCAAAATAACCAGCTAACATCATAATGACAGGATCAAATTCACACATAACAATATTAACTTTAAATGTAAATGGACTAAATGCTCCAATTAAAAGACACAGACTGGCAAATTGGATAAAGAGTCAAGACCCATCAGTGTGCTGTATTCAGGAAACCCATCTCATGTGCAGAGACGCACATAGGCTCAAAATAAAAGGATGGAGGAAGATCTACCAAGCAAATGGAAAACAAAAAAAAGGCAGGGGTTGCAATCCTAGTCTCGGATAAAACAGACTTTAAACCAACAAAGATCAAAAGAGACAAAGAAGGCCATTAAATAATGGTAAAGGGATCAATTCAACAAGAAGAGCTAACTATCCTAAATATATATGCACCCAATACAGGAGCACCAAGATTCATAAAGCAAGTCCTGAGTGACCTACAAAGAGACTTAGACTCCCACACATTAATAATGGGAGACTTTAACACCCCACTGTCAACATTAGACAGATCAATGAGACAGAAAGTCAACAAGGATACCCAGGAATTGAACTCAGCTCTGCACCAAGCGGACCTAATAGACATCTACAGAACTCTCCACCCCAAATCAACAGAATATACATTTTTTTCAGCACCACACCACACCTATTCCAAAATTGACCACATAGTTGGAAGTAAAACTCTCCTCAGCAAATGTAAAAGAACAGAAATTATAACAAACTATCTCTCAGACCACAGTGCAATCAAACTGGAACTCAGGATTAAGAATCTCACTCAAAACCGCTCAACTACATGGAAACTGAACAACCTGCTCCTGAATGACTACTGGGTACACAACGAAATGAAGGCAGAAATAAAGATGTTCTTTGAAACCAACGAGAACAAAGACACAACATACCAGAATCTCTGGGACGCATTCAAAGCAGTTTGTAGAGGGAAATTTATAGCACTAAATGCCCACAAGAGAAAGCAGGAAAGATCCAAAATTGACACCCTAACATCACAATTAAAAGAACTAGAAAAGCAAGAGCAAACACATTCAAAAGCTAGCAGAAGGCAAGAAATAACTAAAATCAGAGCAGAACTGAAGGAAATAGAGACACAAAAAACCCTTCAAAAAATTAATGAATCCAGGAGCTGGTTTTTTGAAAGGATCAACAAAATTGATAGACCGCTAGCAAGACTAATAAAGAAAAAAAGAAGAATCGAATAGATGCAATAAAAAATGATAAAGGGGATATCACCACCGATCCCACAGAAATACAAACTACCATCAGAGAATACTACAAACATCTCTATGCAAATAAACTAGAAAATCTAGAAGAAATGGATAAATTCCTGGACACATACACTCTCTGAAGACTAAACCAGGAAGAAGTTGAATCTCTGAATAGACCAATAACAGGAGCTGAAATTGTGGCAATAATCAATAGCTTACCAACCAAAAAGAGTCCAGGACCAGATGGATTCACAGCCGAATTCTACCAGAGGTACAAGGAGGAACTAGTACCATTCCTTCTGAAACTATTCCAATCAATAGAAAAAGAGGGAATCCTCCCTAACTCATTTTATGAGGCCAGCATCATTCTGATACCAAAGCCAGGCAGAGACACAGCAAAAAAAGAGAATTTTAGACCCATATCTTTGATGAACATTGATGCAAAAATCCTCAATAAAATACTGACAAAACGAATCCAGCAGCACATCAAAAAGCTTATCCACCATGATCAAGTGGGCTTCATCCCTGGGATGCAAGGCTGGTTCAATATACGCAAATCAATAAATGTAATCCAGCATATAAACAGAGCCAAAGACAAAAACCACATGATTATCTCAACAGATGCAGAAAAAGCCTTTGACAAAATTCAACAACCCTCCATGCTAAAAACTCTCAGTAAATTAGGTATTGATGGGACGTATTTCAAAATAATAAGAGCTATCTATGACAAACCCACAGCCAATATCATACTGAATGGGCAGAAACTGGAAGCATTCCCTTTGAAAACTGGCACAAGACAGGGATGCCCTCTCTCACCACTCCTATTCAACACAGTGTTGGAAGTTCTGGCCAGGGCAATTAGGCAGGAGAAGGAAATAAAGGGTATTCAATTAGGAAAAGAGGAAGTCAAATTGTCCCTCTTTGCAGACAACATAATTGTATATCTAGAAAACCCCATTGTCTCAGCCCAAAATCTCCTTAAGCTGATAAGCAACTTCAGCAAAGTCTCAGGATACAAAGTCAATGTACAAAAATCACAAGCATTCTTATACACCAACAACAGACAAACAGAGAGCCAAATCATGAGTGAACTCCCATTCACAATTGCTTCAAAGAGAATAAAATACCTAGGAATCCAACTTACAAGGGATGTGAAGGACCTCTCCAAGGAGAACTACAAACCACTGCTCAAGGAAATAAAAGAGGATACAAACAAATGGAAGAACATTCCATGCTCATGGGTAGGAAGAATCAATATCGTGAAAATGGCCATACTGCCCAAGGTAATTTACAGATTCAATGCCATCCCCATCAAGCTACCAATGACTTTCTTCACAGAATTGGAAAAAACTACTTTAAAGTTCATATGGAACCAAAAAAGAACCCACATCGCCAAGTCAATCCTAAGCCAAAAGAACAAAGCTGGAGGCATCACACTACCTGACTTCAAACTATACTATAAGGCTACAGTAACCAAAACAGCATGGTACTGGTACCAAAACAGAGATATAGACCAATGGAACAGAACAGAGCCCTCAGAAATAATGCCGCATATCTACAACTATCTGATCTTTGACAAACCTGAGAAAAACAAGCAATGGGGAAAGGATTCCCTATTTAATAAATGGTGCTGGGAAAACTGGCTAGCCATATGTAGAAAGCTGAAACTGGATCCCTTCCTTACACCTTATACAAAAATCAATTCAAGATGGATTAAAGACTTAAACGTTAGACCTAAAACCATAAAAACCCTAGAAGAAAACCTAGGCATTACCATTCAGGACACAGGCAGGGGCAAGGACTTCATGTCTAAAACACCAAAAGCAATGGCAACAAAAGCCAAAACTGACAAATGGGATCTGATTAAACTAAAGAGCTTCTGCACAGCAAAAGAAACTACCATCAGAGTGAACAGGCAACCTACAAAATGGGAGAAAATTTTCACAACCTACTCCTCTGACAAAGGGCTAATATCCAGAATCTACAATGAACTCAAACAAATTTACAAGAAAAAAACAAACAACCCCATCAAAAAGTGGGCAAAGGATATGAACAGACACTTCTCAAAAGAAGACATTTATGCAGCCAAAAAACACATGAAAAAATGCTCATCATCACTGGCCATCAGAGAAATGCAAATCAAAACCACAATGAGATACCATCTCATACCAGTTAGAATGGCAATCATTAAAAAGTCAGGAAACAACAGGTGCTGGAGAGGATGTGGAGAAATAGGAACACTTTTACACTGTTGGTGGGACTGTAAACTAGTTCAACCATTGTGGAAGTCAGTGTGGTGATTCCTCAGGGATCTAGAACTGGAAATACCATTTGACCCAGCCATCCCATTACTGGGTATATACCCAAAGGATTATAAATCATGCTGCTATAAAGACACATGCACACGTATGTTTATTGCAGCATTATTCACAATAGCAAAGACTTGGAACCAACCCAAATGTCCAACAATGATAGACTGGATTAAGAAAATGTGGCACATAAACACCATAGAATACTATGCAGCCATAAAAAATGATGAGTTCATGTCCTTTGTAGGGACATGGATGAAATTGGAAATCATCATTCTCAGTAAACTATCGCAAGAACAGAAAACCAAACACCGCATATTCTCACTCATAGGTGGGAATTGAACAATGAGATCACATGGACACAGGAAGGGGAATATCACACTCTGGGGACTGTTGTGGGGTGGGGGGAGGGGGGAGGGATAGCATCGGGAGATATACCTAATGCTAGATGACAAGTTAGTGGGTGCAGCGCACCAGCATGGCACATGTATACATATGTAACTAACCTGCACAATGTGCACATGTACCCTAAAACTTAAAGTATAATAAAATAAAAAATAAAAAAAAAGAATCCCATTATTAGTGGGAGTACTATAGGCTATAACCATGACAGTAGAGTTTGATACCTGATAGCCATTTGATGGGTTGTAATACTAGTTGCCTCCACCAGATGTCGCTGTACTTTACCAGAAGTGTAATATAAAAGCAACATTTTTCTTTGAAAAAAAACATATATTCCCCCTTGACTTGCCATTAGAAGATAATTGTAGGCCTGGGCTATCTTTTATGACTTGTGATGTGATTGGGAGGAACACATTATTGGGTGGCTAGAGTAACTTTAGTGTTAACCTTGGCTAAATCTTTCCTGTAATTATTAATCCTGTTGTAAAAATTAGGCAGAATATTACAGCAATTAGAATATTCCATCCAGAATTCTACATTGCAGGTACCACAGTATATAGTCCTACTGCAAATAGCAGAGTAAGTATAACAATTTACACAAGGGTGGTGTAGTAGATAATTTCCATCTTAAATTTTACTCACCAAGAATTTCCCTTTGGGAGTCTATGAAGTTACAACTGTAATCTCATGGATAATCAAAATCTTCCCACAAGTATGCATCAAAAAGAAGTTCTAGTATCTCACAGCGAATCTCGAGAGGAAAAGTAGAAATAACTGAAAGTATCTGATAAGGTAGGAGTGGGACTGAGTAGGATGAATAGCCCTTACTCATTTACTTATCTTTTATGATTTTCAGCTTAAGATCTCCTATTTCTTCACATGGATATCCAGGACATTCCTCTGGGCTGTCTGGGGTTGCTCTCTCTCTCAGGTTTCCAGGCTTTGACTTGAGTGATGCATCCAGGAGTCCATTCCTGTGACTTTTATCGCTGAGGGGTTGAAAGAACAGTGTAGGGCCCTTCCTAACTTGGGCTTAGGTAGGGAGACAGAGGGCAGAGTCTTTATTAATACCACATATCCTGGGTTAAATAATGATGGTCCTATTTTGGGGGGTTGGGCTTCTGCTAGTTGTGTTAATTCCTGTTGGAAGTGAGCTAGGGAGGTTACATGCTTAACCAATTTAGAGGTGTCTTGGTCTAATAGAAAGTCACTTGTAAGGAAAGGCTGTTAATACAGCATTTAAAACGGGGTCAGACCTAACTTTGAAGGGGTATTTCTTACCCACAGTAAAGCCATGGGAAGAAGAGTGACCCAAGGAAGGTTAGTTTCTTGGAACAGTTTTCTGAGATGTCTTTTGATAATATCGTTTGT
The DNA here is from genome assembly GCF_000001405.40 of Homo sapiens. NCBI lineage: Eukaryota > Metazoa > Chordata > Mammalia > Primates > Hominidae > Homo > Homo sapiens. The sequence goes on along the minus strand of NC_000011.10, from coordinate 74,876,248 downwards.
CTTCTCTACCTTTCCTGAGGACTGGGGTCTCCAAGCACAATGGAGATGATACTGTATGCCTAGTGCCTTTGTGACCCCTTATGTGACAGCTGTCTTAAGCAAGGGGCCATTGTGACCTTGAAGGCACTTAGGTAGACTAAAGTGGGGAGTTATTTCATTAAGTAACAAACACTTTTATTACCTTGGAGGCCTTTTCTGTACAGCATGGAAATGCTTCTATCCAGTTAGTGAAAGTATCTACCCATACCAGGATGTATTGGATGTCCTTCTTCTTTGGCACGTGGGTGAAGTCTATCTGCCAGTCCTTCCCTGGATGGCTTCCCATCCTTTAGGTTTGAGGAGGAAGGAGATGCCTGTTAAGGGGATTATTATTATTTTGAGACACAGTTTCACTCTGTTGCTCAGGCTTCAGTGTAGTGGTGTGATCTCAGCTCACTGCAACCTCCACCTCCTGTGTTAAAGCAATTATCGTGCCTCAGCCTCCCAAGTAACCGGGATTACAGGCGTGCACCACCACATCTGGTTAATTTCTTTGTATTATTAGTAGAGATGGGGTTTTGCAATGTTGGCCAGGCTGGTCTCGAACTCCTGATGTCAAGTGATCCACCCGCCAAAGTGCTGGGATTACAGGTGTGAGCCACCGTGCCCAGCCAAAGGGATTATTTTTAAGACAGACTTCACAAGCACTAACAAGCTGCTTGACTGTTATTAAGTTCTCTCCTGAAAAATCTCTGGGCACACTGATAAGTTTTATCCTTTCCCAAGTGAAAAGCTTGATGAAGGATCTTAAGGACTTTCCACTGGCGGGAGGCTGGCAAGTGGAGTTTGCCGTCCTCTTACTGTAGCCATCCTGAGAGCTGAAAAGTATACCCTTGAGAAGTGGCCCACTCTGCCTCTGCAGGGGAGTACTGAGACTTAATTTCTCTTATGGAGCCTTCCCAGATTAGAGGGGGCTTCAGGTGCATTGAGGCCCTGAGGCTGACTTGCTGCTGACTTGGCTGCCTCATCAGCTAACTTGTTTCCTTAGGCTACTTCATCTGCTCCCTTCTGATGTCCTACAATGCATCACTGCTACCTCTCGTGGAAGGAAAACTGAGGATAATAACTTGTTAATTTCCTGATGGTATTTTATAGGTTATCTTTAGTAGTAGGAAAGTGTCTTTCCTCCCAAATGGCAGCATGAGCATAAAGAACTAAGAAAGCATACTTGGATTCTGTGTAAATGTTAGCTACCTTTCCCTTGCTTAATTCAAGTGTTCTTGTAAGAGCTATCAGTTCAGCTAGTTGAATGCTTGTGCCTGGGGAGAGGGGTGCACTTTCAATGTCATTCAGAGTGTACATTGCATATCCCACCTTACAGACTCCTTGTTCCACAAAGGAACTTCCATTTGTGAAGAGCGTCCCATCTGGATTTTCTAGGGAAGTTTCCCTGAGAGCTTCCCTGGCTGCATAGGTCTGTACCACAACTTGTTCACAGTCATGTTCAGGTTCCTCAGTTTCCTTGGGGAGGAAAGTGGCTGAGTTTAGGCAAGAGCAAGTTTTTAACTGGATTGTAGACCCTTCTAATATCAGAGCCTGATATTTAGGGAGTCAGCTTTCTGTTAGCCAAGGGCATCCCTTAGAGGACAGCAATCGTGCTACATTATGTGGGGTATAAACAGTTAAGCTATTTCCCAGGGTTAATTTGGTGGCCTCTGGTATCAGTAGGGCCACTTTGGCAATGGCTCAGAGGCATGATAGCCATTCTTTAGCCACCAAATCAAGTTCCTTACTTAGGGAGCCCACTGGCTGTTGAGCTGGTCCTCGGGCTTGAGTTAAAACTCCCAGGGCCATTCCCTTCCTTTCTGATACAAAAGATTGAAGACCCTCCCTATGGGAAGGCTGAGGACTGGTACCTTAAGTAAGGCTTGTTTTAACTAATTAAAGGCCTTTTGAGCTTCAGGTTCTCAGGTTAGGAAATGAGTTTTAGCCACTTGAGTTTCTTTCTTTTTTTTTTTTTTTTTTTTTTTTTTTTTGAGACGGAGTCTTGCTGTCACCCAGGCTGGAGCGCAGTGGCGTGATCTCAGCTCACTGCAACCTCCACCTCCCGGGTTCATGCGATTCTCCTGTCTCAGCCTCCTGGGTAGCTGGGAATACAGGCGTGTGCCACCATGCCCAGCTAATTTTTGTATTTTTAGTAGAGACGGGGTTTCACCATGTTGGCCAGGATGGTCTTGATCTCTTGACTTCATGATCCGCCCACCTCGGCCTCCCAAAGTGCTGGGATTACAGGTGTGAGCCACCGTGCCTGGCCTTGAGTTTTTTTTATGAGGTGATATAGGGGGTAAACTATCTCACCATACCAAGATGAGTTTGCAGAATCCTGTAATGCCCCCAAATCCTCTTAGTTGCTTGAAGGTTTTAGGGAGGGGGAAGGAGGAAATTGGCTTACTCCTTTCTTCCCCTAATGCTCTGGTCCCTTCAGACAACACTACACCCAGGTACTTCACTGAGGTTTGGCAAAGCTTGATGTTAGATTTTGAAACCTTATATCTTCTGTTGGCTAAGAAATTAAGAAGAGCTTCACTGCCTTCCTGAGATGCTTCCTCAGTTGGGGCACAAAACAGTATGTCATCTACATATGGCAAGACCCTGACCTGAGGATGGGAAAACTCAGAGAGGTCCTTTGACAGTACCTGTCCAAACAAGTGGGGACTGTCTCAAAATCCCTGAGGCAGCACTGTCCATGTTAACTGGGCATCTGGCCAGAGGGATCTTCGAAGGCAAACAGGTATTGAGAGTCAGGATGTAACGCTATATAGAAAAAGGCATCCTTTAGATCTAGGACTGAACCATTTAGTTCCCTCAGGTATTTGGGTTAGCAAAGTATAGGGATTAGGGACCACTGGATGAGTTGGAACTATGGCCTTATTAATGATGTGGAGGATCTGATCTAGTCTCCATTCTCCATTGGGTTTTTGCACTCCTAATATTGGGGTGTTGCAGGGGCTGCTACAAGGTTCGAGGAGGCCCTGCATTTTCAGGTTATTAATAATGGCTTCTAGCCCCTTCCTAGCCTTGGCTTTAGGGGATATTGTCTCTGGTTAAGAAAAGCAGTGGGATCCTTAAGATGGATCTGAACTGGCCTATTTTTCCTTGAGTTGCTCACCCTTCTGGATTAATAATAGCTTCCACCTGGGGGAAACAAAGAGTTTGTCTTGGGGCTATAAGGATGCTGGCCCCCATGCAAGCTAAAATGTCTCTGCCTAATGAAGGAGTGGTACTTTCAGGCATGAGTAAGAAGGCATGAGTAAATAATAGGTCCTCCCAACTACAACTAAGGGGTTGAGAAAAATATCAGGTTAGAACTTTACCTGAGATGCCCATCATGGTCATGCTATGGGAAAAGGGGATTAGGGAGAAGAGGGATGCTGGTTCCAATGTCTAGAAGAAGGTCCACCTTCCTTCCTTCCTTCAATTTTCAGAATCACCTGGGGCTCCTGTGCAGTAATGACAGTTTCAGCTGCTGGAGCCAGGGGTCTGAACCCCAGGACCCAACAGTCCTGTTGGACCATCTGTGAGACTGGTTCTGAACCCAGTGACCTCCATCTCCAGGGGCAGTCTGATCTCCAGTGGTCCCAACCACTGGCTGGACATGGTTGGGGTGGCTTCTACTTGCTGCCTGGGCACTCCTTCTTAAAGTGCCCTGACTTGCCACACTGGTAGCAACTAATGGATACACCTTGGGGATCCTGGACTTTGCAAGTTTGCAAAGCAGCTACTAGAGCCTCTGCCTTCTCTCGCGTTTCCTCTCTTTCTCCAGGGCCGCCTTCTGGTCCCTATTATGAAAGACCAAGGTAACCACCCTCAAGTGGTTTTTCAAGGTGCTATCTGGTCCTATAGCCTGCTTCTACAGTTTCCTTCTAATATTGGGAGCTGCCAGTATAATAAACTTGTCCTTGAGGGTTAGCTGTCCCTTGACTGAGTAGGGGATAAGGAGGTGTGTTTTATTAGTGCTTCTCTCAGCCTTTCCATAAAGGCTGCAGGATTCTCATCTGGCTTTTGGTTTATCTTGGACAGTTTAGAGTAATGAAGAGGTTTGGCTCTCCTAGTTCTTTATAGGCCCTCCAATATGCACATTAATAAGTGTTTCCTTTTCCATTCATTTGTGGAGTCATCAGGGTTCCAAATCAGGGTTGTCAAGAGGTACTGCCTCTCTTCTCTACTGGGAATGATGGTTCCCCTATCTCTTCACCTTCCCTATTTTCTCTTTTCCTTTTTGGCCTACTGTAAGAAACATACTGCTTGTCTCCAAATTTCTCTGATGCATGCAGAGCTGCCTGCTTTTCAGCTGCGGTTAGGGTTTGGCTTAGGAGCAGCATAACATCTCTCCATGAGAGGTCAAACACCTGAGTTAAATTTTGGAAAGCTTCTTTATACCTATCGGAGTCATCAGAAAATCAGCCTAAGTATCCCTTTATTTGCCTAAGGTCATGCAATGAGACAGGAACTTGAACCCTAGTGGCATCACCTCCATTGGTCATTTCCTGCAGGGGTAAGAGTGAAGCTGGGGGAGTGGGGAATTTTGGAGATAGTGGAACTAGAGGAGCTGATGGCACAGTTGGAGGGGGCCCTAAATAAGGGGGACAGGAAGAGCCGGGACACTCAATAGCTGCCTGAAGTTGCTTTTTTAGTTTTGGGGAATCATTACCTTTTGGATTGCCTGATATGACTGCTAAAAGAGCTTGGTTGATTGTCCAGTGCATGCAAAGGTCTAGTAAGAAGGCCATGCCCTTGTGCAAAAGCAGTTTCAGGATTAAAGGAGTCTCAGTGCTTCAGAATGCACTTGAGCGGGGTGCAGGCTAAAGATGGCTAGAAAGCTAGGGGAGACAAGGAGTCCCTTATTCCCCTCCTTCCTTTAGAATGGCCCAAGGTAGACAGGAAGACAATGGGAGCATCCCCCAACTGTTTTCCCTTCTTGGTTCCCTGAGCCTCGGCATCTGTTAAAAGGTGCTACTCTTGGATGCAGGCATGTCCCTCAGGCATGGATCTAGAGAAGCTAAGTGATGGATTTAGTCACACTCACCCATGCAACTCTAATCCTCCACTGGTGATTTCCCTTTGACTTCCTAACTTCTGTGATCTATGTGGCTACCTGATAGATGGCTCTTGGGAAAGACTATATAACAGTTGTATTTGCAAGGCCCTTTAATGGAGAGAGTGTACTGGGTTGAGCTCTATACTGCTATTATGGCCTGGACTAAAATATTTATTGTTAGGCAGTGGTTCTGGTTAACTTTAAGACATTACATCCCCTTACTATTTAAGTACCATTTTAATGAGAGGCAGAATAAGTGCCTTAAAAGAATGTAGGAACTGAATGGTGGTTTTCCTGCTGATGGGACAATATCAAAACTAAAATTTGGTTTTGGAGGGCATTTTCCTCCTCATTGTTGAGTTTTCCCATTCACAGAAGGAGCATAAAGCCTGGCCTCTAGTAGAGGAGTACAAAAGGGGAGGAGAATTGGAAAACTAGAGTGTTTAGGCAAAGGGCTGACAAGGTACCTCATGGAGAGGATTTCTATTCCACTAGGTGGTGCTGTAGACCTTGAAATACCATGTGATCTCCAGAGCAAGCGGGGAGAGAGATGCTCACTGCCAGGGAAAGGGAGATCCTTTCTATTCCTAGAAAATCACAAAAATGGCAATCCTTTGCATTATATTCCTGGTTACTATGGCATTTGCTGATGCTATCTAACAGGATTATTTCCCTGAAGTGTAAAAATTCCCACAGCATTTCATACAGAGAGGGGATAGGAGACATGGCAGTCGACAGGAAAGAAGGAAAAATGCAATAGGAAAAGCTTGGAGATCCTGTTACTGATGCTCAGTGGGCAGTCAGAGTCTGAGGTTAATCCAGAAGCCTTCGGGTAACACCTGGGTGTAGCCCTGGCCAGGAACTATCAGTTGCCTCTGGACCTCTTCCAGCCCCATGCAATAGCTAGGCTCTCCATGAAAGGAAACTGGTTTGAAACACAGTCAACATTCCCAGCACCCTGAGGGTACCGAGGGATTCACTAAGTTCTCCCGAGCAAGCCTGTTGTCTAAGTCTTGAGATGGGTGGCATTCCCTAAGGGCATCTAGGTGGCCATCAGACACCGAATGTTTTTGGTTTTATTTTAAAATGGAGGGCAGAAGGCCCCAAAATGAAAGTAAAGATTTGGGGTCTGCTCCTATACTCACCCTTCTGATGAATCTACCTTGGATCCCAGATGGGCCCCACAATGAAGTGGCCTCATTGTTGGGGGTGATACCCGAGGTTTGTTGTCTCATGGCTGAGGAAATCAAGGACCTGGGCACACAAAGAGTGAGGTTAAGAGTGGAAGTTTAATAGGTGAAAGAGAATAGCTTTCTGCTGGAGAGGGGGATCCCAGAGAAATGGCTTGTCAGATCTGTGGTTAAATGCAGGGGCTCTTATAGGTGCCTGATGAGGAGGCAGTATCTGATTTACATAGGGTGTGAAAGATTGGTTGGACCAGGTGTGCCATCTGCATAGGGTATGAAAAACTCATTAGAACTAGGTTTGTCATTTGCATAGGGCACAAAAAAATGGTCGCCCCCATACTAATCTTCTAATATGCAGGCAGGTCCTCTGCCTGGCCTGCACCATGTTGCCCATCCCTTTACTGTACACATATTAACAAAAAAAGAAAAGATGGAGCCTCCATGTTGGACATGCCTGGCTCCCAGGTAGCCCTTTTCTATTGGCACAACTGCTGGCATTCCCCCATGCAAACTTCCAGCTTGCTTATCTATGTTTTCAGCTCAGTTTTTCAGGCTGCTCTTTGTTAGAAAAAAATAATTTCTTGGGCTGCTTCTTGCTAAAAGGGAAGCTTTGCTGAGGACTCTTTTACCCTATCTGCCTAAATAATTTCTTTCTACCTCCTGTATCAGTATGTTGCCTCTTTGTTCTCCTTTAGTTTCAAAGAATATCTTGATTTCTCCCTTAATTTCATTATTTACCCAAAAGTCATTCAGGAGCAGGTTTATTTCAATGTAATTATATGGTTTTGAGCAATTTTCTTAGTATTTCTATTTTATGGTGCTGTGCTCCAAGAGTGTGGTTAGTATGATTTCATTTTTTTTTAAAATTGTACTGAGGATTGTTCTATATCTGATTGTGTGGTTGACTTTAGAATATGTGCCATGTGCAGCTGAGAAGAATGTATATTCTGTTGTTTTGGGGTGGAGTGTTCTGTAGATGTCAATTGGGTCCATATGGTCAAGTATTGAGTTCAGGTCATTAATATCTTTGTCAGTTTTCTGCCTCAATGATCTAATATTATTATTGGGGTATTCATGTCCTGCACAATTATCGTATGTTTATCCAAGTCTCTTTATATGTCTCTAAAAGCAACTTGCTTTTTGAATCTGGGTCTCCTCTGTTGGATGCATATATATTTAGGATAGTTCTTGTTGAATTGAGCTCTTTACCATTATATAATATCCTTCTTTGTCTTTTTTTTTTTAATCTTTGTTGGTTTAATGTCTGTTTTGTCTGAGTTTAGAATAATTTCAACAACCCCTGCTTTTTTTCTCTTTTCCATTTGCTTGGTAGATTTTTCTCCATCCGTTTGCTTTCAGCCTATGGGTGTCATCACATGTGAGATGGGTCTCTTGAAGACAGCATACCATCAGGTCTTGCTTCTTTATTCAACTGATCACTCTGTGCCATTTAGCTCATTTATATTCAAAGTTAATATTGATATGTGAGGATTTGTTCATTATTATGCAGACTTGTTCATGTGGTTGCTTTATAGTGTTAATGGTCTATTTACTTAAGTGTGTTTTTGTAGTGGCCGGTAACAGTCTTTTCTTTCCAAGTTTAGCACTCCCTTCAAGACCTCTTGTAAGGCATATCTGGTCGGATAGTAATGAAATCCCTTAGCATTTGCATGTCTGAAAAGGATCTTATTTCTCCTTCACTTACAAAGCTTAGCTTGGCTGGATATGAAATTCTTGGTTGGAAATTCTTTTCTTTAAGAATGTTGAGCCCAGCGCAGTGGCTCATACCTGTAATCCTAGCACTTTGGGAAGCTGAGGCAGGTGGATCACTTGAGGCCAGAAGTTCAAGAGCAGACTGGCCAATATGGTGAAACCCTGTCTCTACTAAAAATACAAAAAATTAGGTGCGGTGACGCATGCTTGTAATCCCAGTTACTTGGGAGACTGAGGTATGAGAATCACTTGAACCTGGGAGGCGGAGGTTGCAGTGAACCAAGATCGCACCATTGTACTCCAGCCTGGATGACGGGAGCAAGACTCTGTCTCAGAAAAAAAAAAAAAAAAAAAGATTGACTATAGGCCCCCATTCTCCTCTGGTTTGTGCTGAAAGGTCTGCTGTTTGTTAGTTGATGGGTTTTTTTTTGTAGGTGACCTGTCCTTTCTCTCTAGCTGCCTTTAACATTTCTATCATTTTGACCTTGGAGAATCCAATTACTATGTTTCTTGGGGATGGTCTTCTTGTGTAGTATTTCACAGGGGTTCTCTGCATTTCCTGAATTTGAATGTTGGCCTCTATAGCAAAGTTGGGGAAATTGTCATGCATGATAACCTGAAATGTGTTTTCCAAATTGCTTGCTTTCTCTCCTTGCATTTCAGGGATACCAATGAGTCATATTTTTGGTCTCTTTACATAATCCCATATTTCTCAGAGGTTTTGCTCATTCTTCCTTACTATTTTTTTATTTTGGTCTGACTGAGTTATTTTGAAGAGCCAGTCTTTCAGCTCTGAGTCTTTCCTCAGCTTGGTTGATTCTGCTGTTAACATTGCAGTTGTATTCTGAAATTCTTAAAGTGAGCTTTTCAGCTGTATCAGCTCACTTTGCTTCTTTCTTAACATGGCCATTTCATCTTTCATCTCCCATATTATTTTATTTATTCCTTAGATTCCTTGTATTGGGTTTCAACTTTCTCCTGAATGTCAGTGATCTCCATTCCCATCCATATTCTGAATTCCATTTCTGTCATTTCAACCTGTTTAAGAACCATTGCTGGAGAACTAGTGTGGTCATTTGGAGGTAAAAAGACACTCTGGCTTTTTGATTTGCCAGAGTTCTTGTCTGGTTCTTTCTCATCTGTGTGGGCTGGTATTCCTTCAATCTTTGAAGGTGCCATCCTTTGGATGGGCCAGGGTGCAGGGCCACTGGTGTCCATGCTTAATGTTCATGCTGGCAGTGGCAGTGGAAGTGGGTGTGCTTATGCTGGCAGTAATGGCATGGTGGGGTACGTGCACACCCACCCAGTCTCCAGATTTGGAAAGTTTTCTGTTATTCTTTGAATAAGCTTTCTACCCCTTTTGTCTTTCTCATATCCCTCTTTAACTTTAGCAACCCTAATATTTTCTTTTTTGATGTTGTCCCATAGATCCTGCAAGCTTTTATTCCTTTTCATTCTTCTTCCTTTTTTCTCCTCTGACTGTATATTTTCATATAATCTTTGAGCTCACTGATTCCTCTGTTTGATTAATTCTGCTGTTGATACTCTCTGTTGACTTTTTCATTTCATTCATTATATTTTTCAATTCCAGGATTTCTTTGATTTTTTTTTTTTTTTAATTATTTCAATCTCCTTGTTAAATTTTTCTGGTAAATTTCTGAACTGATTCTCTGTGTTTTCTTGAAGTTCACTGTGCTTCCTTAAAACATCTGTTTTGGCTGGGCATAGTGACTCATGCCTATAATCCCAGCACTTTGGGAGGCTGAAGTAGGAAGATTGCTTGAGCCCAGGAGTTCAAGACCAGCCTGGGCAACAAAGTGAGTCTCCCATGTCTACAAAAAAATAAAAACATTAACCAGGCATGGTGGTGCATGCCTGTGGTCCCAGCTACATGGGAGGCTGAGGTGGGAGGATTGCTTGAGCCCAGGAGGTTGAGGCTGCAGTAAGCAATGTTCATGTCACTGTACTCCAACCTGGGTGACAGAATGAGAGCCTGTCTCCAAAAAAAGCACAAAACAAAACAAAAAAAATAAAAAAACCCAAAAAAATGTTCTTTTGAATTCTTTGTCTGAGAGATCACACATCTCTATTACTTTATGTTTGATCTCTGGCATCTTATTTTGTCTGTTTGGTGACGTCATATTTCCCTGAATATTCCTGATGTTTGTAGAAGTGTGATGATATCCGTGCCTTGAAATATTAGGTATTTATTTTTGCCTTTGTAGTCTGGCTTTGTGTGTGCCTGTCCTTCTTCAGAGGGACTTCCAGGGATTCTAGGCAGACTGACTGTTACATTTCCTGAGCTTGGGACCACTACTGGCATCTCAGCACTGAGCGATGGTCTAAACCCAGGCTTGCTGCAAGTCTTGCAAAGACTGAGATTGGTGTGGCTTTCTGGCCCAAATGGCTCTGGGAAGACCCAAACACAGGACTGGGGCTATGTGGGAATGTTGGCCAAGGGGACCTGAGTCCAGAACACTGTCCCAGTGGCCCAGATATGTGTTCCTCCCAGCAGGTCTCTGCATGGGCAGGATGGGTCCCAGCTGTAGCCAGAGGGACTGAATTTAAGACTGGGGCATGTTGGGATCTGTTGTAGGAATGAAGCTGGTGGTCCATCTCATTGGCTTAGACAGGTGTATGTCACCTAGCAGGTCCCTGCACAAGTAGTTCCTTGACTGCAACAAGAGGGACCAGAACTGAGACTGGGTCCCCTTGGGATCTGCCGTGGGATGGAGGCTGGTGTGCCTGTCATGGTGGTTCAGACAGGCACACATCTGCCTGCATGTCTCCGCACAGATGGAATAATTCCCTGATTGTAGAGGGAGGGGCTGGAACTGACCATAGGCCCCCTTGGGATCTGCTGTGGAACAGAGGCTAGAGAGCCCTGTCTTGGTTCAGGGAGGTGCACATTGCCTAGCAAGTTCCTGCACAGATAGGATAGTTCCCTGACTATAGCAGGCGGGGCCAAATCGCAGACTGGGCCCACACAGGATCTGCTGTGAGGTAGAGGCTGGAGAGCCCAGTCTCATTGGCTCAGAGGGGCATGTGTCTCCTAGCAAGTCCCTATGCAGATGAGATAGTAACCTGATTGCAGCAGGAGGGGCCAGGGCTGACACTGGGCCCCGCTGGGATTTGATATGGGAAGAAGCCCATCTTGTTGGCCCAGACAGGCATGTGTCTCCCAGCAGGTCTCAGCACAGATAGGATAATTCTCCACTGTAGTGACAGGGGTCAGAGCTGAGACTGGGTCCTCTCAGGATTTGCTGTAGGGTAAAGGCTAGAAAGCCCAGCCTCATTGGCTCAGAGGGGCATGTGTCTTCCAGCAAGTCCCTGCACAGTCTGGTTAGTTCTCTGATTGCAGCTGGAGGGACCAGGTCTCAAACTGGGTCCCCTCAGAATTTGCTGTGGGACAGAAGTTGGTGAACTCATCTGGGAGCCTCAGGCTGCAAGATATAGGTGAGTCTCCCTCTGGGTCCTTGTGCAAGAGGCTGTGAGCAGGGACCTCAGCTGAGAGGGGGTGGATCAGAAAAACGGCAACTTTCAGGCTTACTGCTAAGATCAATGTCAGCAGGCAGACAAGCCTTTCCACCAAGGCACTAGTGTGCACTACTCCTTCTGGACCTCTCTGCAGATGGTTTTGGTTGCAGGCTCAAGGCCAAATATGGCTGTAGCCCAGGACCTTGGAAGCCTGGGGTGTTTCTAGGCTTGAACTGGGGAGCAAGCTTGGTGGATCAGCCACTTGGGTGTTGGTCTGTACCCTCAAAACAATCCTTCAATGTCTTGGGATCCACCAGGGTTTCAAAAACTCCTACCTGAATCTTGATGCTCCTGCAGAGAGACTTTTGACTGTGGGCGGGTGTGGAATTTTTGTGGTTGTGAGGGGACATGAGTGGGTTACTTTCTATTCCACCATCTTCTCTCTGCCTTTTTGCATTCTGAGAGTCTCTCCACTCAGTCTTCCATTTTATGAATTAGTTCACCTGGGTCCATTCTTCTATCCAGCACATGTATGAGTTATTTTCATTATAAATTTACAGCTTTGTTAGTAGCTTTGCTTCCACAACAATCTGCTTTTGTTTCAGGAGTGAAACTTTTGAATTTCTCAGAGGATACTAATTATTCTATTTTGAAGTTTTTATAACTTTTGTTAAATAAACTGTTTTTATTCAGGTGATAATTCTTCCCTTTTTTATATTGTTAATTTTCCTCAAATAGTAGGAGATTCTTGATTATTCAGTCTTTTTGTGTAACAATCCTCAATCAGAAGCTTAAAATGCAGTAATTCCTGTGATTGTGGGGAGAGCAGGATGCGCGTTCAGACAGCGTGCCCATCTTTCTAGAGGTGCTGTTGTTTTCTAGGGTTCATTGCTTAGCACTCACACTTGCAACCATGGCCCATCCCCCAGGGAATTCCTACTTTGTTCATTGCACAAAGCTTTCCCAAACTCCCTTGCAGACCCTCATCACAGGAGAAGTTATTTATGCCATGTTGTTCCATCTCCTATTACTGTTTTCTTCATTTTCATGTGACTTGTCTCATTATAATATCATTAACATGTAGAAGGTGTCGGTTAACTAGGGTAAAGGTGAGCAATGTCTGCACAGGATCTAGTCCCAGCAGATGCTATGCTGTGTTAGGTTGAACTCAGCTGTTAGACTCATCTCATTCTGACGGTCCCAAGAATGAAATCACTCTGCAGCCTCCTCCTTATGACTGTGTGCTGGTTGTTCTTGGTATCTCTCCTGAATTCACTGGCTCAACACATTCTGTTTCTACTAATATAAGAAATATTTCCAAATCCTCTGACAGAATGTCTTCTATATACATTTTTCTCTTCTAAGACAGTTGGTTAGCTTTCTGCTCAGTATGGACTCCCCAGTAATTCTGAGGCTCGAAAGTGCTTATGTGCTTTAAAGTCAGATTGAAGGTCAGTCAGTGTGGCTGAAATACAGTGAATGAGGGAGAGTATCATGAAATGAGACTGAAGAAGTAGGCAGGGGCCCAATCATGCAGGACATCAGAGGACTAGATAAGCAGTTTGTATTTTATCCTAAGTGCAAAGGGACTTATTACCTGATGCATGTCACAGCCAGCTCCTCTTCCTAGTTAGCACTGGGGCTGAGGACCAATGAGAACTCCCTCTAGGAGGTGCCCTGCTGCACACAGTGGATGGCAGACCTATATCCTGGGTGCTCTAGGCATCAATCAGCGGTCTCACCAACCTTCATTCTGTTTCTCTTCTGTTTCAGAGGTTGTGTTTTCATCTTACCCTGGATTTTCAACCTCAGAGGTAGGAACTGACTACTTTATATTTGTGTTCCTGAGTTAGAACATTAATTTTAATAGACAAAATCAAATAAAATAATGGAGCCATGAGAGTCATTTCTATAGATCACACTGAGGAAGCCCATTCATTGAATAGGTAGTTGCCAAGTACCTATCATGTACCAGGTCCTGTGCTGGCCAGAGACAGACATGTCTTGACCTTACCTGTACCAGGTCCTGTGCTGGCCACAGACAGACATGTCTTGACCTTACCTGCCTAGTCTAACTTTCATTGTTCTCACATGCTGTTTAGCATAATGTAATAATGGCAGCTGCCTCAAGTGATAAAATTGGCATTGAAGTGGGGCTGCTACCAGCAGCTCCTTAACAAGAGTCCCCCAAAGCTGGAAAAGTCCTTGCCAGATACACCACTATCCAGGACCTAATCGTTGATGTCACAGGCTTAGACCCTTGATTTTCATCAGCACAGAAAATTGTTTTTTCTCTCATGGCAGATGCTCGTGGGGACTGGTACATGTAAACCAAATATTGATTTATTCATTTACAATAAATAGTATATCTCTTCATTTAGCCAACCTGCATCCTTGAGAGGCAGCTCAGTATACAACCTCCCCACAGATAGAACTGTGTGAGAAATTCTATCAGTTAACTATAGCTGCTTACCAAACCAACCCAATAACAATTCATTATTTTTCACCACTCACAATTGAGTCGACGAAGTGATTCCACTGGCTCCACCAAGGCTCACTTATACAGCTGCATTTAGCTGGCAGGGTAGCTGCAGGCTGGGCTCAGGTACACAGCTGGTATGGCTTGGCATCTTCTCTCTTTGTGGTCTTTTCCTCCTGGGCTACATTGCAGTATGGTTTCATTACAGCATCAGGGTTTCAAGAGAGCAAGGGCGAATTAAAAAGTTCTGAAATTGAAATAGTGTCACTTCTCCACATTCTATTGGTCAAAGCAAGTCAAAAGCCCCGTATTATACTGCTGTACTATTCTGACGCTGACCCCTGAGTTTGCGCAGACTCCACAAGTTAAGCACAAAGCCCACAAGTGAGGGTAGTTCCCAAAAAGATTTCCTTCACTTCAGAGGCCAGCCACAAGTTTGGAAGTCCCCAGGCTATCCACACTTTGACCAACTGGTGATAAATTCAAGAGTTTCCACAACCCACTCAGGTTCAGTAATTTTCTAGAACAACTCAAACTCAGGAAAGGGTTATACTTACAATCACAGTTTTACTATAATGCAGCAGTCCCCAACCTTTTCGGCTCCAGGGACCAGTTTTGTGGAAGACAATTTTTCCATGGACTGGGGTGGGGTGGGTGGTTTCGGATGATGAAAGTGCATTACATTTATTATGTACTTTATTTCTGTTATTATTACATTGTAATATATAATGAAATAATTATACAACTCACCACAGTGTAGAATCAGTGGGAGCCTTGAGCTTGTTTTCGTGCAATTAGATGGTCCCATCTTGGGGTGATGGAAGACAGTGACAGATCATCAGGCATTAGATTCTCATAACGAGCACACAACCTAGATCCCTTGCATGCCCAGTTCACAACAGGGTTTGTGCTCCTATGAGAATCTAATGCCACTGCTGATCCGACAGGAGGTGCAGCTCAGGCAGTAATTTGAGCAACGGGGAGTGGCTGTAAATACAGATGATGTTTTTGTTCACTCACCCACTGCTCACTTCCTGCTGTGCGGCCCAGTTCCCAACAAGCCAGGGACTGGCACCGGTTTGTGGCTCGAGGGTTGGGGACCCCAGCTATAAATGACACGAATCAGGACCAGCCAAATGAAAAGGCATATAAGGTGAGGTCTGAGAGCTTTCATGCCCCCTCCCTGTGGAATCAGGGCATGTCTCCCTCCCAGCACATTGATGTGCTCACCAACCAGGAAGCTCACCCACACCTCAGAGTCCAGAGCTTTTATTGGAGGCTCACTGGCCACCTGATTGAACTTAATTTCTAGTTCCTTATCCTCCCCAGGGGTCATGCTGGTGCAAAGCCCCAACTCTCTAGTCACATGGTTAGTCTTTCTGGCATGGCCAGCCTCCATCCTGAGTCATCTCATTATCCTAAACTCAGGTGTGACTCAAGGGGTCCTGCATAACAAAGATATTCCTATCACTCAGAAAATTCCAAGAGTTTTAGAAGCTCAGTGCCAGGAACCTGGGATAAAGACCAGACAAATTTTTTCTTATGTAACAGCCAGTCTAATTTCAGGAGGGTAGACACATGGTCTCCACCTCTGAATGGGAGGAGCAGCAAGGTCACACTGCAAAAGGGCATGTATGTGGGATGGAGGGGCTTGTGACCATTAAACAGTCTACCACACAAGTCAAAGATAATTTGTAGGATTGCTCAGTGCTCAGATCAGCTCTCTGACATCTGAAAATCTAGAAAGTGAGTTGGATAGTTGAGACTTTTAGTGGCCTTACTCTATTAAAATCAGATGCACCTCCCTCCAAGACAGGGCCCTCTCTGCCCCCATCAGGGCCAGTTATGCCCTTGGGTCAGGATACTCCTCATCTTGACTCTCTGGCTTTTCCTTTTCTGTACTGCAGTATGACTTACCCCCTTCAGTTCACACAGCCTTGCTCCAAGTAGGGAATTACATAGTGGAGGATACTGCCTTATCAGACCGCCACCATGTTCCACTCTTGCGTCTCAGAAATTGCCTTGGGATCACTGGGAGAGGCGAGTCATCTGAGTTCCCAAACACAGTCGCTGGTTTTTGTTTTATGCTCACCCATGACTGACCTGTCCACTTGTGTGGTTTTACAAGTTGACCCAGAAGGGTACAAAATACTTGGCTCAAAGTAAGTGCCCCACAAATGTTCACTGAATGAACAAGCAAAATTTAAGTGACTTGCTCAAGATTCCATAGTGATTAATTAATTCAGCTTAAGATGGAATCTAGTTCATCTGAACCTAACCATTAGCCCAGCATCTACCCTTATAATATCCTGTGGTCCCATCGAACTCAGGAATCAGTGAGTGTACTGAGTTATGTATAGTTAAACCAACAATTACCTTTTTCTGCTTGATCAAATATGTTGAACCTGTGGCAGTCTGGGTTGTATGAAAAGAACATGACCCTGCAAGGGATCCAGCTGCAGCATGCCACATTCAGCTCCCACGGGCAGGTTGAAGTCATTTAGGACTGTTGTTTCATCCTCAAATGAAGACCCTCCACTCGAGGATGTGGGCTAGCCCATCAGAGCAGGTGTTCAAGGCTCAAAACACCTCCCTCTCCCTCTCCTCCCTAGAAAAATTCCCCTTAAGAACACAAGCACCTTCCCCTTTGCCTTCTGGAGAAATTTTAGCCCAACTGTGTAGAAGGGCCAATTCAGGGTAAGCTGCTGTAGGGTAGAGGGAGGGGGTGGGGACCAAGTACCTCTGATGTCTGCACCAGTGCTATATTATCCTGTGGCCTCAGAAAACTTGAAAATGGAACTTTGGGTGCTTGAGAATTAGCTCATCATGTAAGCTAATTCTCCTAAGAGAACTTGGAGCCAGAATTCTGGGCTGATGGCGACATCTACCCTTATGACCCTACATGTCTCTTTTGGCCAAGTCTCTCTAGGAAGGTCATTCATTCCACCCTGTTCCATTGAAAGGGTCTGTTGGCCCTTAGTGGCCTTATTTATTATCGGGCACTTTGATTTTGACTTTTCCTTCTTTCTAAGACAACCAAGATATGTTCACTTCCTCCCATATTCGAGATCCTTCCTGTGAAGTCACTGAAGGCCAGGAACCAGACGCTGGCCCCACCCTTCCCAGAGCTGAGATACCTTAGCCTGGCCTACAACAAGGTGACTTTCTGCTCCTCTCCTGTTTACTCAGGGGCACAGATGGGAAGGTGGGATGCAAGTTGCTCTGGCCTAAAAACCAACCCTCCATTCAATTCCCTGCATTACAGGTACATGGGCTCAGGAATTCTCAGGGTGGGGAAAGTGGAAGGAGTTCAGGCCAAGGCAGGAGTCCATCTCTTCAGTCACAGATATTTATTTAGCACTTACCATGTGCCAGGCTCTGTGGTAGGCACTAGATATACAGCTGTGGAAAGAGACTTGGCCTCTCTGCCCTTTTGCAACTTATCACCTATAAGGAAGACAGGAAGACTGATATGGACAAATCATCACAATATGAGCATGCTTAGTGTTATGAAGAAATTCACAGTGTTATGAAGTAAATGATGGAGGGGAGGTGTCTAACCTAATACTTGGGATCAAGGAAGGTTCTCAAGAAAGTGGTGTTTAAGCTGAGATCTGAATCAGTGAGTTTAATCAGGTGAAGAGGGGTGAGTCAAGTGAGGGTAGAAATGTTGTAGCCTAAGGGGAACAGCAGATATAAAGGATAAGGGACAGATTTAACATGTTTTTCCAATGTTCATGTCCTGTTTGGTTTTCTGTAAAATCCCACTAACTGAGCCCTACTCAAGTCTGAAATGCAGGAAACTTGTAAGATACTCTGCTTACATTCCTCTACAGCAAGCAGCTGATACAGCTAAACTCCCCAAGTGTTTTCTTCTAAGAGTTTTATTGTTTCAGCTCTTACATTTAGGTCTTTATTTCAACTTAATCTTTATATATAGTGTGAGACAGGCATCGGCTTCATTCTTTTGCATGTGGATATCCAGCTTTCTCAATACCACTTATTGAAAAGACTATTCTTTCCCCCACTGTTACACCCTTGCCGAAAATCAGTGGACCATAGATGTATCACAGGTCCCTCTTCTTGAAATTGGTAATTTATGTCTTTTATTGATCCAAAATAGTTAGACATTACCTCTTTCATTGACTTTTTCTTATTAAACTAGCTGCTGGTTTCACTGGATTTCTCTGTTTTCCATTTCATTGATTTCTGCTCATAACTTTCTGTTCTTTTACTTAAAATGATTTTAATTTGCTCCTCTTTTTCTCGCATCTTAGGCAGTATAACTTTAGTTAATTGATTTAGACCTTTCTTCTTTCTAATATAAGCATGTAAAGCTTTACATTTCTTCTCCAAGCACTGCTTTAGCTGAGTCCTACAAATTGTAATATATTTTCTTTTTATTTTCATTCGATTAAAATATTTTCACTTTTTCCTGTGATTTCTTCTTTGATCCACAGGTTATTTATAAGTTAGTTAATTTCCAAATATATGGGGGCTCTTCTAGGTGTCTTGTATTTATTTCTAATCTATTTTGTGTGCAGATAACATAATCTGTAAGATGTCATTCTTCTGAAATCTATTTAAACTTGTTTTATGATTCACCCTATGGTCAGTCTGTCTTGGTGAACATTCCATGTGCATTTCAAAAACTATGTATATTCTGCAGTTTTGGGGGAAAGTGTTCTATAAATATTAAGTTAAGGTGGTTGGTTGTGTCACTCAGATCTTCTCTGTACTGTTGTATAGTTGTTCTATCAATCACTGAGAGCAGTGTGTTAAAATCTCCAGACGTGGTTGTGAATTTACTTATTTCTCCCTTTAGTTCTGTCAGCTTTTACTCCATGTATTTTGAAGTCTGCTATTGATGCAGATACATTTATATCTACCAAATGTATGGATACTTTTATAAATTATGAGTTGCCTTTTTTTTTTGCCTCTAATCATATTCCTTGTCTTGATGTCTTATTTTGTTTGCTTCCTTATACTTACTGTTTGCATGGTGTATCTCTTTCTGTCCATTTACTTGCAACCTATTTATATCTTTGTAGTTAAGGTGTGTCTCTTTTAGACAGCATATAGCTGGTTTTTCCTAGGGTGCCAGAGTGTTTTTCTCAGTTTTCCTGCTTTGTCCTCAGCTTTCATCCTTCCCTGAGTGCCTGCACCTCAGAGAAGTTTATCTCCACATGCTTGTTCCTCCCCCTAGCAGTAGACTGCTTTTGCTTGCTACTTAGTGCTTGCTAAGTAGCAAGTGGTGGTAGGTGCCAAAAGGAGGCTCTAGCCCCAGTCTTAGGCAGCCCTGGGACCAACCCTGTGTCTCAAGGATAGGCTTTTCTCAGTGGTCCTACCCCTCTCCCAGCAGTAGGAGACCTCTAATGTGCTAGGCCCAGGTTGGTTTCCTGCTCCAACCACAGGAGTAGTGGGTTTTAATTTTTTCCCTACCCAAGATGCAGTGCCCCAAGCTGACAGGGTTTGCTGATCTTCCTCAGCAACTGAAGGCTTTCGTTAACTATGGAGAAGGGTTGGTAAGGCCCCCTGCCTTTTTGTGGTGGGAGCTATCTCCTCTTCCAGGCTCACACCACTGAGGAAGGCTGTCATCAATCTCTCTCCTGCCTCCAGTCTTTCTCACACTAGTGAGTGTGAACTCCCTGGATGTCTGCAGCTTAAAGGGGTTTACTCTAGGCCACGCTTGGTCTTTATAAATTCACTAAAATTTTTACCTGATTTCTTCTTAAGTGCTTGTGTGGCACTTGCATCTGCCACATTCTGCCACAGGCAGGCCAGTGTCTGTGTCCCATCTCTCCTTGGAGGTGCCAGTATTTCCTTAGATTTCAGGCCGCATGATTGTCCTGGGATGTTAGCTCTCTATTGGACTCAAGAAAAGTTATGATTTTATAGATTATTCAGTAGTTTTCTTAAGGTTGGAGCAGCACTCTTTCCATTTTTCTATGTTTGCACCTGAGTTTTTAAATGGTATTTTACTTTATGATAGTTACCACCTAACATATTATATCTTTTTGTCTATTGTCACATATCTATTACCAGAATGTGCTTTTGTTTTTTAGCACTAGGACTTTGTTTTGCTTACATCTTATATGCTCATTATCTAGAATATTACCTGATACATGATAGGTGCTCAATAAGTTTGTTAGATGAATGAATGATTTTTGTTGTTGTTGTTGTTCAGATGGAGTTTCGCTCTGTAGCCCAGGCCGGAGTGCAGTGGTGCGATCTTGGCTCACTGCAGCCTCCACCTCCCGGGTTCAAGCAATTCTCCTGCCTCAGCCTCCCAAGTAGCTGGAATTACAGGCACCCGCTACCACGCCTGGCTAATTTTTGTTTTTTATCAGAGACAGGGTTTCACCATATTGGCCAGGCTGGTCTTGAACTCCTGACCTCGTGATCCACCTGCCTCAGCTTCCCAAAGTGCTAGGATTACAGGCGTGAGCCACCACACCCGACCCCATGAATGATGTTTTAATCATGTCAAATAATACAGCTGTGTTGAAATTAATATTCAATTTATTAAAGTTACAAACTTCAAAATAAATTCTGCCTTTAAACAGAACTTATACATCTAGAATATTCATCAGAAAATTACTCAGAATATTCACTAGAAATTGTTGTGTCAAAAGTAAAATAATCACTTTCACTTGGTCTTTAATACTTAGTTCCTAAATGTGACAGATTGTTACACTCTCCTTAATCCAATGAGATTGAGAAGAAATTTAAAGTTATCATTGGAACCTGAATGCATCTCCAGAACATTCAGCTCACCCGAGAGAGAACAGGCTAGCCCCATGGCCAGATTTCCGCTTGCTGTGTCAGCCAGAATCCTAAGCCCATACCTTTCAGCTGGGCTTAATTTCACAGAAAATACCACACACATGACCTGAGTATCATTCAATTTTTTTATCAATTCTTAATTGTAATTTTCTTCAACTTTTTAATCACCTGGTTCGGGTGAATGTAATTTTGCATCCTGACAAGATTAAATTCTGCATCTCCCATTCTTTAGTGATTGTCTCTTGACCCCTTGATTTGCACACACAAGACTCTACACCCACTTTGACCACCATTATAGTCATTTATCAAAACATATTGGGCACCTTTTTAGGTTCATCCTCTATCTCTGAAGTCTAGATAATGGCAGCAGAATTTTATATTTTACTCTGTTGCAACTACTTAACTCTGCCCTTGTGGGACAAAAGGCAATATGGCAACAAATGAGAAAGGTAGTATTTTTTTTCTTTTTTCTTTTTTTTTGAGACAGAGTCTCACTCTGTTGCCCAGGCTGGAGTGCAGTGGCATGATCTTGGCTCACTGCAATCTCCACCTCCTGGGTTCAAGTGATTCTTCTGCCTCAGCCTCCCGAGGAGCTGGGATTACAGGCACCCGCCAGCACACTCAGCTGATTTTTGTGGGGTTTTGTTGTTGTTGTTGTTTTGTATTTTTTTTTTAGTAGAGACGGGGTTTCACCCTATTGGCCAGGCTGGTCTCAAACTCCTGACCTTGTGATCCACTTGCCTCGGCCTCCCAAAGTGTTGGGATTATAGGCCTGAGCCACCGCGCCCAGCCAGAGAAAGGTAGTATTCTACTGAAACTTTAGTAAATGGATCATGGGCCAGATTTGGGCCATGGGCCCAATCCTGGTTTTGGTATAGCCTGTTTGCTAAGAGTGGTGTTTACATTTTTTAATGATTGAAAAAAATCAAAACAAGGATAAAATTTCATGACATGTTAAAATTATATGAAATTCAGATTTCAGGGTCCATAAATAAAATTGTATTGGAAAAAAGCCACCATACCTATTTATGAATTGTCTATGGCTGATTTTGTACAACAATAGTAAAATTGAATAGCTGCAACAGAAACCATATGGTCTGCAAAGCCTAAAACACTTATTATATGGTCTTTGACAGAAAAGGTTTGCTGATCCCCTGGTCTAGAAGATCAAATGTTAAAGTCCCTCAAGGCCTACTCCTAGTTTCTTTCCTCTCACTCCCTACTGTCTCCCTAGGGATGACTTCAGATAGCCACTGGCCCATGAACAGTGACTCAAAAATTTCTAACTCTAATGCAGACCTCTCCTCTGTATTCCAGACCAGTGTATCCAACTGCCTATTTGACATTTCTACCTGGAGGCCTCAAAAGTACCGCCAACATACACATACCCAAAGCAAATTGATAAATTTTTTCTTCAAATTGTATGTTCTTTCATTGTTCCCTTAGTGAATAGCTTCATCTTCCATCCAGTTACTCAAGGCAAAAACCAGCTGTCACCTTTGATACTTCTCTCTCTTGTACCTCCCCATCCTCCGCCCCCCCAGTATCTACATCATCACCAAGTCTTGTCAAATTTAGGTCCTCATATTTCTAAAATCCATCTAATGAGTTCCCCAAGGACCCAAATCTTAAACCACCTTTTGTTTGGCCCCTACTTGCATTTCCAGCCCCATTTTGCACCAGGTGCCCTCTTTCTCTCTGCTTTTAGTCACACTAGCCTTCTTTAAACTCTTCCAGCAGGCTATGAGGCCTTTCACACATTTTTCTCTTTGTATAGGACACTTCCTCTCTGCATTAAAGTAAGACTAGCTACTGCAACAAACTTAAACATCTTAATCACTTAACACAATAAAAGTGTATTTCTTGCTTTTACAAAGTCCATCTTGGATATTCCTGGTTGGCAGGTGGCCTTCCACATGATCATTCAGAGACCCAGATGCCCTCTGGCTATGTTCTGTCATCTCATAGGGTCTTAACACTACTCAACTGGATCCTATGTATCCTGTTAGATGGTCAAGCAGGGGGACTGTGGTAAAGGGAAGAAAGTAGAAGAGGTACAGGAGGGTGCAGACTGTGCATAGAAGTAGCATTTACCACTTCTGCCCAAGTTGCGTTGGCTGGAACTGGGTCATGTGACCACATGTAGCTGCCTGGGAGGCTAGGAGATAAAATCCGTGTGCTAGAGGTAGAGAAATGGTTTTGGTTAATACAGAGGTTTCTCTACCACACACTCCATGCCTCACTGCGTTCGCTAATTACCTCCTCCTCCTCCTTCAGACCTCAGAGACACCTTTTACCTCTCTGACTAGGTCACATGACCCTGGTACTTCATGCACCTCTCTTGTGACACTTATCACATTGTAAATCTATTCTCCTGTGTTACTGTTTCTCCAATGCTTGTTTCCCACTAGACAGTGCTCTCTGAGGGCAGAAATTGTGTCTGTTTTGCTCATTCCTAACAAAGTGCCTGGGACATGGTAGGTATTCAGTAAATATTTGTTGGTTGAATGAATAAAAATGAAAGAAGTTAGTGGAAATCTAGTGCTATCCAGTAAGGCTGCGGAGGAAGCTAAACTGAAGTGCCCTCCCTCTTCCAGCCCTTGGACTTCAGTACCTTCATTGGGTCCTACATCTGACCCAATACCTTTCAGTGTGTCCAGGGGTCTGATCGGCCACTGCCTGACTCCTGACCCCTTCGATCCTGATGTCCCTGATACTCTTCCATTGCAAATAAATACTCTCGCCAAGATGGTCCAGCTTTTCCAGGCAGTCTGCTCAACAAAGCTTGTATATTTTTTGCCCTTCAGAGGCTGGCTTGGCCAATAAGCCACCGATTGCAGGCTGGCTTCACAGGGCATTCTCTGTGTCCCAGACAGCCATGAGGTCTCTCTTAACACTGGCTCTACTTATCCCTTAGATGTGTGGGTCCTCCTTTCCCCCTGTCCATCCCCAAATAAGTGCCCAGGACTGGCCTCAGTGAAAGAGCCATCAGAAGTGTGTAGAGGTTTGTGCTGAGGAAGATGAAGTGTCAAATTGTATCCTGAAGTTAAAGTCAATGCCCTGCCAACCTTCCAGAATCTTTATGAGATAAAGAGTTTGTTCGTACGAAAAATGTGTTTGTTCTTATTATTTTGCCACCAGCTTCCCTAGTATTTGATGTAGGCTACATATCCAGCATGGAAAAAAGAGGAAAAACTCTTAGCTCTTAAACACGCAACAGTGATGGTGGAATTTCAGACAGGAGGGGCAAGGTACTCTGTGCATGAGTAGGTATTATTACAGGGTCAAGGCATCACCCAGCAGTGAGTCCCATCCACAGCAGCATGTCTTACCCAATACCACCCCCAATCCTAGCAAGCATGTAGCCCTGCAGTGAGGGGCCTAGACATACCTGGGTAGAGGTGAGGGGTGGTGTCAACCTGAGAGTCTCTCCTGCATTCATTACAGATCGCAAAAGAGGATGCTGTCCTACCAGTAGCTCTCTTCCCATCTCTCTGCGAGTTCGTCTTTCATAACAACCCTCTGGTGGCCCATACACGAGGTATAGTGCCCGCAAACCTGCCCCCTCTCAACCCAGTGCCCAAGGAGCAGTGTGGCACCCTCATCCCCACCTCATCAATGCCAAGCCCTGGGATCTACTCTGTGTCGGGGTGGACAAGGTTCATGGTACATTGAGGAATGGAGGAAATAGCTCTGTACCAGCGCTTCCTGACAGTAACCCTGTGAGCAGGCATTATTGTCCCCACGGACAGTGGTAGAAACTGAGGCTCAGGGAGGTTCATGATCTGCCCAAGGTCACACAGCAAGAAAGAGTCTGAGTTGGGAATGGAATATGGAATTCTTTAAATCCTGTATGAGCTCTTTTGAACCACACCCTGCTTTGTGGAACAGTTCTGTCATGACCTCATTTCCCAATTCCCAGTTGCAGAGGGGTGCAGCCCCAACTGCAGGAGCCTCTCTTCCCAGAGCACACTGAATGGAGTGGTCAGCAGTGGAGCCACTGTGTAAGATACAGGAGTTGGAGGCATTTTAGAGTCCTGGGCCCTGGAGTGACACCAGTGAAGTTCTGATCATCACTCCACACTATCTTTATTATCTTGGACAAATTCCTTAGCCTCTCTGTGCCTCAGTTTCCTTGCCTATTGAATGGGAATAATGGTAGGAGGTAGGAATTCTCCTAGGAGGTAGGAATTCTCGACCTACCTCCTAGGGTTGAGAATAAGTTTCAGTAATACATGTAAAGCAATTTGAATAGTGCCTGGCACATAGTAAGCCCCAGTATAAATTTTAGCTAATAGTAATCTTATTTTCCCATCATGGCACCAGGGGTCCCTCCACTGCTGAAGAGCTTCCTCCAGGAGCGACTGGGAATCCACTTAATTCGAAGGAAGATAGTAAAGCCTAAGCATCATGTTTTGATGTCTCGGAAGGAATCATGGAAGGTAGGGCTTCCAAGGCAGGACTCCCACCCCCAGGAAGAGTGCAGCCTATTATAATGTATGCAAACCAACCTGGCTGTAGAGCTGCTCACTCCACAGTGCCTGGAATCTCTCCATTAGGTTCAGCATTGCCTTCTCCTTTCCTTGCTTTGGGAAGAGCACTGGATGAAACAACAGATATGAAAATATATTTTAAACTCCTAAAACTCTTACCATTGAAAGTTATAGTCACCTACAGTAATTGAGAATGGCTATGGGCCAGGCGTGGTGGCTCACGCCTCTAATCCCAGCACTTTGGAGGCCAAGGCGAGAGGATCGCTTGAGGGCAGGAGTTTGAGACCAGCCTGGGTGAGACCTTGTCTCTACAAAAACAAAACAAAACAAAAAAAAGAATAGCTAAGGCAGGACCAGAATACATCTCCTGCCTGAATCTTAAGGAAGTGTTTCCTTATGTTGAGAGAAGTCTGCTTCCTTTGCCATAAAGTAAGTGAAATCCCTCTTTCATCTGAAGAATTTCAAAAATTTCTGTGAAATGCTCCTCCCTCCTGAACTTTAGTCTTTCTACAGCCAAAAGGTGGGCTGAGCATTGCTGATCCCAAAAGTTAAATACAGATGTTTCCTTGCCACCCCCTCTGCAGCCCGCCTCTGTCCAGCCAGGCTCTTGTCTGACGTCCTCAGAGGACTGGACAAGCATTTGAAGTCAGAAATAGAAATTCCAAGGTTTCCATCATCTTCCTCCTTGTCTGTTACCTCCTCTTAAGGATCTGCCCCATCATTTCCCATCAGCCAGCCAGGGAGGGGCAGAATCCTCTCTCCTTTACAGAGCCCCATGCCCAGGACTCTGCAGAGCTCTTACGTGTATGCTATCCCATAATCCTCACAGTAGATGAAGCAACAGACTCAGAGAGGTGAACTGACTTGTTAAAAGTTAGTGTGGGTCCTAGGGGACCCCTCACACCTCCTCCCATCAAAGGTTCTGACTAACCTTTGAGCTAAATGAGTTAAATAAACACAGATGCCAGTGGCCAAATGAGAAACAAATCAATGCTTTGTTAATGTAGGCAAACACCCTCTATTCTGGACTGAAGAACGTGACTTAGTCCTGAGTCAGACTGGGGATGCCTGCATGTCCTCATTGTGCATACAGAGATGGGGCTAGAAATGCAGATTAGACCCCTGGGGTTACATGGACAAAGGCTGCAGTCCCTCCCCTCACACCTAGGCATGGACAGACAGGAGGAAAATGGAGAACCTGCCAGAGCAGGCCTGTAACCAAGAAGCTGTGTGAGCCCTTTGATGTGAGGACACAAATGGAAGATAAAATAGCCTGGTCTCATTGATGAGCAGTAATCCAGCCCACGACTGAAGCAGGGCCCAGTGACTCAACCTCTGGCCAGTTAGGTTACCCATTCCTCCCTTGGGAGGGGGCGGGGAAAGTAGCGGTGGGATAGAGAAAGAGCATTTCCTCTAGCACATCTCTCTCACAGAGCCATGAGAGGGAAGGGGAACTGTCCCTTCCCGCCAGCTGCCAAGTGATGGCGCTTGGTGTTTTAGATGCTGAGGTGCGGTGCTGTGTCCGTGCCCTGTGCCTTGTGGCATGGATTCAGACAAAGACTCTGGGTCCCTCAGAGTCTAAACACTGAGGTTCCACATATTTTCCAAAAGGAAATACATTTTTTTAAAGTAACATATTTTATAAAAGTCATCCTTCGCCCTCCTTAGTCCATTAGGTACATTTGCACACACCATTTCATTGGGTGGAACTCTGTGAGACAGGCACAAGGAGGAAATAGGTGCTCAAAGGATAGACCTGTATTCTAGCCCACATTTTTCTAACTACAGTGCTTGCAATCTTTCCACTACACAACTTACATCTCTCAGTAAAAGTACAGATATAAGTGAACCAAATACCTCTGACAAAGAGTGAAAACAATCCACTATGTAAAGGGGGAGAAAGAAAGGACTAAACCCAGCTGAGGGCACATGGACACCTCCTGGCAGCTGAGGCTGAGGAGGAGAGGGAGAATGGTCACAGGCTTTTACTAATTAAGGGAATTATTTTCTTGGTCCTGAATCTTTCAGAGAGATCTATCTTTAGGATCTTTATATAAGGTATAGGGAACAGCATCCTGAAAGGGGCCTGGTGCTGTCATCTTCCAGAAAATACAGGACCATTCCCCAACACCCTCTCCTCGGAGTCCCTGGGGAAAGCCATAGGCACCATGTTCAACCCTCATCTGAAGAATGAGACTACTGAGGGCCAGAGTACGTATGGTCAGGGATGCAGCATGAAGCCTGGAGCCCAGGACTGGAATTACATCGTCCAGGCACTACCGCCAAATCACTCTGGGACTTGGACAGGTCATTTTACCTCTCTAAGCCCCTGTTTCCTCATCTATAAAATTGGGGATAATTATTCATTGGGTAGTTTCAAGGTAGAAATAAAACAACTTACATCATGCATGGGGCACATCATAGATGCCCAACAAGTATGATTTCCCTTTCCACCCCCGCCTCAGTCCGTACCCAGCACTCCGGCTGCTATACAAGTGGCCTTAGGCTAGTGAGGCCCAGGAGGAGAGAATCCTAATTAGGAAGCAAATTCATTCTGGCCCTTCTCCATGACAGGTGAAAAGCGAAATCCCAAAGGTGCCGAAGCAGCCTCTGGTGCTCCATCACCCGCGCATGACGACAACCAAGTCTCCCTCAAAGGATATGCTAGAGCCAGAGGCAGAGCTGGCTGAAGATCTGCCCACTACCAAAAGCACTTCTGTGGAGTCAGAGATGCCCACTGAGAACCTGGAAGGCCATTCCCCGTCTTGCCGGACCTTCGTGCCACTGCCTCCCATCTGCTCCAACTCCACTGTGCATAGTGAAGAGACCCTGTCCCACCTGAGTGACACAACTGTCCGCCTCAGCCCAGAGCGCCCATCAGATGAGGACTCCAAGAGCACAGAGTCCATCTTCCTGACCCAGGTACCTGTATCCAGCTGCCCCTGCCCACTTGTTGCTAGCTCCCACAGGTTCCTGTGCAGCCCTTAGGCTCGATTGCTGTGGACAGCTGGGAGCAACAAGCACATGGCAGGTCTGGAAACAAGAAGTCAGCACCCTTGGTGGAGCTTGCAAGCCTCTTCTGGGAGATCTCTGGTCTGAGGACACTGATAGGGATACCTGATAGGGACACCCATGGGGATAAGTCATGGTTCTGTGGCACAGTCAAGATCTGGGGTCTGACTGGGGTGTGATTCCAACTAGTTTTTCAGAGGGGTTTGCTGCTGCCTGTACCTCTCTGCTTCAGGTCTCCTCACTTTTGATGCTGCCTCTGGATCCTGGGAACATAGATCAGATGCAGGTCGTGCCCTTAAGGTGCTCTCAGTATAATGGGGAACATAGACAGGAACAGCTTATGCAATCAGTGCTGAGACTGAGGGAATCCCAGAGGCTGGGAGTCTGGAGGAAGGAGAGATGCCTCTGCCCCAGCCCAGGAGGGCTTCCTGGAAGAGGCTCAACTGAGCTGAGATTTACAGGCTGAGTAGGAATTAAAAAGGTGAAGATATAGCAGCAAGGGCATTCTGGACAGAGGAAACAGCATGAAACAGGATAGAGGAAGGAAATTAAAATGGTACATGCAGAAACCACAAATGTTTAGTGTCAGTGCAGCAGAAGGGTGGCATGTGGCAAAGGGTAATATAAGGCTAGAAGAGTTGGCAGGGCCCCCTTGAACTTTATTACTGTACCATCCCTCTCCCTGATCTCCCTGCCTCTAGTCTTGCCCCTCCAGTCTGCTCACTGCCAGATCTTTCCAGGATGTACATCTATCCATTCATGGAGGTCTAACTCTCCATCTATTTCTTTTTCCACAGATGACTTATAGTGACATATAAATTTATACAGTATAAAAGTATCTTAAAGAAATATCTCAGAACCTTTTTGGAGCAATGCAGAATATAAATAAGCATTTTAAAAGAAACAATTTGAGAGAGTTAGATGAAAAGAAAATACGGACAGGAAAGGAAATAGTACAAGGGTAATTCTGTCACTCAAACATGCACATCATGCACTGCTGCTATTATAATAAAGGTGTTTTGACAAAATGCAGTTCTGAGCTCCTAGCGGCCAAAGCAATACAATCAATTATGAGTCACCATGTTTTCAGAAAAAAAAAAAAAAATCTTTTTTTTTCTGGCCTAATTGTCCTGGCTATAACCTTTAATACAATGATGAACAGAAGTGGTGAGAGCAGACTTCCTTGTCTTGTGCCTGTTCTTAAGGGGAAAGCATTCAGTCTTTCACCATTAATTATGATATTAGGTGAGGGTTTTCCATAGATGATCTTTATCTGGTTGAGGAAGTTACTTTCTATTCCTAGTTTGAGTGTTTTTTAATCATGACAGAGTGGGCTTTTCCTATGTCTACTGAGATGATCATATGGTTTTGATATATTATATTAATTGATTTCCAGATGTTAAACCAACCTTTCATTCCTAGGATAAATCTCACTTGGTCATAGTATATAATCCCTTTTACTTGTTGAATTCAGTTTGCTAATATTTTTTGAGAATGTTTGCATTTATATTCATAAGTGATACTGCTTTGTATTTTTCCTTTCTTGTGATGTCTTTCTCTAGTTTGGATTTCAGGGTAATACTAACCTCAGAGAATAAGCCTCTTTTAATTTTTGGAAGAGTTTGTGAAGTATTGGTGTTAATTCTTTTTTAAATGTTTGGTAGCATTCACCAGTGAAACCATCTGGTCCTTGGCTTTTCTTTGTGGGAAGTTTAAAAATTGCTAATTCAGCTTTTTTGCTTGTTATAGGTCATATATATGTACACACATACGTGTGTATATATAATATATATTCACAAATACACACACGTATATACATGGTGGGGTCTCACTATGTTGCCCAGGCTGTAGTGCAATGGCTGTTCACAGGCACCATCCCACTACTGATCAGGATGCGAGTTTTGACCTGCTCCATTTTCTACCTAGGCAAGTTCATCTCTCCTTAGGCAACCTGGTGGTCTCCCACTCCTGGGAGGTCACCATATTGATGCCAAACATACTGTGGACACTCGAGGAGCATAATGCACTACAGCCTAGAGCTCCCGAGCTCAAGCAGTCCTCCCATCTCAGCCTCCTGAGTAGCTAGGACTACAGGCATGTGCCACCCCACCTGGTGAGTAATTTTAATAAATAAATACATCCCTACATGACATACAGATTTCTTATAAAGCCATTAGGATAGGCTAAAATCCTCCATGGTTTGCCATCAGAGTGAGCATAAAGAAAATACAAAATAAAACGCACCCTCAGCTTGGCATATAATGGTCCTTACCGATCCGGGTCCTGCTTACCACTGCAGTTGCCTATCTCTTCACTTTGTACTTAACTGTACCAATCTTTAGTTCCCCGAAAATGCACCTTGATGTTTCTTACCTCTGCGCCTTTGCTCGTGCTGTTCCTTGTCTGAAACAATCATTCTTTCTCATCACTTGCAGTCCACACCTCTCCCCATTGCTCCGTAGGGATGGCTCTCCTGGCTCTTCAAGACTTAGCTCAGGCTAAGGCATTCCTCCAAGGGAGCTTCTTGGCTAGGTTGGGGCTTCCTCTGGGATCACCCAAAACCACTGTATTCCCTCTGTTAAAGCATTTATCAATTGTCTATTTTTATATCTGCTTTCTTCCATCCCAGTCTTGGTCTTACCCTTGCCCTTAACAGGGCCCAGCAGAGACCAGCACAGAGATGATACTCCGAATGTTCATGGAATGAATGAATGAATGAGTGACAAATGAATGCGTTTTCTTCCTGGGCACAGGTGAGTGAACTGCCTTCCTCCGTCATCCATAAGGATGATTTAGAGTTAAAGGAGAAAGACCAAAAGAAACCACCAACGGCACCCAGAGAGGTGAAAGGGACTCGGAGGAAACTCCCAACTGCCTTCCTTCCCAGCAAGTACCACGGCTATGAAGAACTGCTGACAGCCAAGCCTGATCCAGCCTTCATTGAGCCAAAGGGTATGTGAGGGCATATCCTTGCTCTAGGGCAAGAGGCCATCTCCACAGCTCAGAGCAAGTCAGGGTCAAGCCAAGGCTGGCACCAAGCTGTCTTTTCCCAACTAGGGTGCTGTCCTCTGTCTAAATACCTGTCAAAGGGCTCCTTTTAGGGTGTCCTTTGTTTGAAGCCCCACATATTGGGACCCCTGTCCTGGCCTAGGCCTTCACTGGCTTATGGGGAGCCACAGTTTATTCAGAGATTCTAGTTGGTCTCAGCCTAGCTGCTCTGGATGATAAAGTCTCTCCTCAGGAAAAGTGTGATGAATGAACACCCAGAATGGCCAGATTCTTGAGCTTTTCCCAGCCCAGGTTAAGTTCCCAAACTGAACGTCCAAAATCGTTCCTATCTGGTTGGAGGCAAAGGAGGCAGCTTCATCTCTGTGTTAATCAGTACTTCCAAAGCAACTGGCATTCAGCTGGGCTGTTCTGGGTGTTAGCCCCTGCGATATAACCCCCTGAGGTTAATGGGGTCACATTGGAGCCAGCCTTTTCCCCCACTCCAATACTATTTACCCATTACAATCTGTGCTATTTTTCCATTATAATATGGGACAAATACTCACTGAAGAATGATGGAACTTCAGGCACTGGAACAGATCCGGAAGAAACCTGGGGGCAGTGTTTTCTTTTGGGGACTCTCAAATCCTTTTACCTAGAGCTGCTGTGAGACTGAGGAATGAAGCAATCAGGGGAGGCATCTGGGAGGAGGAGGGGGAAGTGCCTTGACTCAGTCTTGCCTTCTTGCCCTAGGAATCCAGAAGAATGCACAAGCCCTGCAACAAATGCTGAAGCACCCACTCCTGTGCCACTCCTCCAAGCCCAAGCTGGACACTCTTCAGAAACCCTATGTTCACAAAGAGAAACGGGTAAACATCCAGCTCACTGAATGTGTAAATGGCCCCTGAGTACCGCCCACAATTACAGATGTGGCTGTCACCTTGGGACCCTCTGAGGGCCATGCTTTCCCAGCACCCCCAGATGCCCCCCAGCCTGTTGCTGTGACTGTATGAAGTTAGGCCAGGGAAGTCTGTGCATAAACCTGGGATAACACCCTCCTCCATGACCTTCTGCCAGGCCCAGAGAATCCCGATTCCACCCCCAAAGAAGACTAGAGCCCAACTTCTGGATGACATCTTCATTCGCTTGCGGGATCCCCGGAACATTACAGAGGCTCCACTAGGTACGGCTCTGCCACAGCTGCCAGGATCCCAGATCCAGTTCACGCCTGCTGGCTAAAGGCAAAGAAAGGGCTTGTGTCAGTGCAGGAAAGGCCCTTAGAGAGCAACTGCCTACATCAGTCTCTACATGTAGATGGACAAAAGGAGAGCCAGCGTGAGGCAGGGAGTTGCCTAAAATCACACAGCATGTTAAGGTCCTGAACCAGGGCTTAAGATAGAGTCAATGCATAGGGGCAGTAGGAAGTCAGTGACTTCCCAAGCTGGAAAGGCCATTTTTAGCCCCTTAGCATCCTCCTGCCACACCATCCCATTTTCCAAGGGTCTCTGGACCCAATCCTCTTGCTTCTGGCTAGGTGAGAACCAGGATGAGCTTGGTGCCTCTCCTGGCTTCTTTTCCTGCAGGTGCTGTCCTGCACCAGTGGACAGAACGGCGGCTGGTGAACCACAAGCAGTACCTGGAGGCCAAGAGGCTGTTGAAGGAGTTCCAGGCACGTTACCGGCAGCTGGTGAGTGGCTCTCTGCGCACAGTGTTCGGGACTACCCCGCTCCCCATGGCCTGCCCAGCGCTGAGTGAGAGCCAGCCCAAGTTCGGCCACTTCCTCGAGTTCATGGATGAGTTCTGCCAGGAGCCCACAGCCAGTGACTCACAAGGCTAGAGCTGTGCATGGGGGCTGTGTGCACCACCCGGCCTGTGCCCCAGCTCTCCCCGAGGGCTCTGTGCCCTGGACCGCACCTCAAGGTTGACCAGCCGGCCACAGGCCTCAGAGCTCAGCTGGGCCCCACTTGCTGGCCACAAGGTGGCATCCCCTTGTCAGGATCTCCCCTCCTTGGCCCAGGCATGACCTGGTGCCTGGCCCAGCGGCAATAAAGAGTGGGTGCACAGGGCAATAGACTGGGTGCCACATGCATTCTTTCTTGGAACCCAGGCCACAGCAGCATTGTCACACTTCCCTCTAAAAATGGTTTTCCAGTTCAGATGCAACAGGGATACATTTGTTCTCTGTTGTATGAGAAACTGACACCAAGGGGATCTTAACAAATTCCTGAACAATGGCTCCAAAAAAGGGTATTTTTAAAAACCAGATCTTGTGAGTACAGCCCTAATGTGCAGGGACAGTGTCATCCTGTATATTCGTTCTTTACTCAGACTCTTTCTTGGTTCCTTCATTAGGAGCATGAATGGTTGAATGTGAACATGACAGTAAATTGGAGCAAACTGTAAACTGGACATAACTTATGCCAAAAGACGTAGTTGTACACCATGGAAACCCCATCCCTGCTCCTAATCTCTACTGCCATTCTGAATGCCAAAGCAAGACATCCAACATGGGGCATCTCCCAGAGCACATACAGCACCAAAAATCCACACACAGCCTAAGCTTAACCCATGTTTTTGTCTGAGATTGTTCACCAGAGACAAGACTCTGACTATAAACAGAACATCCACTTTCATGAGTTTCCTTTACTGTATTCTCAACTTGGGCCTTGCTTCAAGCAGGCAAACATACATTGAAGAATGCACTTTGGTACTGTTTAAATAACAACACATCAGCCCACTTGATTCCATGCCATGTCCTTGCTGACAGAAACATCCCCAACAGGGCATGCCCTGGTCCAAGTCCTCTGTCTTTGTCAAAATGCTCTTCTGATGAGTTGGAGAGGAGGCAGCCAGCAGTGGCAGTCCACAAGGATCCAGGTACCTTCTCCAATCCTAAAGCAGACAGCAGGTTGAATAAAACCAATACACAACCTATTTTCTAGGCAGGAGGGGAAAAGGCCCTTAGGACAATAATATTTGTACAAAGAGTTGAGAGTAAACAAACAGTGTATCAGGTTCAAAAAAAAAAAAACTATTCGTTGGCATTTAAATTTTTTTCCCTTGCATAGTATCTATTCTCTCACTAGGACTTTTAAGTGCTCTGCTGGAGGCTCAGCGTTGGTAATACCATGTTTGATGCAAACTTGAACCCAATGCTCTCATTGGTGGCACAGCTTTGGAGGGTGGTGGCCCCAAGAAGGGGCAATCTGCCTGCTGCTATATTAATCTGGAACCAGGGCCAACAGCTACTCTTGAACTATGGTATTTGAAGAGCGAGTTCATTGCCTGTTTTACCTTAAATGACAGGAAAGGAAGATGAACAAACCTTGCTTTGCCTTGGCTTCAAACTAGTTCTTGATTTAAGACACCAGAAAGGGAGAGAGGGAGTCTGCTTAGAGTTTGAGGTTGCCTCTCACAAGATGACAGTTAAAAGTTGCCACCTTACTTAAAAGGCATTAAGGAGGCATTTACTCACAAAGGAGAGAGAGTAAATTTTTTTCTTAAGAGGAAAAAAATACTGATAATACATAGAACAATCTGCACATCCAGTCTTGGCACTTTTTCCAATTTGACTGATCTCTAAACTGGTGACCCTTGCATATATCTTAGTCTCTTTTCTACAATCTTCTTCAGAAAGCTACAGCAGCTAACAATCATGTATAAAGATGCATTTCCTAGATCATCTTCAGAAGAAAATCTCTTCAGCACTTTCCCTAGAATCTGTCTCCTGACCACCCCGCCCCAGACCTGCTTTCTCTTTTGAGAATTCATAACCAGGTATGTTTAGATACCAGTTCAAAAGACCACTCTATGGGTTGATGAGGAAAAGGCTGCCTGAGGACAATTTAAGACCATAATGAGTTTCCAATTTTTAAAGAAAATTTGGCTAGCTGGCTTTTAATTCTTAATTAAAATCATTAAATTTAATTAAAATTATTCCAATCAAAATATATCACTTTCCAAGATTCCACATTCATATTACTTACTTATACTATGGAGACTTTCTCTACCTGAGCATGTATTCAGGGGCTATAGGTACATTTAACTCTAACTAACTGAAAAAAATCAGGAAGAAAAAACTATTAAAATAAAATAACCTCCTAAATCATTTGGGGGTATCCCCATCATTGGTGCGTGTGTCTGCGTGTGTCAAACTTTAATGATTATTTATTCAGACCCTGGAAAACCACACTATAAAATAGGGCACTGGATCACAAGTTCGTTTGGTTAAAAAAAAAAAAAAAAAAAAGTGGGGGCGGGGGGCAGAGAAGAAGTTTAACTTGGATGATTTCCATGCCCATTCCAGCTGTAACATTCTATGACTGTGACCCAGCCTTTGTTCTCTTTTCTCACTCTCCTACTAGACATTTCAATGAAAAGTTAGGCAGGAAAAAGGAAAGGAATCCCAAGTTGCTGCCAGCTCTGATGAGAGATCAGGTTGGGGGAGAGATTAGGTGGTTACTGAATTGAGGTGTGGGCCTCCCCTGACCATGTCAGTGATCCACAACCCACCTCACTTCTTGGGGCTTAAGCTAAAAGCAGCTTCTGAAGAGATGTTAATGTCCTGTAATCACTAGAGGAGAAAATTCATTCTCCTTCCATAACATTACTTAGTAAAGGAAAAGCGGTGGTGCAATCAAATTCACAAATACCAATGGGGTCTCTAAAATGTAGAATGCAGCTTGCTGGGTGCTGGTCAGTTTTCTAAATGGGACCAGAAATGGCTTTCCTAAGACCATAAATGAACTCTCCAGCCACACATACATTCAAATGCATTCCATTAGACATTGAGCTCCTCAAGAGCAGGAACTGCTTTATCTCCACAGTCCAGCTCAGGGTTGGCTCAAGTCTGAAGCTCAGTAAATGTCTGTCAAATAGAAAAGAAAGGATGAGCCTTCGGTCATCAGCTACATGAGTCAGGCACGGTGGCAGCTTCCCATTTTAGTCAGTTTGCCAGTTTGTAACCAGACAGTAATCAATTAAGAGCTTTAATCTCTTAAGGACATTTTTCCTTTAGGGAAAATGAACAAAAAATAAAACATTTATTACCAGTGCTGCTTCCAAGCAAAAATTTAAAAATTAAATTAAAATTTAAAAAATAAGTGAAGCCACTTAGGAGTTTCCCTGGCAAGCCTCACCCAAGAAGACTTAACCTTTTTTAAAAAGAGGCAAATAGATTAAAGGGGCCAGGGGCTGGATGCATAATCCCCTGATCTGATACCAACCCAACAGGCCCAGATGACTTCTTCCAGCAGATACAATCAATGGGTCAAGAACATTTTCTCAAAGTTTCTTTCCCTCTCTATGGAAAAGAGCTGACAGCCCCCTTCTAAGGGCACCACATTTCCTGGATTTCCCCTCAGACTGACCTTCACCCTCCCCCCTAACTTCCCCTTTAATAATAAAAAAACCCAGAATGCATATATACAAGGAACAGAGTAAGACATGGGTAATTTGTATGGTGAACTGGGCTTCAATGATTTGTGAGGAATTTGTTTTGTGAAATCCTGCACCTCTTATTCTAGCTCACAAACCCTTCCCATCGTTCTGTTTCCTTCCTTGTCCTTTTCTGTTCCCCCAAATAATACACATCAACATATCGACTTTTAACCAACTTCAGAATCATGGAAGGAGAGAGGGAGATTTTTCAGAAAGAAAAGCATTCAGGTTTTAGTTATTAAGGATGGGAAGCATCTTAAAATTCAGATAATACCTTAGTGGTTTTTCCTTCCTCCAAAGCCAACCTGATTAAAGATCAACCCTCCTCCCTCCTTAACCTAGACCACTCTACCTATATTTGAAGGACTGTTGCTCAGCAGGAAGTTTAGAAAACAACTGTCAATACCATCCTAGGCATCACTGTAGGTACAAGGGGGGAAGGCAGTAAGCTGGACCTAGAGTTTGGACTATTTGCTTAACAAGAATTTGTTCTTCATTCTGCACTTGTTACAACTGCTATGCAATTCTTAAAATGAAAGTATTAATTTGGGGAAATATTTAAAATATATATCTTTTATCTATTAAAAATATTTCTTTTTACCAAAGACAAAAATCAATTCCAACTGAAAAGTGTTTTTCAAATTACTGGAGATATAGAGAAAGATGGCAAGTGGAAAAATAAGTGTCTTTGCTCCTACCAACAAGACTAGCCTTCCAATAATATTTACTAAGATCAAAAAGGAAATGCGTGAAATGGCAGTAACTGATAAGTTTCCTCTAAGGGCATTTATAGTAAGGTCACCCTCCCTGTCTTCTGTAAACCAGAGCCAGCTCTTCTGTTTTGGGCACAAACATGCCCTCCAGCAGCTCTTGGAGGACATAAATTGTTGGTAGGGCCCAGAACTGAAGTGGTGTGACTACAAAATCATGAGTTTGGTAAATGTTTTTAAAACATACATCTGCATATGTGCACACACACAGAGAACACAGAATGCATACATTCAGGTGAGTGATGTTCCCCACCAACGTAGTCACCAAAGAGATTCCACCTATCTCAATGATGACCACAATGTTTAAGACATCTCTGGAATTTCTGTTTGGGAACTGTTTGGGAACTATGAGCTGCACAAGAAAATGGCTCTGCTTTACAGCAGCACTCATTACTACAAACCCACTTGATAAGCCACCTTCTTTCCCAGAGGCTTCAAATAGCTGCTGGCTAGTCTCAGACATTACATTCTCTCTCTCTCTCAACCACAAATAACCACAAAACACTGAAGATTTGCCCTGAGAAAAGGCAAATCTGAGAACACTTAAAAGGAGTTATACTATCTGCCTTGATCAATGGGTCACTGTTCTGGACTTTGGCTTCTAGGTCTAGAAGCTGAGGAGGACCTTAGGAGGAGGCTGGAATAGATAACCATTAAGGTCCCTTCCAGTTCTAGCATTTTGGGAGTCAGTGTTTCTAGTCTTTGAAGACAGTTCCAGAAATGCTTTCACCAATGGCACTGGAAAAACTAAGCAGTATCCTGCTGGGGCTACTCAAAGGAAACAACATATATTGGGATATATAAGCTCTGGAAGGTCTGTTAAAATGCCAGTCACATGACTTTATATAGTAACTCATACTACATGGGGCATGCCAGCCCATCAGAAATTCCCTAAAATCATATCTTCATCCCTATTCTCAATGAGCCCAGATGGGCAGAAGCACCAAGCACCACCAGGGATGCAAAAGACACATGGTGTCAGCTGCTAAGGAAAATAAACCCCCAAAGGTCCATGGGACTGAATTTACCAGCTGCATCCAGCTAGATACCTTGTTTCCATAGTATGGAGTTTAAGTATTGTTCCTTGCCTGACTTCAGGGTGATTTTTTAGGATTTTAGATCAACATTGCAGATAACCCTTGGCCATTTGAAAAGTAATAATGAAGCCTGATTATAGTTTGTCTCATAGGCTGAAACCCCCAGAAAAGCAGAAGGCTCTAAACTGTGGGGGATGGGGATAATGCACATATATGTTTATCCACCCTGTCGATCTTGTTTGCATGTGGATTCTGCACTATCAGTGTTCAATGCCCAGCCTAGCTTCCCCTAGGCTCCCCTGGCACACCCTTAGGTTGTGATCTATTTGGGAAACCTTTAGAAAATCCATGGGTTATGCCACTTGGTAGTTGAGAGAACCAGAACATCTGCACTGCAGTTTCATCATCTAAAAATGGGGCTAATGCCAGTTACATGAGAGGTCTCTTGGAAAGACTAAATTAATAAGGTCTGTAAATGTGCTCTGTCAACTATATAGCATTCACCAAATATTATTTTTTAAACAGAGAATGTAAATTAACTTTTGTAAAGGCATAATCTTAACTGATATATTTACTTATTTTTGGCAAGGGACAGCAGAAAGCGTAACATAACCATCTATCATTTTGGATCTGCCAAGGAACTAAATTGTTCACTTGTCTGAAAAAGATGGAATTAATTTTTATCTGCAAGGCTGATTTAAAACAATACCCTGCTGAAAGAAGTCAGGAAGTCTATCAGTTTAAGAAGGTATCCCCTCTTTACCATTACTAACTGTGGCCATTATGCTCCTGAGGCCGTTCCAAATCTCATTCCCAGTGGGTGCTGCCAGGTTTGGCCCAGAAGCCCTTAGGGATGGGTCACTCAGGCTTCTGGCCTGGGTCACAGAGAAACGGAGATGCTTTTCCCTTGGATATTGACTACAAAGGCCCTGGAACCTCTCAGAACCATATTAGACAGTGTTTTGCCATTAAAATAAAACCAAAGTGAGAACACTCAGCTCTTCAGGATAAATGATCAAGGCCTAAGACCTTTTAAAAATAGGTAACACTTCATTAGGTGCTACTTGGCCCCGGCCATGTTGCTGGACCGTAGGAGATACTGATCCACACTTCCTTTTCGCCGGCTCACAGTCCGCCTCTCATTGTCGAACATGCGCTGCAACTGCAGAGCCAACTGTCGGTCTTCTTCCTCTTGCTGAAGCTTCTGCTCCATCTCTCGCAGGACTGGGTCTGTTGGGGCCAGACCCACCTCCCCACTGGTTTGTCGCAGTTTTTTAAGGGAGCCATTTTGTTCTAAGTGCTTGGTCTTGCAGTGTCTTTTCCGGCCTCGACGCAAAGAAGGAAGTGGCTCTTCACTTAGGCTCTCAACTAGAACACCATTAGTCAGATCAAAATGATTTAATGTCTTCAATTGTTGCTTTGTTTTGAGGACTCCACCCAAAACACTGTTTTGGGGTAGCACTGAATTAACTGTGGTGATTTTCATGGCTCTGCTTATACAGGTTTTGTCTAACTTGGCATCTGGAGTTGACCCTAACCCCTCAAACTGCTCCCTCTCCAAAGAAGTCCCACTGCCTCCCCCTTTGAGTTCTGAGGAACAGCAGGTTTCCAGTGGGATCTCAGTGCTACTTTTATTATCACTGTCCTGTTCTGCTTTTGTTTGGCTAACAGAGGGGAAATGATCAAGATCAGCAGAGGTGGGTCCAGTATACTCAGAGAGGACCTGCCCACCAGATAATCTTGTATTTACAGCCACAAGTGGCTTCTCCTTGCTAGAATGGATACCTTCAGAGCCTAGTAACTCTTCCCCCATTTCAGGAGCCAGAGAGGTAAGAGTGGCTTTTGAAAGGGTCTTTTTGATCTGCCGCTCCTGAAAGATCTGTTCCCACTTTTTGAGGATCCGTGGACTGGCCTCATAAGAAGTCTGCTTCTGCAGGCTTCTGTTTAGGTTGCGTGGAGTTGATTTGATGATGAGAGGACTTAGCACACGGCCATCAGGGAGTCTCTTGGGAGGAGTACATGGTGAGCAGACAATGGGCTTGAAATGGTTTAGTTCTTCGGAGATGCTGTCATTGCTCTCAGGGCTGACAGAACGCTCTGGCTTATGCAGGGAAGCCAAGGATGAAAGGGAGCTGAAGGGTAGACGCTTTTCGATGGTTAAGTCAGGGGCCGAGACGCAGCGGTTGTTTTGAGTTGACAAGAGGACACCAATGATGGGGTTGGAGGCTGGAGTCATAGTTGTGACCTGAAAGAGATTAAAAAGATTATGCCTTCATACACACATACATATACATTTTCCTTCATCATTCCTTTATGATGGTGGAGGCACAGGGAAGGGGAGGACAAGAAAAGGGATGAAGGGTAATGTGAGCCTAAGAAATGGAGAAAATCCCTAACTTAGAAAGCATACCATTTAGCAGAAAATCCTATATACTTCAAACAATTCATAAAACTGAAAATCTGTAGGGGAGAAAAAACACTTATCTAAAGCTTTAAAAAAGGTTTCTTGTCCAGGCATGGTGGCTTATACCTCCCAAAGTGCTGTAATCCCAGCATTTTGGGAAGCTGAGACAGGTGTATTACTTTGAGACCAGCCTGGAAAACAT
The DNA here is from genome assembly GCF_000001405.40 of Homo sapiens. Classification (NCBI taxonomy): domain Eukaryota; kingdom Metazoa; phylum Chordata; class Mammalia; order Primates; family Hominidae; genus Homo; species Homo sapiens. The sequence goes on along the minus strand of NC_000011.10, from coordinate 74,835,184 downwards.
AGCAAGATCCCATCTCTACAAAAAAATTTAAAAATTCCCCAGGTATGGTGGCATGTGCCTGTAGTCCCAGCTACTTGGGAGGCTGAGGTGAGAAAGGCTACTTGAGCCCAGGAGTCTGAGGCTTCAGTGAGCTATGGTTGCACCACTGCACACCAGCCTAGGTAACAGAGTGAGACTCTGTCTCTTAAAAAAAAAGAAGGGGGGATTCTCTAGTAGCCCTAATTCTACCCATCTGGCTACTAATTCAAACTTTCTTCCTTCACATCTGTTTGTGGACTTCTCCAATATAACTAGTATGCCTGGGCTCATTCTGCTTCTTCTCTTCTGGAATAGTTTATTTCATGACCATGTGCAGAGGGGGTGATGGGGCAAGCCTCACAAGCCCCGGAGGTCTGTGGCTGAGGTGTACCTTGGCTTTGTTGCCTGGAACTGCTCTGACTCTGCTCTTCGCTCTTTCCTGGGCTGTGTCACTACAGCTCTGACTCCTTTCCACCTTGGAGTTTAGCTTCCTAAAAAAGAATAAATAAAAAACGAGTAGTCAAAATTAGTCCATATATAGGTAAGGAAAAAGGATGACAATATCTTTTTGCTTTCTAAGCCACTCACCAGGAAAGAATTCCCTTGGGCAGCTACAATAGAAAATGAGTTAATTTATTAACAAAATACATTCTGAATAGAAATTCTGCCAAAAGACAGTGCTCCAGAGAGGATATTTGGTTCAAGATTTTGTTTCCAAACTAGACCCTGCCAAAAGGAGGCAGAACCAGTGGCTATTTTGAACATGCTTAGAGAGATGTAGATACTTCACTATCCTTAATAGGGTGGATACAATGTTAAATCACCTTTACAACAAACAGATTTTTCTTTTTATTAGACCCAAACCTCTCTTCAATCTACATCAAGCACAAATATTGAAGTACTTACAAAAATGCACAGCAGTGCATTAGATCTCTATGTACAGAGTCAAAATTAAATGTAGTCTCTCCTTTAATCCATTACATTTGAGCTTTCAAAGGCCTAAATCCTAGTGATTTCAGAGGTTTAAAGAACACATGATTTTTGTCTTTATGACATTGAGTTTATAACCCAAACCAAACTCCACAGTACTTGGATTCTATACTGAAGTCCACTACACTATAGCATAGTAAGTACCATAAGACAGCAGTTAGTATGCAACTAAACTTCCCAAGTGTCTTCTTCTAAGAGTTTTATCATTTTGACTCTTAAGTTTAGGTCTTTGGTCCATTTTGAGTTAAATTTTTTAACTCAAAATGGTGTGAAGTTGGAGTCCAACTTTATCCTTTTGTATGTGGGTATCTATTAACAGTTGTCCCAGGATCATATGTGAATCTATGTTAGAATTATGTGCAGATGACTGTCACCTGCCCCAGAAACAAGTAGGGACACTTAATTTCTCACTCGCCTTTGTTTCCCCATTCCTCAACTCTTGCCTAAATATATGTCTGTTCACCAAGCATGTATCATATACTTACTATATGTATGCCAGACACTGATGGCCATTATCCAGGCACTGAGAATACAGAGAAGAATGAGACACAGTCTAGATCTTCAAGGAATCAGAGTCCAGTGGACAAATAAATACAATACAGTGAAAGGGCACAACAAAAAAAAGTATGCATAGGAAGCAGAAACGGCATAAAGGAGAGAGTTCTTCATAACCTGGGATGAAGTGAGATCTGGGTTGGAAAAGTCCTCCTGTAGCATGTTCATTTCAAAGGATAAACAGGAATATGCCGTAAGTCAAGGTGGACACATAGTTATGCAGATGATCTCAAACAGAAATTATTTCTTCAAATGATTCGATTTAGCTTTGGAATGGAACGCATCATATCTACTCTTTTGTAGCAAAAGACTTGTTTTCAGAGTTTTACTATGCCAGCATTAGCTTGGAGAAAACTTGTAAAGGAGGTAAGGTACCTTCCCAAGGTGCCTCTCTTCTCCCTACATCTCTAGTAAGTAGAGGGGGTAGCATGTCCTACCCACTCATAAGGGCTTCTATTCCAGTATTTCTGTGTTATTCCTCCCATTCAAAACCCTCCCATCCTATATCTTATGGCCACATAGTGTTAATAGGAGAAAGAGGTGGCCAGCCTGTATCACGTGCTTGCACTTTACCAAGAAACTCAACATTTAACCCAAATGAAAGATGTGAAAGTTGTACTATCTAGTGGGAAATACATTTTGGAGCAGGTGGAAAATTTCAACATCCCCCTATAAAAGCAGCTGTGTAAAAGTCAGCTTGATTGGTAGTTTACTTTTAAAAATATTGATATTCATTTGCATCCCTAGAAGTCACAGAAACTGTCAGTGGCATAAGCCACCCAGAAGTATACTGTATGGCAGATTAAAATGCTGTGGTAAATAATATATACCTTGGGTTAGAAAAAAGGGAGACAGCATTGTTGAGAGAGACAGCATTGTTACTTCAAATATATCAATTGTTTGGTGTGATTCCATCGGCAAAACAAGCAGACACCAAGAGGAAAAGATTTTCTGATCAACCTGAGAAAGACTTTTTTAACTTTCAATAGAGCAGTTCACCGATAGTTGCCTGGGAAGACACTGAGCTCCAGGCCGTTAGAGGTATTCAAACTGAGGCGGGATCTAGACCTTAAGTTCCAAATATTACATAATTAAGAAATAACTTAATTTTTAAAAACAGGCTATAAATCCATTTTGTCAGGTGTAAAACAGTCAAATTGAAAGTCACTGTTTTCAAGCCTACGTTATCAGATACACAAATGACAACTACCTGTAGCTGGGGAGAACATCTTCACATGCCCCATAAACTCCATTTTGGCAAAAGAAAAGGCCCAGGGAGGAAACACACTTGCAGTGACCAAACATGCAATGAAGAAAAAAAAAAAAAAAAATTCTGACAATCTAAAATCTTTTTGCTAAACTTCAGTGTAGCTGAAATTGTCATTATCTCTCCTATTCATATTTGACCAACAGACTTCTTACTGACCACCAACTGTGCAAAGCATTAGAGACAGATTGATCAAAAGACAACCTTCACTGAAAGGAGCGTCTAGCCACTGAAGTCCACCACTCTGTAGCATAAGTGCTGTAAGAGATCAGTTATTATACAACTGAACTCCTCAACTGTTTTCTTCTAAGAGTTTTATAGTTTAAGCACTTACATTTAGGTCTCTGATCCATCTGGAGTTCATTTTTGTATGTGGTATGAGGTTGGGGCCCAACTTCATTCTTTTGCATGTAGATATCCAGTTATACCAGCACCATATGTAAAGTGGCTGTTCTTTCCCCACTGAATGGTCTTGGCACCCTTGTTGGAAATCAGTTGACCATGGATGTATGGGTTTATTTCTGGACTCTCAACTCTATTCCATGGATTTACATGTCTACCCTTATTCCAGTACCACATTGTTTTGATTGCTATACTTTGCAGTAAGTTTTGAAATCAGGAGTTGTGAGTCTTCCACCTTTGTTCTTTTTTTTTTTTTTTCAAGATTGTTTTAACTATTTGGGATCCTCTGAAAATTCATATATGTGTTTTGGTATGTTTGTCCATTTCTGCAAAAAAGATCATTGGAATTTTAATAGATGTTACACTAAATCTGTAAAACGACTTCAAGAGTATTGCCATCTTAACAATATTATGTCTTCTAATCCATGAGCACAGGAAGTCTTTTGCTTAGTTAGATCTTCTTTAATTTCTTTCAGCAACGTTTTGTAGTTTTCAGCATACAAGTCTTGCACTACTGCGGTTAAATTTATTCATAAGTATTCTATTTTTTGATGCTATTGTAAACTGAATTGTTTTCATAGTTACCTTTTTGGGTTGTTCACTGCTAGTGTATAGAAATGCAACTGATTTTTGTGTGGTGAGCTTGTATCTTGCAACTTTGCTAAAATTTGTCTATTAGCTTTAACAATTATTTCATGGATTTTTTAGGATTTTTTGTGATTAACATGTCATGTGTAAACAGAGATAGTCTTACTTCTTCCTTTGCCATCTGGATGCCTTTTATTTTTCTTGCCCAATTCTTCTGGCTAGAATTTCCAGTACAATGTTGAACAGAAGTGGCAACAGTAGACATCATTTATCTTGTTCCTGCTACTGGGAGGAAAGTTTTCTCTTTCACCACTGAGTATGATGTTGCTGTGGGTTTTTTATAGATTCCTTTTATAAGACTGAAGTTCTCTTATTTTCCTACATGTTGAGCATTTTTCTCATGAAAGGGTATAAGATTTTGTCACTTTTTGTGCGTGTCTACTGAGCTTTTTTCCCCTTCATTCTACTAAAATGGTACATTACATTGATCTTCGTATGCTGAAACACCTTTGCATTCTTGGAATAAATCCTGCTTGGTCATGGTATATAATTCTTTTAAAAAAATGCTGCTGGATTTTGTTGGCTAGTATTTTTGCTGAAGAATTTTTATCTATATTCCGAAGAGATCTTGGCCTCTACTTTTCTTATGAAATATGTGTCTGACTTTGGTATCAGGGTAATGCTTACCTCATAGAATATTTATTCTTTTAATTTTTGGGAGAGTGTGAGGATTCACATTAATTCTTCTTTAGTTGTTTGATAGAATCACCAGTGAAGCCACTGGCCCTCGGCTTTTATTGTTGGATTTTTTTTTTTTTATTATGGGTTCAACCTCTTTACTTGATATAGGTCAATTCAGATTTTCAACTTCCTCAGGTACTTTACGAGTTTCTAGGAATTGGTGCATTTCATTACATTCACTCTAGGAACTGGTACATTTCATCTAAATTATCTAATCTGTTGGCATTAAAATTGTTCATAGTATTTGTCTATAATCCTTCTTAATTCTGTAATAACAGTAATGTCATCATTTTTCTTCCTAATTTTGGTAATTTGAGTCTTCTCTTTTTTTCTTGACCAGTCGTTAAAAATTTGTCAATTTTGTTGATCTTACCAAAGGACCCAACTTTTGGGTTTCATTCATTCTACTGTTTTCCTATTCTCTGTTAATCTTAAATGTAATCTTTATTATTTCTTTCCTTTTGTTTTCTGTGTTTAGTCTACTCTGTGTGTTTAGTCTTAGATCTTTTATAATGTAGGCTTTTACAGCTATAAATTTCCCTCTGAGCGCTGCTTTCATTACATTCAGTAAGTTTTGATGTACAGGTTTTCTTTAATTTTTACCTTTTTCTAACTTTTAAGTTCAGGGGTACATGCGCAGGATGTGCAGGTTACATAGCTAAACCTGTGTCATGGTGGTTTGCTGCACAGATCATCCCATCACCTAGGTATTAAGCCCAGCATCCATTAGCTATTTTTCCTGATGGTCTCCCTCCTCCCACCCCCATTCTCCTGCAGGCCCCAGTGTGTGTTGTTTCCCCAGTTTCCCCACATGTGTCCATGAGTTCTCATCATTCGGCTCCCACTTTATAAATGAGAATATGTGATGTTTGGTTTTCTGTTCCTGCATTAGTTTGCTGAGAATGATGGCTTCCAGCTCCATCCATGCCCCTGCAAAGGACATAATCTTGTTCCTTTTAATGACTGCATAGTATTCCATGGGGGTATACGTACCACATTTTCTTTATTCGGTCTATCACTGAATGGCATTTAGATTGGTTCCATGTCTTTGCTATTGTGAACAGTGCTGCAATGAACACACATGTGCGTGTATTTTTATAAGGGAATGATATATATTCCTTTGTGTATATACCTAGTAATGAGATTGCTGGGTCAAATGGTATTTCTGCTTCTAGGTTTTTGAGGAATCACCACACTGTCTTCCACAATGGTTGAACTAATTTGCACTCCCACCAACAATGTAGAAGTGTTCCTTTTTCTCCACAACCTTGCCAGCATCTGTTGTTTTTTGACTTTTTAATAATAGCCATTCTGACTGGTGTGAGATGGTATCTCATTATGGTTTTGATTTGCATTTCTCTAATGATCAGTAACGTCAAGCTCTTTTTCATATGCTGGTTGGCCACATGTATGTCTTCTTTTGAGAAGTGTCTATTCATCCTTTGTCCACTTTTTACTGGGGTGGCTTTTGTTTTCTTGTAAATTTGTTTAAGTTCCTTGTAGATGCTGAATGTTAGACCTTTGTCAGATGGATAGATTGCAAAAATTTTTCTCCCATTCCATAGGTTGTCTGTTCACTCTGATGACAGTTTCTTTTGCTGTGCAGAAGCTCTTTAGTTTAATTAGATCCAATTCATCAATTTTACTTTTGGTGCAATTGCTTTTGACATCTTCGTCATGAAATCTTTGCCCATGCCTATGGTCCTGAATGGTATTGCCTAGATTTTCTTCTAGGGTTTTTATAATTTTGGGTTTTACATTTAAGTCTTTAATTCATCTTGAGTTGATTTTATTTTTTATATGGTGTAAGGAAGGGGTCCAGTTTCAGTTTTCTGCATATGGCTAACCAGTTCTCCCAGCACCACTTACTAAATAGGGAATCCTTTCCCCATTGTTTTTGTCAGGTTTATCTAAGATCATATGGTTGTAGGTATGTGGTCTTATTTCTGGATTCTCTATTCTGTTCCATTGGTCTGTCTGTTCTTGTATCAATATCAGGCTGTTTTGGTTACAAGTAGCATTGTAGTATAGTTTGAAGTCAGGTAGTGTGATGTCTCCAGCTTTTTTCTTTTTGCTTAGAATTGTCATGAATATTCAGGTTCCATATGAATTTTAAATGGTTTTGGTTCCATATGAATTTTAAAATAGTTTTTTCTAATTCTGTGAAGAATGTCAATGGTAGTTTAATGGGAATAGAATTGAATCTATAAATTGCTTTGGGCAGTACAGCCATTTTAATGATATTCATTCTTCCCATCCATGAGCATGCAATGTTTTTCCATTTGTTTGGGTCATCTCTGATTTCTTTGAGCAGTGGTTTGTAGTTCTCCTTGAAGAGATCCTGCCTTCCCTTGTTAGCCCATATTCCTATTTTATTCTTTTTTTGTCAATTGTGAATGGGAGTTCATTCATGATTTGGCTCTCTGGTTACCTGCTACTGGTGTATAGGAATGCTAGTGATTTTTGTACAATGATTTTGTATCCTGAGATTTTGCTGAAGCTGCTTATCAGATTAATAAGCTTTTGGGCTGGGACAATGGGGTTTTCTAGATATAGAATCATGTCATCTGCAAACAAAGACAGTTTGAGTTCCTCTCTTCCTATTTGAATACCCTTTATTTCTTTCTCTTGCCTGACTGCCCTGGCTAGAACTTCCAATACTATGGCGAATAGGAGTGGTGAGAGAGGGCATCCTTGTCTTGTGCCTATTTTCAAGGGGAATGCTTCCAGCTTTTGCCCATTCAGAATGGTATTGGCTGTGGGTCTGTCATATATATGGCTCTTATTATTTTGAGGTATGTTCCTTCAATATCTAGTTTATTGAGAGTTTTCAACATGAAGGGGTGCTGAATTTTATCGAAGGCCATTTCTGCATCTATTGAGATAATCATATGGTTTTTGTCTTTAGTTCTGTTTATGTGAAGAATCACATTTATTGATTTGCCTACGCTGAACCACCCTTGCATCTCGGGTGACATCATTAGGCTTTGTGTCCCCACCCAAATCTCATCTTGAATTATAATCCCCATAATTCACAAAGAGATGGTCTGGAATTGGAACTTATGTTTAAAAGGAAAGCAGAGCATAAATGTTTGGAAAATTTCCAGTCTGACGGAGCAATAGAAAACAAAAACTCAGCTGCAGAAATTTGCATAAGTAATAAGGAGCCAAATGTTAATTGCCAAGACAATGGGGAAAATGTCTTCACGGCATGTCAGAAGTCTTCACAGCAAGCCCTCCCACTGCAGGCCCAGAAAGCTAGGAGGAGAAAATGGTTTCGTGGGCTGGGCCCAGGGCCTTGCTGCTTTGTGAAGTCTCTTGGTGCCCACACCCCAGCCGTGGCTAAAAGGGGCCAATGTACAGATCAGGCCATTGTTTCAGAGAGTACGAGCCCCAAGCCTTGGTGGCTTACATGTGGTATTGGGCCTGTAGGTGCACAGAAGTGAAGAAATGAGGGTTGGGAACCTTCACCTAGATTACACAGAATGTATGCAAATGCCGGGATGTCCAGGCAGAAGTCTGCTGCAGCGGTGGAGCCTGGAGCACCTCTGCTAGGGCAGTGTGGAAGGGAAATGCCCACACTGAGTCCCCATTGGGGCACTGCCTAGAGGAGCTGTGATAAGAGGGCTACCTTCCTCCAGACCCCAGAATGGTAGATCCACTGACAGCTTACACCATGTACCTAAAAAAGCCATAGACACTCAATGCCAGCCTGTGAAATCAGCTGGGAAGGGAGCTGTACCCTGCAAAGCCACAGGGGCAGAGCTGCTCAAGGCCCTGGGAGCCCACCTCTTGCACCAGTGTGACCTGAATGTGAGACATGGAGTCAAAGGAGATCACTTCAGAACTTTAAGATTTAGCTGCCCTGCTGGATTTCAGACTTGCATGGGGCCTGTAGCCCCTTCATTTTGGCCAATTTCTCCCAATGGAAATCGGTGTATTTACCCAATGCCTATACCCTTATTGCATCTATGAAATAACTAACTTGCTTTTGATTTTACAGGCTCATAGGCAGCAGGGACTTGCCTTATCTCAGATGAGACTTTGGGGGGCTGTTGGAAAGGCTTGATTGTGTTTTGAAAAGTGAGGACATGATATTTGGGAGGGGCCAGGGGTGGAATGGTTAGGCTTTGTGTTCCCACCCAAATTTCATCTTGAATTATAAACCTCATAATCCCCATGTGTCAAGGTAGAGTCCAGGTGGTGGTAACTGAATCATGGGGGTGGTTTCCCCCATGCTGTTCTCGTGATAGTGAGTTCTCATGAGATCTGATGGTTTCATTTATTTACTTATTTATGAGGTGGGATCTTGCTCTGTCACCCAGGCAGTAGTGCAGTGGCTCAATCTTGGCTCGCTGTGACATCCACCTCCCAGGTTCAAGCGATTCTCATGTCTCAGCCTCTGGAGTAGCTGGGATTACAGGTGCATGTCACCACACCCAGCTAATTTTTGTATTTTTAGTACAGATGGGGTTTCACTATGTTGGCCAGGCTGGTCTTGAACTCTTGACTTCAAGTAATCCACCCACCTCAGCCTCCCAATGTGCTGGGATTACAGATGTGAGCCATTGCTTCTGACCAAGATCTTATGGTTTTATAAGGGCCTCTTCCCCCTTCATTCATTCACTCACTCCCTCCTGCCACCTTGTGAAGAAGGTGCCTGCTTTGACTTCTGCCATGATTGTAAGTTTCCTGAGGCCTCCCCCAGCCACATGGAACTGAGTCAATTAAACTTCTTTTCTTTATAAATTACCTAGTCTCGGGCCGTTCTTTATAGCAGTGTGAAAAAAGATTAACACATGGGATGGAGCCTACTTGGTCATGACAGATAAGCTTTTTGATGTGCTGCTGGATTTGGTTTGCCAGTATTTTATTGAGGACTTTTGCATTGATGTTTATCAAGGATATTGGCCTGAAGTTTTCTTTTTTTGTTGTATCTCTTCCAGGTTTTGGTATCAGGATGATGCAGGCCTTATAGAATGAGTTAGGGAGGAGTCCCTCCTTTTTAATTTTTTGGAATAGTTTCTGTAGAAATGGCACCAACTCATCATCGTCCCTGTGGTAGAATTCAGCTGTGAATGTCTTGTCCTGGGCTTTTTTGGTTGGTAGGCTACTCCTTACTGCCTCAATTTCAGAACTCATTATTGGTCTATTGAGGGATTCAATTTCTTCCTGGTTCAGTCTTAAGAGGGTGTATATATCCAGGAAGGTTTTTATTTTCATTCCTCTCAAAGTATTTTCTAATTTCTCTTGTGACTTCTTCTTTGGCTCACTGGTTTTAAAGAACGTGTTGTTTCATTTCCACATATTTGTTAATTTTCCAGTTTTCTTCCTATCAATTTCTAGTTTCATTCCATTGTGGTCAAAAATACAGTTATTATTTCAACCTTTTAAAATATATTGAGACTTGTTTTATGGTCTAACATACAGTCTATATTGGAGAATGTTCCATGTGCACTTGAGAAGAATTCTTCTTGTTGAGTTGATCCTTTTATCATTATATAATGTATTTCTTTGTCTTTTGTAACAATTTTTAACCTGAAGTCTATATTGTCTGATATTAGTATAGTTACTCCAGCTCTCTTGTTTACTGTTTGCATGAAATATCTTTCCATCCTTTCACTATCAACCTATTTCTGTCTTTGGATCTAAGGTGTGTCTCAGCATATATCTCAATCATTTCTTTTTTAAGTCCATTCTCCCAATCTCCTCCTCTTAATTGCAGAGTTTAATCAATTTACATTTAATGTAATTGCTGATAAAGAAGGACTTCTGCTATTTTCTAGGTCTTATACAGGCAACCCTTTCTTTTTTGTCCTGTGCTTTATTGCACATTGCTGATATTGCATTTTTTTTACAAACTAAAGATTCATGGCAACCCTGTATCAAGCAAGTCTATCAGCATCATTTTTCCAACAGCATGTGCTCACTTCCTGTCTCTTGTGTCACGTTTTGGTAATTCTCACAATATTTCAAACTTTTTCATGATTATTATATCTGGTATAGTGATTTGTGATCTTTGCTATTTCCAGTATTCTGTTTGGCTTTCAACAGTTTGATTATAACATGTCTTGGTGTAGATGTCTTTATCCTACTTTGGAGTCACAGAACTTCTTGGATGTGTAGACTTATGTCTTTCATTAAATTTGATTAGTGTTTGCTCATTATTACTTCAAATATTCTTTCTGCCCCTTTCTCTCTCATTCTGGGACTACCATTTTGTGTATATTGGTACACTTAATGGTGTTTCACAGATTTCTTAGGCTCTGTTTATTTTTCTTTATTCTTTTTTCTGTTTCTCAGATTGGATAATCTCAATTGACCTATATTCAAATTAGCTAATTATTCTGCCTGTTCAAATCTGTTCTGTCACTGTACTTTTCAGCTCCAGAATTTCTATTTGATTCCTTTTTTATAATTTTATCTCTTTACTGATACTGTCTACTTAGGACACTGTTTTTCATGGTTTCCTTTAGTTCTTTGCCCATAGTTCCTTTAGCTCTTGAGGATATGATTTAAAGTCCCCATTAAAAATGTCAAATGTCTTGGCTTCCTTTGGGACAGTTTCTATCAGTTTCTTTTTTCCTGTGTATGGGTCATTGTTTCTTGTTTCTTATGCCTCATATTTTTTGCATTTTGAATATTATAAGGTGGCAACTATGAAAATCAGATTCTCTCCCCACCCCTGGGTTTGTTGTTGCTGTCTGTTATAGCTGTTATTTGTTCAGTGACTTTTTTGAACTGATTTTATAAAGTCTATTTTTTGTCATATGTGGCCAATGAATTCTCTGTTCTGTTAGCTTAGTGGTCAGTTAGTGATCTGACAGAGTTCCTTAGATGCCAAGATTCCAGTGTTCTTTTCCTCTTTTTTTTTTTTTTTTTTTTCTGAGACAGGGTCTCACTCTATCGCCTAGGCTGGAGTGCAATGAAGTGATCATGGCTAACTGAAGCCTCTATCTCCTGGGCTCAAGAGATCCTCCCACCACAGCCTCCTGAGTAGCTGGAACCAAAGGCATGTATCACTATGCTCGGCTGATTTTTAAAATTTTTAGTAGAGACAAGGTCTCGCTATGTTGCCCACACTAGTCTCAAACTCCAGAGCTCAAGCAATCCTCCCACCTCAGCCTCCCAAAGTGCTAGGATTACAGGCATGAGTCACCAAACTCAGCCACGTGCATTTTTTCTAGATTGAGACACTGCTTATTTGCTGTAAACTTTTGATTAGTTTCCAGAGTTCCAATAAAGTTGATGTTGGCTGTTTTTGCCAATTATTATTGCTTTTATGGAAGGCTTTTGGAGTTCCCTGCTCTGCCAATTTTGCTCATGTCACCAGGCAAAGTATCTTTTAAGAAATAGTGAGATATATTTAAATTATAAAGCAAGAAAGGTGTTTTATTACCATGGCACTACTGAAAAGATCAAGCAGTACTTCTAGCAACATGCAGTATAAATGTGGACACTAACAGTCACTAAAATCATGAATGTAAAAATATTATATAAAACATAAACATAATACCCAGATAATATTATTGTTGTTATTGTAGCATTTGGTCAGGGAAGGAGTCTTCAAAATGCTGGAGCAGAATAGTCAAGAGCAATAAACCTGACAATGTTCTTAGGATTTAAAGTGCCCAAACAATAATCTCACTAAAAAAAAATGGAGGCGGTAAGTATTCCTTCCTCTTTTGTACGGAGTCCTTTTCTGTATTCCTAAACCCTAACACAGTGCCTGGCATACAGTGGATATATTAAAGAAATTTCTTATAAATACATAAAAATGTGTGCAGAAATAACCTCTTTCTATCCCTTAAGGAAAAGAAAGAAAACATCAACATTTATTAGAAACCCATTATCTGTCAGGCACTGTGCTAAGTGTTTGAAATATATTGTATCTCATTTAATCCACACAGAGACTCTATGACACAGGTGTCATCATCCCCAATTCATAGACAGAGAAATGAGAGAAGTGATCTTTCCAAGTTCACACAGCTGAAGTGAATTATTTAAACCTACAGTATAGTTCTAAGGCCTGTGCTCTTTGCACCACAGCATACTGATCTAACTTACTCTACTCTGCCATAGAACAGACTCAAAACATCTAGGAAAGCTCTGTCTATCTGAACACATAATGAAGGCATAAACAAGAGAAAGCAGCACTGTCTGAAAAGCAACTTGCTTAAAATTTCCACTGCCAAGAGACCAGATGGTTTCTGGGACGTCTAGTTAGGCTAAAAATACCCGCACCCACAATGAGTTTGATTTACAAACAAAGGAAAGCAGGGTTAGCCAGTATAAACATGCAGCTGGAAAGCTAGAAGATTTAATGCTTACAAAACACTGCTTAAAGGGTGTCAAATGGCCATACAAGATATAAAACGTTAGACAGCTTATGCGCTCAATTGCTTGCTCATTACTCTCTCTGTCTCTTACATACCTACGCCATACTTGTTTCTTAAGGGTACCTTCAGGTCTGACAGAGCTGAGTCCCACCAAGAAATTAAGGTTGGAGAGGACCCTCCTGCCAGTCTCTGGCCTGAAAGACCCTTCCCACCCTCTCCATCCTGTCACACACACACACACCTCTCTCTCTCTCTCACTCACTCACACACACACACCCTGGAGTGAAACCCAGAAGCTTCTTTAGACCTTGGTGCAGCTGCTATCCACCCAGAAGTTGGTAATATTTTGTTACACTCTGGGTTATCTGCCTTGTCTATACTAGTATTCTTTTTATTTTTTTAGGTGTACGATGTAATGGTTTTTAGTATATTCAGTTATTTAACCATCACCACAATTAATTTTAGAACATTTCTGTCACCTCAAAAAGGAACCCTATACCCTTTAGCTATCACCTCAAACCCCACTTCCTCCAGCCCTAAGGAACTACTCATGTATTTTATGTCTCTACGTATTTGCCTATTCTGGACCCGCACTTGTATTCTTTTTTTTTTTTTTTTTTTTTTTTTGAGACGGAGTCTCGCTCTGTCGCCCAGGCTGGAGTGCAGTGGCGGGATCTCGGCTCACTGCAAGCTCCGCCTCCCGGGTTCACGCCATTCTCCTGCCTCAGCCTCCCAGGTAGCTGGGACTACAGGCGCCCGCCACTACGCCCGGCTAATTTTTTGTATTTTTAGTAGAGACGGGGTTTCACCATTTTAGCCGGGATGGTCTCGATCTCCTGACCTCGTGATCCGCCCGCCTCGGCCTCCCAAAGTGCTGGGATTACAGGCGTGAGCCACCGCGCCCGGCCCGCACTTGTATTCTTTTACTGATGGCTAGGAACACTTGTTTCCATAGCTCTATTCCAAAAGGCCTAACATAATGCAGAAGGATTTGAGTTCTCTTAAATGAGAAATAACTGGACAGATTCTCACTTTTCTCTGTAGCAACCATGTATCTTTTTGGAACAATGGAGGGTATAAATTATTTTTTTAAAAAATGGAAGGAGAGCAGCCTTCTGTTGCAAAGATAGATAATTTCAAAACACATATTTAAGTGCAGGGCCTTTTGTCACAGAGTTCTGATAACAACAGAAAGAACACAGATTTGGAGTAAAAAGAGAACTGGGTTCCAATTCCTTCTCTGTACTCTAATGAGTTGAGAGGTTCTTGGGTGAGTCACTTAACCTCTTTGAATTGCAGCTTCCTTTGCTGTAAAACAGTGATGTCACACATTTTGCAGGATGAATATGAGAATTAAATCACATGAGGTATGCTAAGAACTCAACATGGCAGAGAGCCCAAGGAAGCACTGGGAAAAGGCTAGCTCCTGACACTACCCCTCACCAAACTTCCAGGCCTTTCTGAAGACTATGAGAATATTTCTGTTCTAAAATGGCAGAGATATTACTGACGCTTCTACCACCATTCTCCTTAAGCTCCACATTGCTTCTCCTTAAGCTATCTTCCTTTTCCAGCCATATTCCATTACTTTTAATAAGATTTGTCCTCTTAATAAGCAGGCTGGTAAACACTTGACTTGTTCCAATTCCTGAATCCCTCCCCAAACACACACACACCCCAGGCCATCATCAAGCCTTGCTGTTTCAACTCACTGCTTCATCATCTTCTCATAATCTCCTCTCCCTCAAGCCACTGTTTGACTATTCCCCACACACAACTTAAGTCTGATCTTTATTGTTACAACCTCCTAACGGCCCCCACCCCCTTTCTTTTCATGCCCTGGCCTCATTTCCTCCATCCTTCAAAACTCTGGTTTAAGCCACCTCTAGATATTTCCATTTTAGAGGAAGAATCTTAAGAAATCATAGAGTAAACCCCCCTGCCCTAGCTTGTAGGTAAGGCATAACTCTGCAATTTTACCTAGATGAGACTGAAGGAGAGCCAACTGATTTTACTCAAGGTCACAATGCTACTTCTTCCCTAAAACTCCACCCCTTAGTTCTCTGCATCTGCTTCTTTTCCTCAATCCTGAAGCTAGTATTCCAATATCACATCACTTATGCATCTGCTTGGTTTCTGTTACCTGAATGCTTTTGTATTTCATCTGTGAATTTTAAGGAAGGGTACCTATTTCCCAGAGGGTCTTCAGATTTCAATTCACTCTAACACTGGCTGGACATGTGTTTAGTATCTCTGACTCTGTCAGTAAGTCTCTGTCTATATCTGTCCTTATACATACACTGTATAGAACGCACAGCCACTTTAAGTCCCCTGATGTGCCACACTCTGATCCACCAGAGACTCAGGCTTAAAAGTATCTGCACGTTAGAAAACAAAACAATGTAGCTACGGTTAATTTCTACTAAGTAGAACACAGATCTTTCTTTTATAGCATCTATAAAAAGTATCAATATAAACTATTGCTAAAGCATTCGAAGGCTAAAAAGCAACTTCATAACATAAAAATTTTATCAATGTGGTCACTAGACTTCCCCCTAAATCCCATATTAATCCTATGGAATCTAATCTAAAAAACAGCCATCAGCCAATCTAAGCTCCTAGAGCCCTCCCTCCTAGAGGCCCTCTGCTGCATGTTTGACAGTCAGTTCTGACAAAGCCCCAGTTTAACCTACCAACAGGCACAAGGCCTGTCTTATTCAAACATTCCACAAATATTTACTGAGCCCTTACTAAGTGCCAGACACTGTACTAAGTATTATAATGATGAACAAGATGCTATCCCTGCCTTTGATGAGTTTAAAGTCTAGAGGAGAAGGTGAACAGAGGCAGCATGAGGATCTATAAGAAGGTATGGAGTACAGTAGAAAGAGCAGTAAACTCAGAGCCAAGAAGCCTCAGTTCTAACTCAGTTTCCTCCTGTTTTAGCAGTCTAAGATTTGGCAAGCCATGTTCTCTCTCTGGGCTTTAGTCTTCCATTTATAAAACAAATGGACTGAATAAGATGATATTTAAGGTCCTTTTCAGCTACAAGAGTCCATGTTCCAAGAGAAGATAAAAATTGCAGCAGCAGCAGCAGCAATATTCACTGAAGACTTAGCATGTGCCAGAATCTTGCTAGGAACCATTTACTTAAGATTCCATTTTGTATGAAATGGCATTACCGGCATTACTACATCACTTTAAAAAAAAAAAAAACTGGAAAGAAGACTGGTTTGATTATGTTTCTTTGTATGGTTACACTCTATTTACAAGAAGAATCTGAAGTGATTTACAGTACAAATACATAATGACAAATAAAGACATTAAGTAATCCATGTAAGAAGGGTAGAGCAGAAATTATTTTTTAAATAATTAGGCAACAGAGAGAGCTCCTGTCTCAAAACAAAAACAACAAACAAACAAAAAAGCCCCAAAATGAAAGGGTCTGGGTGTGTATTCACAGGAGCAGCAAGAGAGAGAGATCTACTAAATAATACTGGTGGAAAGGAAGAGTTGAACCCTAGAGATAAGGGTGAGCAATACCAGCTTTAAACAAAACAGGAAATGAACTGGGGTGAAGATTGTTTCTTTGGCCAGACACAGTGGCTCACACCTATAATTCCAGCATTTTGGGAGGCTGAAGCATGAGGACTGCTTGAGCCCAGGAGTTCAAGACCAGCCTGGGCAACACAAGGAGACCTCGTCTCTACAAAAAACGTTTTAAAAATTAGCCAGACATGGTGGCACACAGCTATGGTCTCAGCTATTCAGGGCTGAGATGGGAGGATCATCTGAGCTCAGGAGATTGAGGCTACAGTGAACCATGATTGCCCAATTATACTCCAGCCTGGACAACAGAGTGAGACACTGTCTAAAAAAAAAAGATTGTATCTTTACATCTGTATATTAAAACAGAGCACGGCATGTAGCAGCTGTTCACAAAATGTCTGTTGAATGAATGTATGCATGAGTCCTCCTTCTTTCCTCCATTTCTTCTTTGCTTCCCTTCCTTCCTCCTATCTATTCATCTTTCCTTTCCTCCACCTAGCCCTTCATTATCCTTCTAGCACCCATCATCTATCCAATTCCCTCTTCCTTTCCTTCCCAGGGCCTACAAAGTCTAAAGGATCAAGAGATTCCTTGACAAAGGTCTTAAAAACTTTTCAGTTTGCTCTCTTGAAACCTATAAAGATATATTTTAGGTCTAGGCATTGAAAAGAAAATCAGTTCTGCCCTCACTTCCTACTAAGTCCAGAGGGAGAGTCTGTGCATATTGTCAGACTGAAGAAGACTTTGTTGTTTCCTCCCAAGATAAAAGGGTCACACTTTGCAGCACAGCAATTAGCACAATCCTATCCTGAGGATATCAGAAAAGGGGTGTTACTTTTCCTGAAAAATTCAGGTCAGCCCTTTTTCCCTAGTCCATATTTGAAAACCAATTCCCACCTCTTTTCTCCCCTTCCACCTCCCCACCAAAGTAGCCACAACAAATACCTTTGCTCCCCCAGTCCCTTTTATCTCATACCCCAAAACCAAAGACCCCTGACTGAATTCAGCATCAGTCTCTTACCCTGCCAGGAAAGCTAAGGAGTAGGAGTTGTTCTTGGAAACAAATGCCGAGCGATGTGTCTGTGTCATCTGGCCTCGAGAAGGTTCTTCATTCTCTGAATCTGAGAGACGTGCAGGACACTGGCAGGGAGACAAGGGAGACAACACTGTCCATTTGGAGTTCCCAAGGCATCTACTCTAGCTATAGGTTCAAATCTCTTTCTCTATGTCGCTTCTCTGTGAGCTCCAACCTATGTTTCCAACTGCCTCCTGGAGATACCAATCTCAAATGTGGTTCAAATTCAATATATCCAAAATCAAACTCACTATATTTCTCTTCTGTAAGCCCCATCACCAACCCATCTAGAAAACTAAATGCCATCTATTTCTGTCCCTTACTTCTAATTCATAGTAACATTTGGATAGTGGCTTTAGGTACTCCAACACTTCTAAATATTTTATTTCATTTACTGTTTATGTCACTCCCATTAAAAGCAGGATGATTATCTGTCTTTTACAGATAGCAAACTGAGGCTCAGAGTAGTTAATTTTCCTAGAATTACAGGGTTAATACATGGATAAAACTAGTTCTTAAATTAAGAGCATTAGTCTCCAAATTGTCTCCATGCTATTTCCACTCTATTCTATTCTACTTCTAGAAAGTCTCTCAGATCTAACTCTTCCCATTTATATTCATGGTCATTGCCTTACCTTAGATTCTTATCATCTTTTGCCTGGACTACTGCAACAATCTACTTACTGGTCTCATTCTCTTCAGGCTTTCTTCTCTCTAATAATACCCTCCACACCATCAAGAATTATCTTTCCAGCAATCACTCCCCTGCTTAACGGCTGGTGACTTCAGGGTAAGGTCTAAATGCCTCAGCCTGATACTACAACCTTCACAAACTAGACTTAACCTTGTTTCACAGCTTTTCCCCTACCAGTTCCCACACATGGAACTCCCTGAGCTCTAGTACAACCAAACTACTTTTTACTCTCCACACGTACCACAGTCTTTCAAAACCTCTATCTACCCATTTGGATATGCTACACCCTTTGCCTAAAATTCCGTCTCTGCTCTCTGCCTATAAAATACTAATTGGCCTTTCAGAGTCATCTAAAATATCACTTTTTCTGCAAAGGCTTCCAAATTATCCTAGAGTTAGTTTTTCCATCTTGTTTATATCCATTCATTTATCGTTGTTTTACTTTGGAGTCCCTTTTTAGAGTCTTTCCAATTACATTAGAAACATCTTAGAGGTATGTCTTTAACATATAATGTAATGAAGTTTTGCCTCATTATTAAACATGAGAGTCTTTTTCTTTTAATGGATAGCAACTAATCACACTGAACTGTAGCTTCTTATTTAGGGATCTGTTCTGCTTTATGCAATGAGCCCTGTGAGAGCAAGTGACCATCTTTTTAAAAAATTTCCAATACTGTTACATAGTAGATAAATAAGAACTGTCTGCTCAGCTGATGATTAACCAATTATCTAATGATCAAATGATTATCAAAGTAAGAGTTGTAGATGTAGGCACGCAAGGCATCATATGGCTCCGAGTACCCTGCATTCCTGAAATGCTTTGTTTTTCTCTAGGCTGACAGGCACAGCGACACAATAGACTATATTTGCTAACAGCTGGCCTTTGAGAGAGATTTGAAGAATTACAATTTACAGAGAGGCCTTTCAATTTTGTAGGGTATCATTCCTCAGAGAACTCTGTTGTACAAAATATTCAATGAAGAAACTTTAATAGCACCAACCCATTATCAAATTTTATATAATATTCTCTTCTCAACTCTAGAAAAAAGATAAGCTTTGATACCAATAGACTCAATAGGGAATAATGGCAATTTCTGTCTATATAAACCTCTCTTCATAATTAAATCAGTACCAAGTAAAAAGTGTTCAAATCCTAGCTCTGTCAGCTATCACTGTCACTGTGGGTTAGTTGTTGCTTTATCTTCCTGAGCCTCAGTTTCCTCATCTGTAAAATAAAGACTACTCTACTATATAGATTGTGACAGGCCATTAAAAATACCTAGCGTACATTAACTAACAAGTAATAAGTGCTCAAAAAGATAGATTTTATTTGTATTAACTTCAAAACTATTAATCTTTTAAGAAAAATTTCCGTTTTATAACAGATATATGCCAAGTTCCTTTTTTTTTGGAGACCGAGTTTCACACTGTTGCCCAGGCTGGAGTACAGTGGCACGATCCCGGCACACTGCAACCTCCGCCTCCCGGGTTCAAGTGATTCTCCTGCCTCAGCCTCCTGAGTAGCTGGGATTACAGGTGCCCACCATCACACCCGGCTAATTTTTCTATTTTTGGTAGAGACAGGGTTTCACCATGCTGGCCAGGCTGGTCTTGAACTCCTGACCTCAAGTGATCTGCCCGCCTCGGCCTCCCAAAGTGCTGGGATTACAGGTGTGAGCCACCGCGCCCAGCGCCAAGTTCCTTTCAATTATTGCAAAATAAACTACATTACAAATATATAACTAATTGTTCAGACAAAAGCTCTCCCACCCCTCTACATTTCTATTCCCAATATTTACCCCTCATCTTTCATCTTTGATAAAAATAAGCCCCAAGGTACTATGGATTCCTAAAATGGTACAAAGCATGCATAAATTAAATCCTTGCAGTGACATCTAAAACAATGTTGTACCTAAAAAAAAGGAAAAGAAAGATAATACTCAAAGTTGGCAAGATGTGAGGAAATTAGTTTAGTACTCCTCACATACTACTGGTGGGAGCATAATAAACCTATAATAAATATAAACCTTCTGGAGGGCAACTGTAATAAACACCAAAAATGTTAAAAAGAACACTCTTTTTGACCTGGTCACTCTACTTCTAGTAATTTATTCTAAGGAACTAATAAGAAAAAAATGAGACAAATGGATTCCATCACAATGGTGTTTAAGATAGCAAAATATCAATAAAAGATTACTTAAATAAATTCTACAATCAAGAATATTATAAGACCACTGAATAATGATGTGGATTCTTTATTTACACACACAAAAACAGGCCGGGCATGGTGGCTCACACCTATAATCCCAGCACTTTGTGAGGCTGAGATGGGTGGATCACTTGAGCCCCGGAGTTCAAGACCAGCTTGGGCAACACAGTGAGACCCTGTCTCTACAAAAACAAAAACTTGAAAAAAAAACTAGTCAGGCATGTAATAGGCGCCTGTGGTCCCAGCTACTTCAGAGGCTGAAGTAAAAGGATCGCTTGAGCCCAGGGGCTTGAGGCTACAGTGAACTATGATCACACCACTACACTCCAGCCTGGGTGACACAGTGAGACCCTGTCTCAAAAAAAAAAAAAAAAAAAGGCAAGAAAGAAAGAACACCTACAATTTATTTTTTTTGTTTGTTTGTTTTTGAGACAGAGTCTCACTCTGTCACCCAGGCTGGAGTATAGTAGCATGATCTCAGCTCACTGCAACCTCCACCTCCCGGGTTCAAGCAATTCTCCTGCCTCAGCCTCCCAGCCTCCCAAGTAACTGGGACTACAGACACGTGCCACCATGGCCAGCTAACTTTTGTATTTTTTATTAGAGAAGGGGTTTTGCCATGTTGGTCAGGCTGGTCTTGAACTACTGACCTCAGGTGATCTGCCCACCTCAGCCTCCCAAAGTGCTGGGATTACGGGTGTGAGCCACCACGTCTGGCCAATACCCACAACTTAAGATGAACTAAAACAGGTTATAAAACAGCATCTAGGCCGGGCGCAGTGGCTCATGCCTGTAATCCCAGCACTTTGGGAGGCTGAGGCGGGCGGATCACGAGTTCAAGAGATCGAGACCATCCTGGCTAACATGGTGAAACGCCATCTCTACTAAAAATACAAAAGATTAACTGGGCGTGGTGGCACGTGCCTGTAGTCCCAGCTACACAGGAGGCTGAGGCAGGAGAATTGATTGAACCTGGGAGGCAGAGGTGGTAGTAAGCCGAGATCACGCCACTGTACCACTCCAGCCTGGCGACAGAGCGAGACTCCGTCTCAAAAAAGAAAAACAGTATGTATACTAGGTTACATTTTCTGAAAAGAAAAACAATATATGGTGTGTATTTATATGTTCTTAGAAATGAATGTATCTATATGTTCTATATGTTCATATGGTACATATCTATAAGGATATGTATCAAAACGTTTATAGGGCTCATTTCTAGGTTGTGGGATGACAAGTAATTTTTCCCTTTTTGTTTTCTAGTCTTTAGTATAACCATAACTGCTGTATCCAATTGTTTTCTAATAATTCGCATTATTATTGGATTAAATGTACCATAACAAATTGTAATAAATTAAACACTGTGCTCACTTTATTTCTATTCTAAAAAAATAACAGATGATAATCTGCTTCTAGAGTAAGCTCCTTCCTCCTTCCATTCAAATTTAATTTCATAAACATGTATCAGACACTTCCAATGTGCAGGGTACTACAGGAGATTTAAATGGATAAGACATTTCCTATACTCAACAAACTTACAATCTAGTAGAGAAACACAAACACAAAAAACCATGATGTAAAGGAAAATGACAGAACTCTTGTAAAAGTTACAAAGTGGGGGTTTGGGGGAGTGGCTGATAGAAGTGGAGAAACAGAAGAGGAACTCCTATAGGCTTCATGAATGTGATAGCTTTTGAACTGGACATGGAGAGATAAATAACCTTCCAACAGGTAAGCTGGATGGCATTTCAATGAGATGAAAATTGCAAGAGCAAAGACCTTGAAAAGGGAAAGCACAGTGTATGTATTTGGGGGAAAGCAAATATATACTCCTTAGAGTTTTGGGGTATAAGCAAGGATGAAAACATAAGCTAGAATCACACTGAGGGCCTAAATGTTGGGGTGAAGAGTCTTCATTTAATTTCACAAGAAAAGAGGAGTCATTAAAATTTGGGGGACAGGAGAGTGAAATGATCAGTCTCGCTCTAATCACAATAGTTTCTATATAAAAAATAATCCTTTGGTCAGCTTTCTTAAGATTCTTTTGGGTCTCAATTTGAATGTAGTCTGGCCAAACTAAATGGAATTATTTGCTCAACACTGAAAACTCTTAAATTAGAGCCATTTAAAAGTCCTCCAAAATATAAAAGCAGCCCAGGCACACTGGCATGATCATGCCTGTAATCCCACACTTTGGAAAGCTAAGGTGGGAGGATCCCTTGAGCCCAGGAGTTTGAGACCAGCCTGGGCAACATAGGGACACCCTCATCTCTACAAAATAAAAAAAGTAAAATAAAAATTGACCAGCCATGGTGGTACACAGCTGTGGTCCCACCTACTTGGGAGGCTGAGGAGAGAGAATTGCTTGACCCTGGGTGGTCGAAACTATAGTGAACCATGACTGTGCAACTGCACTCCAGCTTTGGCAACAGAGCAAGTCCCTGTCTCTAAATAAATAAACAAACAAAAAAAAACTATATAAGAAAACAGAAAAAAAGGCAAAAATCACAAAAATCTAAAACTTGACACATTCATAGGTCAGATTTTATTCAATGCATTTGTAAAACTGGCTGTTATCAAGAACAAATCAGAATTTGTACTTTCTGATTCCTTTTAAGATTAAAATTAGGTGGCTGCACTTGATTTCTATTTCAAAAATGGTAGTGGCAAATGCAAAAATAATTAGAGCAATTTCCTAGTCTTGGTATGACCTAGGAACAACAGGTTATTTCTATCAAAGGACCATAGTTAAGGGTCAGCTCTCTCTATCAAGGCTAGTTTATCCTTCTGGGTTGTTCTGCCTGAGGACCCTAATAGGGTAGAACTGTCAGGGTGAAGAGGGAGAGCCGCGGTCTTCAGAGACTACAGACCACAGCTGGAGCTACTAGTCATACAACATACTACATACACGAGACCATCATAGAGCTTATTTTTGTCTAGCTAAACTGTAGCCTCTCTAGTAGCAGTCTTTTTTGCCCTCTGTGGTTTCTAATGTTCAGAGCATTAAGAGTACACACACACTTCATGCCTGTAAACTGAATCTTTTGGAAGGTTGAAACCCTGTAAAATCTAAGTGGTTGTTTTTAATAATTAAATAATAATTATTATTATAACTAGAATCAGAAGCTGCACATGTATGTGGCACTCAGCAAACACTACTGTCCCAAGAAAGCTTAAAGAATTTCCTTTTTAAGTTCAGGAAAAACACCTTTGCAAAAATAAAACCAAGGCCGGGCAGGGGCTCACGCCTGTAATCCCAGCACTTTGGGAGGCCGAGGTGGACAGATCACTTGAACCCAGGAGTTCAAGACCAGTGTGGGCAAAATGGTAAAACCCTATCTCTACAAAAAATACAACTGGGTATAGTGGCACAAGCCTGTAGTCCCAGATACTTGGGAGGCTGAGGTAGGAGGATTGCTTGAGCCTGGGAAGCTAAGGCTGCAGTGAACCATGATCACACCCCTGCACTCCAGCCTGGGCAACAAAGCAAGACCCTGCTCCAGAAAAATAAAAATAAATAAACCCAGAAGCACAAAGAAATTAAGTAACTTGGCCGAAGTGTACAAACAGTTACAATGCTGGGACCTGTATAAGAGGTAGACTGCTGATCCAGAGATTTTTTTTTTTGCCTCCACTCTGCTATCTTGCCTGTCATTATAGATGGTAAAGCTTTATCGATTCCAGCTGACCAGAAAGACAACCTGAAATTTTAACAAGCCTGAATCACAAAATATTTTAAAAGATAGGAGTCTAAAGATGTGCTAAGTACATACATAAGCAATATATGTCCAATCCAATATGACTTACTAAAGAAATAAAACTCAATTGTGATTATCCATTTGGGTATAATTAGTGGATCCTCCAAAAGTGCTTCCTTATGTAAGTTAAATACACAACTTGCAACCTTTTCTAGTAATTTACTTGGCAAATAAGTAATGAAACAAACTCAGGCAGGATTTGGCCCAATTAGAAGTCTAATTGAATATAGACTAAGTATCTAAACCTACCTTATATCTACACTGTGCTGCTTAGGGTATTACAACAAATAAAGGAAAGTAAAATACATGCTTTAAGAAAATCTAGTTGAGGACAGAAGACAATGTACAAATCTTAAATGTCAAATAACACATAAGTCCAAATAACAACATACATATAAATCTAATCACAAGTAGTAAACTATACTAGGTTTTTCCTCTCACTCACCTGCTTTTCCCACTGTTCCTTAATCTTCCCACAAGTCTTAATATCCCATTCAAAAATTATTTTCTCAAGCTCTGGCCTGGACGTAAGTTCTTCACTACTCTTAAGCTGCACAGTCACTGACTGTTACTGGTCTCACAATTTACCAACATAGGTCTTTCAGGTCCAGGTCACCTGGGCTAACCACTGATTTTTGAGGCAGGTATCCATTAAAAAGGTGATTTACTTACACGTTCCAGATTTGTTTTCAGTACTAATGGTTCATCTCTTTTTTTCTGTTCATCCATTTTCCTTTTCCCTGTTTCTGTATCCTCTGGTAACAGCTTGTGGATTTGATCTTCAGAGGGTTTTTCCTCTTGTAACTTTTCTTCTCTCAGCTAAAAATATAAATTATGCAAACACAGTAGTTTTAGGCAACTCTAAACTTAAAAACATATTTTACTCTGTAGTTTATTAGAACAAACAGATCACATGGCAGTTTTGAGACTGTTTTTCTTATCAGCTATAGAGCCCTCTTGATTTCTAAGTAAATCTACTTTTACTTGGCTCTTGCCAAACATACTCTTCAGGGCTAAAGATTTAACTGCTCTGCATTCTTAAGCAATATGAAATCATAAAAGCTAAGATAATACACATTATCAAAAAATAAAGTATAGTCACATAGCCAAAAAGGGCTAAGCCTGAAAATCTTCCTTATTCCCATAAGCCAGATGTAACTGCATTGGACTAGAAGAAGAGCAGAGATGGCCACAGAAAGCCAGAGAAGCTGGACGAGGCCTCCTTGGCAACAAAAGAGTGACTTAACGCAGTTCTAATGTCCTACATTTTTATGCTCTTATCCTGCAGTTACAGGATAAGTCAAGATACACGGTCTACAAAGAAATTTTGTTCTAATTTTATAATAGTAGAGATGGGGTCTCACTATGTTGCCCAGGCTGGTCTTGAACTCCAGGGCTCAAGCAATCCGCCTGCCTAGGCCTCCCTAAGTGCTGGATTACAGGCATGAGCCACTGAACCTGGCTGTACAAAGAAATTTATGGCAGAGAGATATGCTCTTTATTTTGGGGAGGTGGCATGGCATTATCAAAATAGCATGGGCTTTGGAATGAAAACCTTGGTGACCGTGAGCAAAGGAAGCATCATTTGCTTGTCTTCAAAAGAGGGATAGTGCAACTTAACCTGCAGGAGTAAATGAGATAACAATATAATAGTATTTATTAACAGAGTCTTGCTGTGTACCTATAGTACATCAAGATTCCATTTCTACTTTTTTTCCTTTTTCACTGTCTAGAGTTTTAATAACATTTAAATAAGATGATGTATATCAAAGCAATTATAGGCTACTAATATTTTTAATTATTCTTAAGAAAAAAATTAAGCTAAAGAACAAATGGATATTTTTGATAGGCTGCTGCCTCAGGTTTAAAACAAAACAAAACAAACACACAAAAACAGGAAAAAAAAACCCCACAACAATAAACAACAACAAAGCCTTAGCCTTATGTTTCTGATTTCTATAGGTCTGATTTTTGTAAGCCTGAACTAATCTTTAAAATATTAGTCTAATTCATGAGGTTATGAATATGCAAAGAACACCAAACACAATGCTATGCCAGGAGGAGATTAAAATAAAAAAAAGTACCGGCAACTCTGCCCAATCCAAACAGGAACACGGAGGAAAGGAAAGCAAATCCACAGCTGGGGAGAAAACAAAACTATAGTCTACACTAACTGCCCACATAAAAGATTTAAGGTCTTCTGAAGATTTTAGATGAGAAGACCTTATTCAACAACTTGACTACAGGCTATACAAAGGGGTGGTTTACTTTTAGAGGACAGAGGAGCATAATGGTTCAAAAGAGAACAGGTTTTAGCATCATTGGAATTATCATTTACTGAACTCTACGTGTCAGGTGCTTAGCCAAGCACTATGTCTATATTATCTCACTTAAGAAAACTAAGGTT
The DNA here is from genome assembly GCF_000001405.40 of Homo sapiens. Taxonomy (NCBI): domain Eukaryota; kingdom Metazoa; phylum Chordata; class Mammalia; order Primates; family Hominidae; genus Homo; species Homo sapiens. The sequence continues at coordinate 74,808,595 of NC_000011.10, read as the reverse complement.
TAAGTGTTAGGTAACGTGTTTAAATTCACACTGCCATAGGCATGGGGATGGAATGCAAATCAAGGTCTATCTCAGCAGTTCTCAACCAAGAATTATTCTGCCTCCCTCCCCAACTTGCCAGAACATTCGGCAAGTCTGGAGACAATTTTGATTGTCACAACTGGGGAAGTGGAGTCTGTGTGCTACTAAACATCCTAAATGCACAGGATAGCCCCCTCCAATATATACATAAATATTGCTATTTTTAAGAAAACTAAATATTACATTTCCTGTTTTATATATCTTAGTGTTATTTTGTTTGGTGCTTAATGTTGTTAACATACTATGTTCTCTGGCTTTTCTAGTGTTTTAGAATGTATCCTTCTGCCTCCAAATAGTTTATTTTTTTCTTAATTTTATTTTTTAATAGAGTCTCAATATGTTGCCCAGGCTGGTCTCAAACTCCTGAGCTCAAATGATCCTCCTGCCTCCCAAAGTGCTGTTATCACAGGAGTCAACCACTATGCCCGGCTTCCTAATAATTTTTACTGCTGCTCTCAAAGTTTTTGACAACGCACTTGTGTTGCTGGCAAACAACATTTTCACCGCAATGCTGAGCCACTGCTAACAGACCATTAGCTAAAAATTTACAAAAGTGAAAAAAATCATGTATCCATTTAAATATTCAAATGAATCATGTTGGTGTTTTCTCAATATGGAGTTCTGTACAAGTTTTTGTTTCTTTGTTTTCATTGCTTTTGGTTGTTATTTATAAGGATTTGAGAACTTGGTCTCTAGAAGAGAGTTTTTATACTGAAAAAGACTAAGGGAGGGTGAGAAAGTAGCATTTTAAATGTGAATAAAAAATATCAATTGCTGTTGTTTGTTGAACTCTTCTATGTTCTAGGCATTAAGTTTATCAAACTTACCTCATTTAATCCTTAAGGACTCTGTTTGTATTTATTTATCATGACTATTTTATAGAGACAAAAATTAAGACTCAATGGTCTTAATTCAAATCATAGACATTAAATACTGAAGAGCCTGGATTTTAAAGCAAATCATTGACTTCAGATACCAGTTTCTCAACCTCAGCACAACTGACATGCCAGGCTCTATAATTCTTTGTTGTGAGGACCAGGGCAGTCTGAGAAGGTTTATGCATGAATACTTCTGCAAGGTGTAGAAGGACAGAGCAGCATAACCAAAAAAGACAGAGAGCCAATATAAAGTGCTGCAATAGCTGGCCCATTAGTTGGCTACAGGTATATGAAATGTATCTCAAGACTGACAGTCTGAGGTGAAAAAAAAAGGAAGCATGTATCTATTGGCTCCCACATCCCATTGACCAAAGTGTGCCCCATGGAGTGTTAAATACTCCACATTGATTGGCTTGTACAACCTGAGTAAGTCCCCATGGCAGGTACTGCAGCAGAGACAACAGAAAAGCCATAGAGCTAAAAAGCAGCAGGACCCTAAACAAGGAGATAGAATGAAGCCATCCACTACTGTAAATGAGGTCATTTTTACTGCTTCCATTTTCAGATGCTAATTACTAGAGAAAAGTTATTGACATCTGCACATTAATCTCATACTCAGCCACACTACCAGGAATACTAAGCAATTTATTTCCCGAAAAGAATCTTTACTTTTCCCTTATTAATTTCTAAAACTAAAATTTTTTAAATCAAAGCATAATATACACACAGAAAAGTATACAAATAATTAGTGTAAGACATGATAAATTATCCATTCACCACCACCAAGATCAAGAAACAGTTTATTACCAATACAGCCCTTATGCTCACCCCTCACCCAAAAGTGAGTGAACTATGGTAGAAACCATGATCCTGGCTTCTAACACCAAAAAAAATCATTTTACCTATTTCTGAATTTTATATAAGTGAAGTCTTACATGTTTACTGAATCTTTCTGCCTTCACTCAACATTCTATTTGTGATATTCATCCATGCAGGTACAAATAGTTTATTATTTCTTGTTTTGTTTTATAGTATTCTGTTGTTTGACAATAAAACAATTTAACCATCCTATTGTTGATGGATATTTAAGTAGTTTCTACTTTTGGCTATTTATAAATTGAGTGCCAAAAATATTACGGAATATGTATGCAGGTATACACACTGTTCTCTGGAGTGTATCTTAGAACAGAAACTGCTGAGTCATAAGGTACGCAGCCACAGTTTTCCAAACTGGTTGTACAGATTACACGCCTGCCTCCCCAGTGTAGAATGACAGTTGCTCCCACCCTTGCTGACACTCAGTACTATTTGTCAATTTTAGCCATTTCAATGTGTATATATTGGCACTGCATTATTTTAATTTGTATTTCTCTAATGACTAAAGATGTACAACAGCTACAACAGCTTCACATGTTTATTATGTGGAAATCCTCTTTTATGAAGTGTCTATTGATATCTTTACCCTTTTTTCTTTTAGATGTTTGTTTTTTTCCTCTAGTAATTTGTAAGAGTTCTTTATATTTTTTGGATATGAAGCAATTGTCAGGAAAAATATATGAATACATATGTACATATATCTTATATGTATGTACGTGTGTGTGTATATATATACATGTATACTTCTTCTCCCTCTCACACAGAAGCTTGACTTTCTCAGTATCTTAGTACAGCTGTCGCTCGGTATATGTAGGGGATTGGTTCCAGGACCCCGCATATACCAAAATCCATGCATACTTAAGTCTCAGAGTAGGCCCTGCAAAACCTGCCTAAATAAAAAGTCGGCCCTCTGTATCTGCAGATTTTGCATCCATGAATTCTGATTTTCAATCCGTAGGGTTGAAAAAAAAAATGTGCATATAGATAAACTCACGTAGTTCAAATCTCTCTTATTCAATGGTCAACTGTACTCTTCAGAAAACAAGAAGTATCAGGTTCTGATGCAGTTCAATTTATCAATCTTTTACCTTACGGTTAGTGCCTTTTCTATCCCATTTATAAATGTTGCTTACCCCATGGTCATCAGAATATTCTCCCATGTTATCTTTAACGAGCTTATTATTTGACCTTTCAGTCTACTTAGAATTCATTTTTTATATTAAGAATTCATTTTTTATATCATAAGACTACATATAATATGACACATATGGAATGTATAGTTCAATGAGTTTTGTCAAATGTATATATCCATGTAATCATTTCCCTAATCAAGATACAGAACATTTCTACCATCCCCAGAAAGTCCTTTTGAACCTATTAGCAATCAATCTCTCAAACCACTTAGCCCCAGGCTACCACTAATCTGATTACTATATTAGTTTTGCCTATTATAAAAATATACAGGATGTATTTCTTTGTGTCAAGTTTCATTCACTCTGCATGATACTTTTGAGACTAATTCATCCATGCTACTGAGTTTACTAATAAGACACTCCTTTATACGGATAAGATATAACCCATTCTATGAATAAACCACAATTTGCTTATCCACAAGTGTGGGACATTTGGGTTGTTATTTAGTTCTGGGCTATTTTGAATAAATCTACTATGGACATTCATGTCATTTTGTGGACAGGTGTTTTTGTTTTGGTTGGCTAAATAGCTACAAGTGGAATTGCTGCATCACACAGTTAAGTGTATGTTTAAATTTATAGAACAACAGCCAAAAGGTTTCCAATGGTGGTTATATTTTATACTCCTACTACTACTGCATGAAAGTGTATCTTATTTTGTGGAATTTGTTCAAACCTTTTGTCCTTTTTTTTAAACCTTACTAGTTAGATTAGCAAGAGTTCTTTATATATTCTGGATATAAGTCCATTGTTAGATACACATTTCTTAACGTCGTCCATAGGTTCTCAGAAACTGAAACTTCAAGCAAACAACGTATAATAAAACAGTTTTACCACAGGCTAACTGGTATAAAAGAGTTAAGTTCCTACAGCATATTTCTATTCACAAAAAAACACCAAACTTCTAAATAAAGACCCAACTACTTCTAATATTAAACACTGAGATAAATGAGAGCTACACATACATTTAAGAAAGATAAAAACAAGCAAGGTAATTACCCAATTTTTGGTGAATCAGTGAGTGATAGTGGTTGCAGTGGCGGTGGGTTAAATCAAAGAATACATGTTTGCAAAGAAAAACTCTAAAGAGCACCTCCTACCACCATGCAGTGCAAAAACATGACAGATATGACAGGCTCACCAAGCACTTTCGTACTGCATAGTTTATCGTTCTCCATTTGTATGAGTATCATACACTTCACAAATTGTTATTTTACAAAAATTTGTACTCATTTATTCACTCGTTTCCTAACCTATTTATTCCAGTTCAGGGTTACAGGTGACCAGAGCCTATCCTAGCAGCTCCGGGCATAAGATGGGAACCAACCCTTGACTGGACACCATTCCATCACAGGGCACACTCACACACATACCCACTCACTCAGACTAGGACAATGTAGACATGCCAATTCGCCTATCATGCACATCTTTGAGATGCGGGAGGAAACCAGAGTATCCAGAAAAAACCCACACAGATATGGGGAGAACGTGCAAACTCCATGCAGACAGTGGCCCTGGCTGAGAAGTGATTTTTTTTCTCTCATCAATGTCATAATGAAATGATGTTGAACAAAATAACATCACTGTTGAACAATGACCTGCTGTATATAGTATATGATATGGGTCCAATTTCATTCTCTCACTGTATTCTTAAATTCTCTTCATGCAAGGGCAGAAATGCCTGTACAATATTTACTGCCAATCCACATATCTTGAATAATGCTCATTTCCTCATGAAAAATTATTAATATTTATCTTCATAATTGTTTATCAACATAATTACTGAATCTAGGTGATGGATACATGGAGGTTCATTTTTATTATTCTTCCCAGTTTTATGTCTGTTGAATATTATAAAAACCAAAAATTCTGAGATCATTTATAACATCTGTTATGCTTGTTAACAAACCTCAGGTGCTGGGTGATGATTAAAATAATTGATGGGCTTATAGGAGCCTATGAAGTGAAAATTCTGATTATAATCTTTTAAACACTAAGTAACTACTCCAGAGTGTATATTCCCTGTTAGTACTTAAGATGTTAACTAGCCATCCTTGGAATGTAGACTAAAACATATATACATGCCACACTATTTCAAATAAGGCATTTTAAAATATATTTCATAACACCCAGAACATATCTCATATCTCTATCACAGACTTCTAATATAAATTACTTGTGTTTGGTTGGGCGCGGTGGCTCATACCTGTATCCCAACACTTTGGGAGGCCGAGGCAGGCAGATCACTAGGTCAGGAGATCGAGATCATCCTGGCTAACACGGTGAAACCCCGTCTCTACTAAAAATATAAAAAATTAGCCAGGCGTGGTGGTGGGCGCCTGTAGTTCCAGCTACTAGGGAGGCTGAGGCAGGAGAATAGCATGAACCCAGGAGGCGGAGCTTGCAGTGAGCAGACTGCACCACTGCACTCCAGCCTGGGTGACAAAGCAAGACTCTATCTCAAAAAAAAAAAAAGAAAATTAGCCTGGCATGGTGGTGGGCGCCTGTAGTCCCAGCTACTCAGGAGGCTGAGGCAGGAGAATGGTGTGAACCCGGGAGGCGGAGCTTGCGGTGAGCCGAGATTGCCCCAATGCACTCCAGCCTGGGCGACAGAGCAAGACTCCGTCCCCACCCCCCCCCAAAAAAAATTACTTGTGTTCAATTACTTGTTTTCAAATCCCTTTTCCCCCAGATACTGTGAGCTTTTTTTAATCAGCAACCTATGCATCCTTGATTTCCACTCCCCTACTTGAGTTCCAGATACAGGGTCTGTGTTCAATAAGCTCAGTTCCGCAAATATTTACAGTGCATCAGATTCTATATGTTAGGCAATTTTTTAGTGCTGAGACTATAGTCTTGACCAAAAATGACAAAGTTGCTCACAAGCAGAATGCTGTTGAAGTAAGATTGGACTGATTTTCTTTTGAGACAGAATCTCACTCTGTTGCCCAGGCTGGAGCACAATGGCATGATCTTGGCTCACTGCAACCTCCACCTCTCGGGTTCAAGCCAGTCTTGTGCCTCAGCCTCCCAAGTAGCTGGGATTACAGCTGTGCACCATCGCGCCTGGCTAATTTTTGTATTTTTAAAGACGAGGTTTTGCCATGTTGGCCAGTCTGGTCTCAAACTCCTGACCTCAGGTGATCCGCTTGCCTCGGCCTCCCAAAGTGCTGGAATTACAAGCGTGAGACACCACGCCCAGCCTGGACTAACTGATTTTTATAAAAGGTCCTTCCAACAAAGATATTTTTTGACACAAACCATACCTATTGTGGTGACTGTTCCATGCTTTGTGATGAACTACTGTACTCTCAATTCCACTGTAAAAGGTAACCAACCAGACAGTGCCATGGGTATAGGGCTTATAGGGGGCAGTGCTTCTCAATGGTACTTTAAAGACTAGAGCTTATATATCCATAATTTTCTGATTTTCTTATCTCAACTGGTTAAATGGACCACCATCCAATAATAGTATACTAAAGAAATAATTTGGGAGCGCTGTAGAACCATACAGTCTCACGGTGTTTAATTAATCTTTCTCCTGACAAGAGGTAACAGGTTTTTCCTTATAAAATAAAATGATGCACCTGAAACAGTAAATTATGAGTTATGAACATTTTACTCATGTTCTGGTTATCTCTGGGCCAACGGTTCTCAAACTGGGACCCTACATTCTAAGGGGGGTTTCACAAGCTAATAATGGGAATCTTTAAGTTAATTTTTAACGTATTTTTAAAAATCTAACAAATCAGACACTTATAGTCCATAAGGTTGTCTCTATTAAATATCATCCTCTTTGCTTTTTAGAGACAGAGTCTCACTATGTTGCCAAGGCTCCAGTGATCCTCCCACATCAGCCTCCCGAGTAGCCGGGATTATAGGTGTGCACCACTGTGCCTAGCTTAAGTATCACCATATTAATAAGTAGGCTGAATACATTTTTTGTTGATATCTAGAGCTTTTTCTTTAATAGAGCTATCAAAATACTTTAAATTCATATGGGGGTCATGAAAGGAATATAATACAAGCTGGTAAAAAAAGTTGGAGACCACTGCTTCAGAATCACTGATTCAGAACATAAACTAGTTAATCAAACTGGTGTCAGAACATTTCAGTTTACTTTGGTATCTAGAGCAATTGATGCTTTATATCCTCTGTTTCCTGGACTCTCACTTGGCACTAACAGCTACGGCTTCTATAGGGTCTGACTGGTGACTATTGCTGATGCTGTCCACAAAAACAATGTATTTGGGGTGAAAGGACTACTCTTAGCTCCTGTTTACAGCATCCTGAACTCACAGCAAACGATCTCTTGCATACAAGGCTAACGTGCATAAAAGCCATAACTTTTACTTGATAAACCACATAAATAGCACCAAAGCATCTGACTTGCTCTTATGATTCTTACCTAATTTTAAAGAAATCACATTTATGATACTATGTTCTCTTCACTTTAAATTCTAGACCACTTCCAAATTAAATGTTAGATTTAGAATTAAGCGTATCTAAATATTTATGCAAAAATAATATTTTACCAATTTTCTTCTTATGTAATAAGATATTTAAAATTACTTCAATACAGGTTTTAAATTATTACATGCATTTTGTAGATAGGCATATAAAATGAATTGCAGGCATCCAAGTTTACATATAAATTGAACCGGCAGATATATTATCAGTCACATGTTTAGCTGCCAAGCTGAAAGGCTGAATGAAGAGGGGGACACTTGCTTATGGGAAGCAGAAAGAGCTCTAAGTAATCAATTGTAAAAAGACAAAGACACACCTTCACTGTCCAAATTCAAGAAAATTGAGAATTAATTTGTGTTTCATATCAGTAACTTGCCAGCCTCCAACTATGACTTTTTGAGTTTTCCATTTCTTACCCAAAGGCAGCAAATAAATGGCAGCAACAGAAGGGATTACTTTGTGCTAGATTTTTTAGAATTCCAAATACTAAATATTAATAATACTTATATACAGTTTACTATGGACCAGGCACTATTTTACAATAACCCTATAAGCTTGGTACTATGATGTCTATTTTACAGACCAGAAAACTAAGACATGGAGAACTCAAATAGCTCGCCCAAATTCACACACTATTAAGTGGCAGAGCCAGGATTTGAACTCAAGTAGTCAGCTCTTAATCACACTACTGTTTCTCAGCTTAGGGTAAAATATCTACATCATCTGTATTATGATTTGTTGAACACCTGCATTTTTTAAAAAGTCTGCAATAAACAAAAAAGTTTACTCTCAAATGTAAACAGCAAATAAGACCTTAAACCCTGATTTGAATCTGGAAAAATATAACCAAGTTTGCAATTTTAGAGGAACAATCATCACTGAAAGCAGATTACTTGTGAGTTTTTAAACAAATTTGGCTAGAGATGGGTATTTTAAAAATCAGTTTATCTTATGGAATCTTTTTTACATATTATATTTTTAAAAGTTATTTCTGACTCTTGAATGGTTTTGGATTTAGGGAAAATATTGGCATATATGTGATATATTACAATATTTTCTATAATTCTATATAGCCATTAAAAATGTTGACATAGATCTATATTAATATGGAAAACTTCATACGAGATGCTAAATTTTAAAAGGGCAGTAAAAGTGGCATGCATAATGTGATCTAAAATCTATTTTTTAAAAAGTCTTAAGCTTAAATTTTTGATAAACATTTAAACATGTTTATTAAGTGGCAGGATTACTGGCGATTTTCCCTTTCTGCTTTAAAACTTTTTGATAACCTGAAGGTTTTTTCCCAATTAACAGAAATGCACAATTCTGCTTATGTTCATAAGCAGAAAAAAATAAAGCTATTCTAATTTATTAAAAGCTTCACTCATTACATATTTTAACAAAATATTTTATTTTATACTAGAGACAACAGTTGTAACAGCTTCTGGAAAATTCCTTAATTTGGCTTCCAAGTAGTAGTTAAGTGATTTTATTAATACTTAAACCATAAAAATAATTATACTAATATAGTAACCTTATAACTACTGATCCTGACCCTAAACAATAAGACGAGGAAAAACAGCACACTGCAGAAATAACCTGAGTAACCTGCTATTCTAATTGAATTTGATCGTGTTTTGAATGCTCCAAGTGTGTTCTTTTCTTTGAAAAGCACATTATTTGATAAAACTGTTTCTCCACATCTGGGTAGTTATAAATAGCAAAAGGAGACAACAACCATATCTAATGTTCTTGGATTCTGAACATCCTATAAATTAACTGTTCTTCCCTCATGTAGTTAAAATTTAAACATTCTATTGAGAATTTTTCCTTCTCCTTAATACCACACCTGTTACCTGTATATCTTAAAGATATACTATGAGATTCTATACTTATTTTCTGGTTCTAGAAAGAGATATGCTAGCACATGCTAAAAGTGGGCATTTCTTCAATTATATAACATTTCAAAAGAAAGAAGAAAAAATAGCAATAGTGTAGCAAAAAAAAAAAACCACTGGAAATCTTTTTTTTTTTTTCTTTTTTTGAGACGGGGTCTTGCTCTGTTGCTAAGGTGGGAGGGCAGGGATGCAATCACGACTCACTGCAGCCTCAACCTTCCAGGCTCAAGCAATCTCCCCAGCTCAGCCTCCTGAGTAGCTGAAACCACAAGCATGCACGACCATGCCCGGCTAATTTTTTAAAAAATTTTTTGTAGTGACGAGGTCTCACTACTATCAGGGAATCTGTCCCGATATTCATGTAGGTTCTTTTCCATTTTCCTTAAGCATCGGCCAGCTTGAGAAATAAAGGGACAGAGTACAAAAGAGAGAAATTTTAAAGATGGGCATCCAGGGGAAACATCACATGTCAGTAGGTTCCGTGATGCCCAAGCCGCAAAAACCAGCAAGTTTTTATTAGAGATTTTCAAAAGGGGAGGGAGTGTGTGAATAGGTGTGGGTGACAGACATCAAGTACTTAACAGGGTAATAGAATATCACAAGGCAAGTGGAGGCAGGGTGAGATTATAGGACCACAGGACCGAGGCGAAATTAAAATTGCTAATGAAGTTTCGGGTACCACTGTCATTGATAACATCTTATCAGGAGACAGGGTTTTGAGATCAACCGGTCTGATCAAAATTTATTAGGTGGGAATTTCCTCTTCCTAATAAGCCTGGGAGCGCTATGGGAGACTGAAGTCTATTGCATCTCTGCAGTCTCGACTATAAGAGATGACCACGCCCAGGGGGGCCAGTTCAGAGACCCACTCCCAGGTGGGTATTCTCTTTCTCAGGGATGTTCCGTGCTGAGAAAAAGAATTCAGCGATATTTTTCCCATTTGCTTTTGAAAGAAGAGAAATATGACTCTGTTCCACCCGGCTCACCAGTGGTCAGAGTTTAAGGTTATCTCTCGTTTCCTAAACATTGCTGTTATCTTGTTCTTTTTTTAGGGTGCCCAGATTTCATATTGTTTAAACACACATGCTCTACAACTTGTGCAGTTAATGCAATTATTACATGGTCCTGAGGCGACATACATCCTCCTCGGCTGACAGGATTAAGAGATTAAAGTAAAGACAGGCATGGGAAATCACAAGGGTATTGACTGGGGAAGTGATAAGTGTCCATGAAATCTTCGAAACTTATGTTTAGAGATTGCAGTAAAGACAGGCATAAGAAATTATAAAAGTATTAATTTGGGGAACTAATAAATGTCCGTAAAATCTTCACAATCCATGTTCTTCTGCCATGGCTTCAGCCGGTCCCTCCGTTTGGGGTCCCTGACTTCCCACAACACACTATATTGCCCAGGCTGGTCTCGAACTCCTGGGTTCAAATGATCCTTCTACCTCAGCCTCCGAAAGTGCTGGGATGTGAGCCACTGTGCCCAGCCAAATCCCCAGAAATCATAAAATATATCTAGCTGTATCATGAACCAGCCATATATACATCCTTCACAAGTCATTTCTAATAAGAGAAGGGGCTGTGAAACTAGATGATTAGAAATTCAATTAGATAAGTACTTGGTGAAGAGCTATGTGCAAGATATTATATTAGACACAGTGGAGTTAAAGAGACTAAAACAAACAGATCTATCTTGAAAGATTTATAATCGAATAAGAAAAAGCTTTTAAAAATAATCTGCTTGTTCTGTGGTATAACAACATATTTTAAACTTTCTAGATAAATAAAGCTACTTTTTAAATAAATAAATAAAAATAAGAAAAAGGCCAGCTCAACATTCAGTTCATGATACACTACACAGCCAAATGGATTTAAGTGCAATGTTCATTTTAATAAAGTACTTTATATTAATATTTTACAGTTCAAGGCAGTAAGTTAATAAAAGGAAACTTTAAAATGTAATTTCGAAGATAATTAGGTCCTAAAAGTTTACTTACCTTTAAAATATCCCTTCACAAGTTAATGACTGCCTTATAGAGCTACTAATCACTTCAGTAACCCATTGACTATATCTGACTAGTCTGTTCTCTGGCTAAGGACTAAAAAACTGCATGCTTACTACTTGAATAATTCAGCCCACAATGGGGAGAAAATACCCCTTGAAAATGAACCAGAAGGCCAGGGAAGGTGGTACGTGCCTGTAGCCCCACCTACTCAGCCAGCTGAGGCAGGAAGATTACTTGAGGCCAAGAGTTTCAGTCTGTAGTGTACACCTGTGAATAGCCAACGCATTCCAGCCTGGACAACATAGCAAGACCTCATTTACTTTTTTAAAAAGAGAACCAGAACGGAGGAAGAAAAAAAGAAAATGGATAGGTCGAGAAACCAATCCAAAGAAAGCCTAAGCCACTCATATGCTCCACAGAATAACTGAAAGCAGTTCACCTTTCCCAATGTAAAAACCAGGAAAATGAATAGTCTAGAAGCAAGGCTGCTTTTCCCCCACCTTCAATCTTTTCCCCCACCTTCAGTCTTTCAGAGTCCAATGATTCAAAGAAGACAAGACCATCCTGGATTATGTGTTTCCCAAATCAAAACAAAGCAACTATTATTGAACCATGAAGTCAAAGTTAAGCATCTAACAAGCAAAGCAGAAGAAATAATGGTGTATATAATAAGCTTAATTCAACCAATAAATAACATTTTTTAGAGATAAATCTATTTCAAAAGACAAAGATGGCTAAGTCTTATATAAACTGAAAACATTAAAAGATATCAATACTGAAGTAATATCTTCCTAGAATTTTTTCATTTCAACATGCATTAACTGCACATCCTTACATAACAAGAACCAATACTACAAAATCCTTTCCATTAAGATGTATATCCAGATGAAGGACTGAGCATGTGTTAATACTCTCCTTCCATTTAAAAACACCATAAAATGTCAGAAAACTTTTAATAGAATAAATATATAATAGAATGGAAAAACAACAACAAAAAAGCATGCCATTAGCAATCAAGATCACAAATACCCAAAAGATAGAACTGGTTTTCAGATTTAAGTCTTATAAACAAGAAATCACGGAAAACATACAAATGGTCGATTAACATAAATGCTACTGCTCTGTAGTAATCAAGGAAATGTAAATTAAAACAATGAGATATTTTAATCTAGCAGATAGTAAAATATCAAAACAATGAAAAAGGTTTGGCAAGGATTTGAGGAAAATGGACTCTATACTGTTGTCGAGAGAGTAAGTTGAAAAAGTCTTTTTAAAAGGCAATTTGTTAACATCCAACAAAACCATGTCTGCTTTATTTTTTATTTTTTTTGAGACAAGAGTCTTACTCTGTCACCCAGGATGGAGTGCAGTGATGCAATCACAGCTCACTTCAGTCTCGACCTCCTGGGCTCAAGCAATCCTCCTGCCTCAGCCTCCCGAGTAGCTAGGACTACAGGCATGTGCCACCATGTCCAACTAATTTATTTTTTGTAGAGATAGGGTCTCACTATATTGCTCAGGCTGGTCTCAAACTCCTGGGCTCAAGAGATCCTCCTGCCTCAGTCTCCCAAAGTGTTGGGATTATGGCCATGAGCCAATGTGCCCAGCCTCTTACCATTTCCCACTTTCACTTCTAAGAATTTAACTGAAGGGATTGTATTTGCCCACATATGTTTGTGGGTGCTCAGCACAGCATTCCTTTAAAACTGGGGGAAACGGGCTGGGCCTGTAATCCCAACACTTTAGGAGGCCCAGGAGGGAGGATTGCTTGAGCCCAGAGGTTCAAGTCCAGCCTGGGCAACACACTGGGCATGGTGGCATGTGCCTGTAATCTCAGCTACTTGGGAGGCTAAGGTGGGAGGATCACTTGAGCCCAGGAGACAAAGGCTACAGTGAGCTGAGATCACACTACTGCACTCCGGCCTGGGTGATAGAGTGAGACCCTGTCTCAAAAAAAAAAAAAAAAAAGAGTATCTACATTAAAAACATACACACCACCCCCCCACCCAAAAAAATATGCTGTTCAGTGGAAAAAGGAAGTCACCAAATAGATTGTATTATTTCTCAAAAATCCTTCCTTCCGGCCAAGCGTGGTGGCTCACACCTGTTATCCTGACACTTTGGGAGGAAGAGGCAGGAGGATTGTTTGAGCCCAGCAGTTCAAGACCAGCCTGGACAACACAGCAAGACCCTCATCTCTACAGAAATAAAAACTTTTCAAGTATCCAGTCATGGTGGTGTGCTCCTATACTTTCAGCTACTCAGGAAGCTGAGGCAAGTGGATCACTTAAGAGCCCAGGATCCAAGAGTGCAATGAGCTACGATTCCAACACTGCACTCCAGGCTGGGTAAGAGAGAGAGAATATCTCTCTTCAAACAAACAACCTAGCTTCTCTGAAGTATTTAGCCTTAGACTATAACACTCATGACCCCTCTCTGTCACTCTCCTTCATTCACAGAAAAACTTGGCACTTAAATTTTAATTTCTCTCCAACTACTCCAGTGATCATTCCTGAAGGTCTCAATATTGGCATACTCTCTCAGTTCCTTCACCTCCTCCTTAAATACATCTTTTTCTCCATCCTATTTCAGCTATCTACTCCATGGTCATACCCTAAACTTTGTGATATCCATAACTAAACTATCTCCCAAGGCTCACATTTAAGCCTTTTATATTGAGACCACCACTTCCTAGCTTTCCAGCTTTATTTATATATGCTAGCAATCCTACTTTTACAATTTTCACCATCAAAGTTTCCGATCCATTGACCCTACAACTAACTCTTTCACTATCACATCCTTCATGTCCTCAATTTTCCCCTTAACCTAGATCCATCATCCAAAACTGTAACAACTTCCTTGTATACACCTCCAAGTGCATCTACTGCATCTCTCCATCACACTTCTGACAAAATCCCAAGCCCAATTAAACCCAACATATTGCTTACTCTCAAAGTGTCCTAACTAGTCTTATTGCCATTGTTGTCCCAGGAGACAGAGGCAGCTAGTTGCCAATCCAATATCCATTTTCTCCTTCCTTACTAAGAGAACCCTGATTTTACTTAGAAAGTTAATGTTCCTAGCTAAAACACTATGCTTTCCAGCCTCCCTAGTAGCTAGAGGAGTCTGTGATATCCCCAGTGCCTAGCACATACTAGGGGCACAATAAATATTTCATTAACCAATGAATATATATATATCATGATCTCATTTATACAGAAGACTAAAGTGTTTATGTATGTGTCTGCATGCATAAGTAAGCATATAAGGGGTCTAAGATAAACACTAAACTATTGATTCTAGGTACTTCTGGGAAGGACAGTGGGAAGAAAGGTAAAAAGGGACTTTCATATTTTGCTCTAATCATTTTTGCGTTATTTTTCTTATGTTAAAAAAAGACAACTAACTACAACACATGCAGAAAGAAAAAAATCTAAATATATTTAGAAATATAAGCTTATTCACAGAATGATAAAATTTAGAAACTCATAGTGACCTCAGTAAGCATACCAACTCAAAAGCCTCTGGCTAGAAAGGATGTTAAGAACACAGCTCCCTGTCCTTAGTAGGCCCCTCAGTCTTGGTTCAGTACTGTTCTACAGTAGTCCCTTACCCCAGCCTGGTGTGTTCCCAAATCTCCCACAGGTAATAGAATCTAGGATTTTTAAATAAAGTAATACCTTTTAAAAGAACTAGAATTAGAGGAATAAAAATTCTTGTTAACTTTTTACAGCCTTTATAGAGGTTTTTACTGTCACTTAAAGTAATAGAGTATACTAAGTGAAAAGTATATTAGTAGCATATCACACATCAAATTAGTAATAATGAGTTGTGTAGAATTAATTTCCACTTATCTTCCTTTGCTCAGTAGAAACTTTTGAAGATCTACTGAGATCTGTTTTAGAAATCACTATATCACTTCAATAAAATCCTTCATTCCCATTTACTGCTAATCCCTGTTCCCATACCCTATCCCAATCGACCACTAATCTACTATCTGTCACTACTATTTGTCTATTCTGGCCATTTTCTATAAATGGAATCACAACATATAATCTCTTAGATCTGGCTTCTTTCACTTACCATCTTTTTGAGGTTCACCCATGTGGTAGCATGTATCAGTGGTTCACTCCTTTTTATTGCTGAATAGTATGCCATTGTATGGATATGCCATACTAGTGCCTTTTAATGTTATGGCTTAGACTTCCATTTTCCAGGTTGTACAATGGATGTAGGATAACTTGGGTACTTGGGGTGGGTGAGATGGACCGGTAGCTAACTTTTATTTAAGCCAAATGATATAGATGAGTGTTTCTCAAATCCAATCCAGTTTATACACAATGAGATTATCCTAGCTTCACTCAAAAACATTATGGCATCAGCCCCTTTTAAAACCACTGTCCCATACCTCTCCTCTAACAGGAACACAAATGACAGTTCCTCAAGGTTTCCTTCTCTCTCCCAAGGTTTATAAAAACCCCTACTCTTGCCAGGCATGGTGGCTCACACCTGTAATCCCAGCACTTTGGGAGGCAGAGGCAGGTGAATCACGAAGTCAGGAGTTCGAGACCAGCCTGGCCAACATAATGAAACCCCCTCTCTACTCACAAATACAAAATTTAGCTGGGCATGGTGGCACACGCCTGTAGTCCCAGCTACTTGGGAGGCTGAGGCAGGAGAATCACTTGAACCTAGGAGGCAGAGGTTGTGGTGAGCCAAGACTGCACCGCTGCACTCCAGCCTGGGCAACAGAGCAAGACTCCGTTTCAAAAAAAAAAGAAACCCTACTCTTACTATGTCTTTTGCTTCACCTCCTTTTTCTACCTCCTACTCCTTGTTTTCTCTAAGATTACCTTCCAGCTGATAGCTTCAAAATTTCCACATTTTCAAAATGTCTAAAAAGATCTATTAGAAGTAAATATTGTATGTGTACATTCTGAAATTTTATTTAAGAACCTGTTCTTTTTATGTGGTCCCTGAAAATAATTTTTCAACAGAAAAAAAAACTTTGTAAGTAGTTTTAAAAGAGACAAAAACCTCACAATGCCAATATAAATGAAGCACGAAGATTCAGGTCAACATCTGACACCCTCATTTACAAGCAAAGATCAGAGAATATATAGTAACTAGCCACAGTTTCCTATGATCTTTTCTCTTTAATGTGACCTTGTTAAACACTGATTTTTCATTCAGTGAAATATACCACAACAGTGATGGCAGCAGCAGCCTGCCTGGAGTGGGCACTGTGAAGATGCCAGCTGCAGTGGGAAAGGCACAGCTGGGGCTGTACGCTCCACGGAGCCGGCAGGTGTCAGCTGGAGCCAGGAACAGGTAGGAGCCATGCCCTCTTACAAGTTGAAGAGGTGGGATCCCTCCCATGCTGGGTGTAGCTGTAGCCACCCAGCCATGGCTACAGGCATCCCTGTGCTCTTGGGGGCCCAGGATGCGCCCCTACCTCCATCCCCCACTCTCACAGGCTCGGAAGTGCCTGCTCCCACTGCCTGGCCTCTTCCCACTCCCAGCACCCATGCCGATTTCAAAGGAAAGTTGTGACCAAGGGAGGCACTGTCACTACCCAGCTGGGTGAGAGCAGACTCATGGTGATGCTGACATGGCAGCGCCCTGCCACCTCGGCCCCCTCCAGACTTTGGGCACCCCAGAGGACAGGAGGAAGGCTGTGGGGGTGCTGAGAGCAGCTTGGCACAGGCCTGCAGGTGCCCCATGGCACAGCCCGGGCACTGTGGGTACTGTACAGGGCAGGTTGATGGTGACAGGAAGTAGACAGGCTCCTGGGCAGAAAGGGGCAGATCCACCTTCAAGCTGGGGATGACCTGAAGCCAGGGGCTGGGCTGCCAGTTCTGCAGACTGGAGTGAGAACTTACAGTGCTTTTTCCAGGCCTGCCCATGGACCAATCAGTATGCACTTCCTCCCCTCTGAAGCCCATAAAAGCCCTGGACTCAGCCAGACTCCGGCAGACATGGGGATGACCTGCCTGTGTAGGGGAGCTACCCACTGTGGATCTCCTCTCAGCTGAGAGCTGAGTAGATGTCCGGACGACCTGCCTGTGGAAAGCAGCTACCCACTTCAGTCTCTTGAGAGCTGTACTGTCACTCAATAAAGCTTCTCTTCGCTGTACTCACCCTCCAGTTGTCCACGTACCTCTTTCTTTCTGGACACAGGACAAGAACTTGGGACCCGCCGAATGGCAGGACAGAAACAGCTATAACACAAACGGCTGAAACACGTCCCTCACTCACCATGTTGTGGGCAACAAGAAAAGAGAGAAGAGCTGCAGCCCTTCAGGGAGCCCAGACTGAGGTGCTCCCAAGCCAGGGCTGTGACACCCTCTTTGGGGCTATGCAGTTCCTGGCATCTCCAAGCTTCCAGTCACTACCACGTTCCCCAGTGCCAGCAGTGGAAGCCACTTGCAGTAGTCCTGGTCCAGCCACAGCCTCACAGGAGCCAGTGCCCATGCCAGCACCTGGAGCTCCCCACCCAGCCACAGCAAGGCACAGCAGCTGGACCCCATGCTCCCTTGCTCACACACCCCTCCCCTCTGCACCTGGCTCGCCTTTAGCAGGTGTGAGATCCAGGCTGGTAGTGCGAGCTGAGCACAGCCTGCCAGGATAAGTGGGCAGAATGAGCCCAGCAGGCCCAAGCAAAACTTGGGCAAAGGCACCACCAGCCACAGAGGTTTCCAGCTGGCAAAGCGACACCCCAAGGATCCTGTGACAATAGCATTATTGTTTCACCTCTATCTTATGATGATGCTTGATCCAGATTAAGTGGATCACTTACATTTATAAAATATTAGATGCCCATATGTAGAATGATTAATCAATTATAAAGCTGAGTGAGGAATGATGGTGCAGGGAGAGGGCTGGGAAAGAATGACACTATCTAGCAACATACTTCTTATTACCAGCCTTTTTTAAGTCTTAATTCTCTAGGTGATTCCCAGACAATTAGTTTGAAAACATCATAAATAAGATGATATGGACACAGATAAAAGCTTTCCCAATGGTAATTGTTTTCTAACTAGGAAATTATTTCACTATCTCCTTACTGACCTACAAGACAGTTCTTTTGGAGTATTTAATGGAGTGAGCAATAATGGATAACACCAGCTACATGTAATTAGAAGAAACTTGTGAGATAAAGAAAAATAATACAAGCAATTATTAGCAAGGGCACCTGTTAAAAGTACCAAGAATACTTCTCTGGTGGCCAGTTACTGCAGCTGGCATGTGACAGGCTCTGTGAACTACGTCTTCATCTTTGAAAAGACAACTAAAAAGGGAATCTTGGGTTAAGGTTTGCTCTGCTGCCATTATAGCTCCAAATCTAACTAGGCTGGTATAAGGCAGTGTGAAGAAAGGCTCTGCATTATAAATTTTTTAAAACCTGGTCAAAACTCCCACTAAGCATTCTTTAATGTCATTATTTCAATCTACTTTAAGAAAATGAATGACATGATAATACTATACCTTTCTCAAGCTTTCATATTCCTCACGAAGTTCCCCAGGCTTGCTTAATTTGATTGGTGCTCTGAATATAAAGTCTGAAAGAAAGGGAAAAGAAAATACTTTTTAAGATGACTTTCTAGGAAGACCCACAGGAGGCACAATACATGTGGGTTATATAAATAGATGATAAAAATCAAAGCTAAGAACAGAATAAACGCTAAGTCTTAAATACTATCAAAAAGGTAGAGGAAAGTATACACTTCTGTCTCCTTCTGACACTTCTTTATACCCTCAATGTATATTTGGTGGTCTAAATATATATTAATTTTTAAGACTTACTAATAAATCTACATCCCACTGAGGTTGATAAATGCTTGTTATAGAAAATAGTCTCCCCAAAAAGTTGCCTTTTGTCCTTTTTCAGTTGTCTCAACTATCTTATTTTTTTCCCTGCATTTCCCTCACAGAGGAATCAACTATTTTAGAAAGACTCTTAATTAATATACTGAGTAAGGTAGAAGATATTTAGATAGAAACACTGGACCTAAGGCAAATATAGAAAACAGTAACATAAACCTTTTCCAACCACTACGGAATTGTTAGACCCTAGGTTTGGAAGGCAAACATTCCATCACCTTCACCCACTTGATAAGGTAGGTATTATGCCCATTTTACAATAAGAAAACTGAAGGATTAAATGACTTAGCCCAAGGTTACAGAGCTAGTGCATGGCGAAGCAGGGAGAAAAGCTTTAACAGGAATCAAGAAGGAAATACATAATGATTAAAAAGGCAACCCATCTAGAGTTGAGCCCACTCTCTCCCCTTTTACAAACCCCATTATAGTGGCCCTCCTTGAATAAAGTCTTCCTTACTATCTTTTTTTAAAACAAGAGCAACCCATCAAGAAGATGTAACAATAAAACCTGTATGAACCTACAACACAGCAAAAATTAATAAGGCTATATGGAGAAATTAATCAAAAATTAATGTAAGAAATTTTTTAACACACTGCAATTAAAAACAGATAGATCAGGCCAGGCACACACCTGTAATCCAAGCACTTCGTGAGGCCAAGGCAGGCAGATCACTTGAGGCCAGGAGTTCAAAACCAGCCTGGTCAACGTGGTGAAACCCCATCTCTACTAAAAATACAAAAAAATTAGCTGGGTGTGGTGGTGGGCACCTGTAATCCCAGCTACCCGAGAGGCTGAGGCAGGACAATCACTTGAACCCAGGAGGCAGAAGTTGCAGTGAGTCGAGATCATGCCACTGTACTCCAGCCTGGGTGAGAGAGTGAGACTCTGTTTCAAAAACAAAAATCAAAACAAAATGGATCGGGCAGACCAAAAGGTGGCAAAAATACAGAAAAATTGAACAATAAAATTAATGTGGTCGTGTGTGTGTGTGTGTGTGTGTTTATGTTTATGTATATATAAACCCCCAATGAATAGAATACATATCTCTTAAGGCAAACAATTTAAAATATTGATGATACATTAGGTCATAAAGATGCTTCAAAAAATTTCAAAGAATTTGTATTACACAGACTTTGCTCTTTGATCCTGGATGCCATTTTCCAAGCCTAGTTTTCTACCTACCAAGGTGGTAATTTTGGGCTAATATTCTTTTTCAATAAATTCCTTTTCTGATTAAATTTGCCAGAGTAGATTTCTGTCGATTGCAACTAACAACCCTAGCTGATTCAATTTTTTACATGGTACCTTGAAATAACCAATAAATCAGTCTCTAGTAAAACTGATTAAGAAAAAAAAGAGAGAAGATAAAATTATATTAAGAATAAAAAGTTCTAAATACAGGCAACAAGGTGAGTTTAAATCTCCAGAGACTATTGAAAGAATGCTGTAATGAATATCTTGCATATATATCATTTTACATGTCTGCAGATGTACCCATAGGATAAATTGCTAGAATCAGAACCCCTGGGTCAAAGGATACATGCTTTTTGAGAGGAACACCAAATTGCCCCTCTGTCATGAAGCCTATATCAATTTATAGTCCCGCCAGCAATGCATGGGAGTGCCATTTCCTCACACCTCTTTTTCACTTTTTTTAGAGATGAGGTCTCACAGTGTTGCCCAGGAGGGAGTGCAGTGGCTATTCACAGGCATAATCATAGTGACCTATGGCCTCAAACTCCCAGCCTCAAGAGATCCCTCTGCCTTAAGCCTCCCAAGA
The DNA here is from genome assembly GCF_000001405.40 of Homo sapiens. Taxonomy (NCBI): domain Eukaryota; kingdom Metazoa; phylum Chordata; class Mammalia; order Primates; family Hominidae; genus Homo; species Homo sapiens. The sequence goes on along the minus strand of NC_000011.10, from coordinate 74,787,522 downwards.
AGCCGATCTACTCACATCTTTTCCAACACCATGAGTGCTGAAACCTTTTCGCTTTGCTAATCTAACAGATGAAATTTTGCATTTTATATGCTTATATTTTATGAGTGAAATTGAGTGTTTTTATATGGTTAAGAGTAATTTGCATTTCCTTTGATATGAAATGCATATGCATTTCCTTACTCCTACTTGTATTAACTTTTTCTTCTTGATTTGTTAAGAAAAATTAGCTTTATGTTACATGACTAGCAATACTCTTCCCGGTGTATCAATTGTGTTGACTTTGTTTATAGTGGTTATTTTTATGTAGTTATATTAATCAAACTTTTCTTTTATGGCTTCTGCGTTTTTTATTATGTTTGGAAAGACTTTCCTTTAGGCCAAGATACAATAACAAATTCCATCATATTTTCTTCTGGTAGAATGCATAAGATTCTTCTCAGATCTGCTTTTTAAAAATTCTAAATCTTTATTTTTATTTGAGAAGCAACATAAGGAGCATAATCTTATTCAGGCTTATAAATAAGTATACTATCCAACACAAGAAACCAAAAATATTTTAGCAATAGCCTGGTAGAAATGGTAATTTTCACTTACTGTTGGAGAATTTGCTTTCTCCAAAATACTTCACTGATATTTAGTACAAAATGTTTCAAGAGCTTAACATTTTCATTTTTTACACAGTAAGCCTGATCCCCAACTTAGAAGGTTGAGAGCCTTGGATAAGTCAGTCTCAACTTCCTCTTCTGTAAAATCAGAATACCCATCATCACAGGTTATTATAAGGATCAGATGAGTGCAATATGAGTAAAAACACTTTGCAAACTATTTTAGCCAGTAGAGTGGCATGCAGCAGAATTTACTGAGTATAAAATTGTCTCTGGTACTGGTGGGACAGCATTCTTTAAATTGTGGTTTGGTTCAATTTACTTGCAGGTACAATCTATAAGAAACAAAGATAATCTCCAGGAGTGGTGGCTCATGCCTATAATTCCAGCAATTTGGGAGGCTAAGGTGAGAGGATCTCTTGAGGTCAAATGTTCGAGACCAGCCTGAGCAACACAGACAGACCTCATCTCTGCAAAAAACAAACAAACAAAAATTAAACAAAAAAACCCCCCAACAATTAGCAGGGCATGATGGTGCACACCTATAGTCCCAGCTACTCAGGAGGCTGTGGCAGAAGGACTGCTCGAGCCCAGGAGTTTGAGGCTGTACTGAGCCATGATTGTGCCTAGGCAACAGAGCAAGACTTCAACTCTTAAAAAAAAAAAAAAAAAAGAAACAGGCCAGGCACAGTGGCTCACGCCTGTAATCCCAGCACTTTGGGAGGCCAAGACAGGCAGATCACAAGGTCAGGAGATCAAGACCATCCTGGCTAACATGGTGAAACCCCGTCTCTCCTAAAAATACAAAAATTAGCCAGGTGTGGTGACAGGTGCCTGTAGTCCCAGCTACTTGGGAGGCTGAGACAGGAGAATGGTGTGAACCTGGGAGGCAGAGCTTGCAGTGAGCTGAGATCGTGCCACTGCACTCCAGCCTGGGGACAGAACAAGACTCTGTCTCAAAAAAAAAAAAAAAAAAGAAAAGAAAACAAAGATAATGTTCCAACTACTTTGATACATATATTACATGAAAAGTTAAATTCACTTTGGGATATTAAGAAATCTCAAAGTTCATATAAGACCAAGGAGGAACTCAGCATAATGACTGAAATCTTACTATGCCTCTGGCTTGTTTGACTGCAAAAGGTGATGTGCAGGGGTAGAGGTAGGGTACTAATTTACAGTCACCAAAATTAGTACTGATATTAATCAGTTTAGTTGGATTAAGATGAACAATGTTTAATGCTTTAAGGATCATTTTTTGCCCCAACAGGACTGTGCTATATTAAATGACACCGTGCCCAAAAGCTCAAAAATTACATAGAAAGTAAAGTACTTCTTGAATACTAAAACAGTTAAGCATAAAAGGTTGTGAATTGGTCCAAAGTGATATTAACTTAAACATTTAATCCTACGTTCTATCTTAGCTGTACCCTCTAAAAATGCTAAGAAGGAAAAAAAAAATCCTCACTTTTTTTTTGTGGGCTTGCAAAAAGAACGTAACATTAGGTTCAGATACCTGCTCTGTCAATTAAGCGAGAGTATTTAGAAATGTCAAAACTTGAATGATGGAGCCTTGGGAAATTTTATATATAATATATATAACATATATATATATCTCTAATATATATAACATATATATATCTAATATATATAACATATATATCTAACATATATAACATATATATAATATATATAACATATATATATCATATATATATATCATATATATATCATATATATATATCATATATATATATATAAAAATACATGTTGAAGCTTCTCTTTGCCTTAGTCTTCCTGTCTATCAAATGGGGATCAAAATACCGGCCAAGCTACCTCATAGGAATGCGGAAGAGCACAATTAAAAGTAACAGTAGTAGTAACCAATGAAGAATCCCCATAATAAATAAGTAAAAACAGCTAACGTTTAATGAAAAGCACACTCTATGCTAAATGTTGCATGCATGCATATGCACAAGTGCACACATGTACACGTACACATACACAGCAAAGAGTTGACACAGCAGGCCTGTCTATCCTTTTCTTTCTTTCTAACACATCAGTGGGAGAAGATGTCTATCCTTAAAAAGGCCTGCTTCCAAGGCTTGCCCTTGGCTGGTGCCTAGAAACTTGGATGTTAGGAGGGTTCCCACCCTCCTTAACTGATGAGTTGTTCACTGTACCTAAACTACAGAAACAATATAATTATGCCAAACATCTGCTTTCCTGCGGGGAATCTGAAATTCTAGCACATGCTAGGTAGAGGGTGCCTATGTGATCAGCTAATATAAACCCCAATCACTAAGTCTCTAACGAGTTTCCCTGGTTGAGAACATTTCATACGTTGTCACAACTCCTCGCTAGGGTATTAAGCACACCTTGTGTGCCTCCACTGAGAGAGGACTTCAGAAGCTTGTGATGGGTTTTCCCCAGACTTTGTCCCACACACCTTCTCCCTCTACTGATTTTGCTCGGTGTCTTTTCACTGTAATAAATCACAGCACAGAATACAACTACGTATTGAGTCCTTTAAGTCCCCCTAGCAAATCAGTGAACCTGTGGGTGGTCTTGGAGACCTCCCAACACACACATACAACACATGTCATGAACTGAAAATCTCTTTAGATCATAGTTTCAATCTCAGAAATGAAGGCAACACATCAGATAACTTCTAAAGTTAGTGATTCAGTAACAATACTTTGATTTCACTTTTATTTCCTACTCAATATGTTTCTCTAAATTTTTTAAATCTCCATTAAAGTATAATATTATAGGTAAAATGCTATTAGGATTTCAAACTTAATATTAAGAGTATGTATAACATCAAAATAATTTATTTGAAGCCTTGTGAAATGTGGTGTTTCAATCTACCTGGACTATTATGAGAAAGGAACCAGGAAAAGGCCAGAAAAATGAAGATCTCCCCCTTTTAAATCAAAGTCTCATAACATCTCTTAAAGATGAATGGAGAACATGTATGCATTCAACAGTATCAATTATGCCAAGACAGTTATTATGAACCTTTCAGTTTCCCAGATTTTTAATAAAGAACAATCACATACAATAAAACAATTGTTACTGCTGATGTGAGACTTTACTTTTCTTAATTTTCTCTTTACTTCCCTTTCCTTCCTGGGGTCACATGTCAGCTTCCTCCACCCGAAAAGAGGAAATTGTGGGTGAAATGAAAGCAATACTACCCCACCACAAAGCAGAGCAACAAGATGTCAAGTCAGAACCAGGAAAGGCAACATCATCTTCCTCAGTCCAGAGGAGTTAGTCACAAAGCTACCAATCCTTCTACCAGCTTTTACAGGGATTTTTAAGTGTTTAGTAGCACTGAAGCAATAACTCACCCTTCCTTCACCTCACAGAACAGAAATGCTGGAAACTACTTCAGGTGTCACTGAGATACTGAATATCTTAGCATTCATAAATGAATCTAATGGTTGAAGTACTTTCTTAATGCCTATCCTTTGACTATTACTATACTTAACAGGAAGAGCAACGCTCTAAGGATATGATGCCTTAAGAATGACATGCACCTGTGGCCAGTGACCTAAAATGAATCTTATGTGAATTACAGGAACAGCTATAGTTCCCTGAAGATCCTTCCTGAAAAAGGATTTTCTCTCAGCCAGAGTGATTGCTTATTAATAAAGGCAAAAAAAAAAACAAAACAAACTACAAGATAGGCATGTTGCTAATTGCATTAAACCATCAGGAATGAAGTGTCATTGCCAAAGCATCCACACTCAATGCAAAATTTAAAAAAGAACCTCACTCAACTGTGATGGGAAGATGCTATCCCAAAAACTCAAATCCAAAGGAAAGCATCCCTTGGTACCTGAGTATGCGTGAGTTTTTACCCCTGTACATTCATTTTCTATGAGTGCAGCAGAATGAAAAAGAATTTTGGACTTACTGAGTCCCAAGACCAAGACACTCATTTGAATAGTCCCACTTACTAGCTATTTGTCTTTGAACAAATTAAAAAAAAAAAAAAAAAACCTCTTTGCACATGAATTTCCTCATGTGTAACTTGGTAATAATACAACCATATATCAGAACTATAGACAAGATTAAATTAATGATGAATTCAAAAGCTTGTAAACTGCTGTTTGCCAAATTATTTAGCACTACACAAATATATAGTTATATATAATATAGTTATACTAATATGTTATAAAATGGTTAACTGAGGACTAATGTGTTTTCTTTAAATACACAGAGACAATTTTCTGTAATCAGAAGAGTTGATGCTATACCACTTATATTTCAACATGCCATAAGGGGCCATCCATATCAGTGGTCCCCAGCCTTTCTGGCACAAGGGACCAGTTTTCTGGAAGACAGTTTTTCCACTGACTGGTGTAGGGGTTGCGGGGGGAGCAGATGGTTGAGATGAAACTGTTCCACCTCAGATCATCAGGTATTAGCTTGTCATAGGACAGCACAGCCTACCTAGATCCCTTGCATGCACAGTTCACAATAGGGTTCATGCTCCTATGAGAATCTAATGCTGCCACTCATTTGCTGTGTGGCCGTGTTCCTAATAGGCCATGGACTGGTACCAGTCCGCAGCCCAGGGGTTGGGGACCCCGATCTATATGACGTGGATCTGCCTACCTCTTCATCTTCATACCACTTCATGCCCTGCCTATTTTACATTCCATCAACAACTATGATTCTTGCCCTAAACCATGCTATTTCTGCCTCTATGCCTCTGCCTGAAATGCCCTCACTTTCCACACTTAACTCTCCACCAGCCGCTTCATAGGAAGCTAAAAACAACTCATCCTTAAAACTCAGTTTAAATTTGTACAAAGCGTAAGATAATAAAACAAAGCCAAAAGATGAACTTGGAAAAAGTACTTGCCACACATATAATAAAAGGCTAATTTCCATCTCTACCACCACCAGTAGCATCATTACAGTGGTTGGCAGTTATGTAGCATGCCAGGCCCACTTCTATGCCCTGAATATTAACTAACTCAACTTCATAATGACTCTATGGGAAGGTGCTATGGTTATCCACATTTTACAGATGAGGAAACTGAGGTACACAGAGTTTCATTTGCTAAGGCTACCACTGCTGTAAGTGAAAGAGCTATGATTTAACACAAGCAATCTAGATCCAGGGTCTGCCTGTGCACTTACCCACTATGCCTTATATATATGTATGAGCCTAACAACCCCATACAACAATGGATAAAGGACATGCATAGGCAGTTCATAGTATAGAAAAATAAAAACTAAGAACAAAACACTTTTGTATCAAGTTGGTAAAGAACAAAAAGTTTCATAAGACCAGAGTTAGCAAAGCTATGCTTTATCTTAAAGATATATATGTGTACAAATATATACATACAAGAATGTTCACTGCTGATTACTCGCCATACTAAAGACTGGGAACAACCTAAATGTCCTTCAAATAAAGATTGATTAACTAATTAGATGATGGGGACACACATGGATCTATTTCTGTACTGTCTGGTTTTATTCCTCTTCTGGTCTCTGGGTTTATCTGTAGTTTTTGTTAGAATGTCATTCATTGTGTATGAAAAACTATAAAGGCCCTGGGTGATGTTATATTCCTACAGAGGATCCACCATCTTCTCTGATAGGCAGTTAGAATGAGGGGGCAGATCACTTCACAATCCAAACATGACATGAGCTGACTCAAAGACGGCTGCAGTATAAAGCTTCTACAGCTCATTCTCCCCTAGTTTGTAGCCCTCCAAGGATCCAACTGAGATCAGTGTTTCCCGAGCCTATCTTCCTTGAAAGATCATGAACTTTTTCTCCTCAACACTGGAGAACTGTTAGAGTCTGCCTTGCTTTTCAGTAGCTTTCTGTGAGGGTTCTTAGCCTTTTACCCCGCACAGTTAACAATCAGCAAACACCCTGGGAGCTAGGTAGCGGGGAAGTAGGTGGAGAGGGCAAGAGGCTATACATCTCTTCTCTTTGGGATCTTGGACCCTCAGGTTCTGGTTGCCTTGGCAGCTCTGAACTACAATTTTTGTATCCTCAGTCTCATGAAGAAAGCACCACTGACGTTTTTGCCTCTTAATAGCTGCACTCTCATTTTGCCAAGAATCCACAAATGTCTGAAATCCTGGCTGCCTTGGCAACTTACAATGCCTTCATATAGATTTTTTTAAATCAAGCTTTTCTAGTTATTCTCAACAGGAGTTTTTGTCTGCTACAATCTGCTTCATCATAGCCAGAAGCAAAATCTACATATTTCATAAGCAGTGGAGAAGATAAGATTTTCATGATGAAACTACAAGCCAAAAATTAAAACCATTTTTTAAAGTATGAAATGATGCACATCATAAGGCAAGCGTGCATACATAAGTAAATCTGAGGAAAGGAAAAAGGATCAATGAGGCTGAATTCTTAAAGGCAAGGCTTCCTGGAGGAGGTGAATTATGTTAGGCATTAAGAACAAGTACTAGTGAGGAAAAAGCCATTTCTGGCAAAGGAAACTTCACAAGCAAAGGCAGAAGTGACTATGTTGTGTCAGATAGACTGGAATAGGGTGTGTGGGCAGTAATGCTGGATAGATGAGATTTGAAGATGTAGTCACCATAGATTAAGAGAGTAAAGAGGGAATGAACAGCGAGGAAGAAAACAAAAGTAGAGAGCATTCTTTGAGAGTCAAGAAAGGGACATAATAAAAAGCAGAACATGGGTGATTCAAGTCCTAAATAAGTTTACAATCTTACAAAGAAAGGAAAAACATACTTGGGTGAAACAACTATAGAATGTCAAAAGAGTTATAAAACTAAATACCTAAGTACTGCAAGAGGTGGAGGTGCACAACAGCGAAAGGCAGGCAATGAAACAAAGCACATCTTTTACAATGAAACATATGTTAAGTGCAAAGATACACAAGAAACAAGGCAATTATCCATATTAATCTCATATTTACCTGCTTAGCCGGGCACAATAGCACATGCCTGTAGTCCCAGCTACTCAGAAGGCTAGAGTGGGAGGACTGCAAGTTTGAGGCCAACCCCAGGCAAAGTAGGGAAACCCCATCTCCAAAAAAAAGCAGCCAATCAAATTTACCTGCTGATACCATCCACTAAACCTTGAACAACCACTGTCAAATGAAGTAAGTGAAAGGAGAAACTTTAATGTTTAAAATAAATGCACCATTTAAAAGTAGTAAGGTAGAAATACAGGAGTGAACCACAAATGTATTCTAAAACCAAACTATTGTAAATAACTTTTTTTTGAGAAGAAAATCAAATCAGCTAGAATTGAACCCCCCCAAAAAATAAAATAAAATAAAAATAAAACCAAACTAAAGTGTTTCCCATTTTATCTACTATTTTTTGGTTTACTCCTTCTGATTCTCCAAGAATATAGATGATAGCCAAGTACCGACTGTCTTAAACAAATGCAATTTTCACCTACCCCCTTGCCTAAGACAAGTAACAGTTTACAACAGGCAATATAGAGTGTTTACCTGGGAACAAGAGGAAATACACAGAAAGAAAGTTGAACTGAGCTAATAAAATTTAGTATCAAATTTTAAGGCTGCTCACTTAGGTTCCATAATTTACACCACCGATTACTACTATGGTAGTAGTAGTACTACTACTACTGTGTTTTTAAACTATTCTTTGGCAAAGTACTAATCAAACAGAAATGCCACAGCCCACACAAGAACTTATGAAATGCTATGTAACATCTGATCTAGTAATTTAATTTCTAGGAATCTATCTAAGACAGTTATCTGAAATATCGCAAAACTTTTACATAAAAATATTTTCATTGCAACATTGTTAACAACTGCAAAATAAAAATCAAGAATAATTTAACTGTCCAATACTGAGAAAATGGTTAGGCTGATTATGGACAGACCATACACTTGTACTATTATTCAGTCACTAAAATTGTATACTTTTAATAATACGCAGTATTGCTTTCATAAGATGGGAAACTGCTTAAGTTAGTGAAAGATGCAAGTCACCTGTATGGTAAATGCACCTGATAGCAATAACTTCAGCATACCCTGAGAATAACCGATATGGTGGACACATCTGAATGTGTGTTCCAAGCTAGGGAATCTGGGAGTGGCCAACTCAGAAATTCATTCCTTGTCTATGAGGAACACCTGAGCCCCTGTCCAGTGGAACATGGGCCATATGGGACATAGAGGTCCTGACTTTTGAGTTGAATGAAGGGTGCCAGGTGGCGGTTGTTAGATAAAGGCTGCTACGTAAAAATACTATAGAAATTGCAGGCCTTTTGAAAGTGGCGGCAGTTCTCCCGCCCAGCCCGCCACCACTGGAGTCTCTCCCTGTATGTAAAGCCCCCAGGAAAACTCCATGTCTCGTTTACTGGCTAAGTCTCTTCTTTGGCCTCTTGAACCTGGTGCCATCCCCACTGGAGCTGATGGGGTTTGGCACAACATCACCAGATTAAGTATACCTTATAATCTCAAACAAGAAAAACCATTAAACACAGAAACAGCAATAACATACTGGAAAAAGAAACAGTGACATAATCGTAGAACTCACAAATGGAAAAAAAATTCGTGATAACATATCAAGTTATCATATGTAAATGTGTAAGAATGATAGAAACAGTCACCAGAGATTAGTAGGTTAAAGAGGGAATGAGCAATGAGGAAGAAGGGAGGTACTGCAGAACGAGAAAATATAAAAAGAAAGGCACAAAACTCTTTCCCCAAAACATTTATAATGCAGTTTATTAGCTAAGACTAAATCATAAAAAGCTTTAAAAATAGTTTTAAATAACTAGGGAGACGATGACAGATGCAATGTCACAGAATAAACAACTGCCAAATGAATCTTACAAACACACACTGCAGTTAAGAATCCACAGGAGAAAGAGAACAGGGCTGGGAAGGAGAGGCAATGCTTTCACAAGATGAGATGAAGCTGCATCTGGCCTGCTGACCGTAGTTTGCTAATCTCTGGATTAGTGAGAAAGACAAATTAAGACAGTTGAGGCTGGACGTGGTAGCTCCTGCCTGTAATCCCATCACTTTGGGAGGCCAAGGCAGGAGGATCTCTTAGACTAGCCGTTTGAGACCAGCCCAGACAACATAATGAGACTCCATCTGCACAAAAAATTAAAAATTGGCCAAGCATGGTGGTGCATATTTGTAGTCCCAGCTACTCAGGAGGCTAAGGCGGAAGGTCAAGGCTGCAGTGAGCCTTGATTGTGCCACTGCACTCCAACCTGGGCAAAAGAGCAAGACCCTGTCTCAAAAAAAAAAAAATTTAAGACAACCGAGACCAACAGGATTTGCAAAAGCAGGTATAAGAGTAGAGTCAAAGTGAATAAGGTTTCTTGTTGAATCCAGAAATGGCCCCAACAACAAGGCTTTGTTGTTAGGTAATCCGCACTGGATCAGCACAGTCAAAGCAGCAAGAGGCACATGATAAAGGAGGTCACAGAATCAAACACAGACATGGGAATGCTGCTAAGATGAAGGCTTTGGACCTTATGGCCTTTTATCCTAGGCAGACCAAGCCCATGTGGTTGTCCTCACTACCACATCTACCACCACCATGATACAAAATCCTTTGGAATTAAGTTTTGCCCTGCTTGAGGCAAAGAATTATTCCTGTTAGTCCACAAGGTAGAATGATACCAGAATTAAAAAGAATGCAGGATTTGGAACCAGACAGACCTGCAGTCACCTAGTGACTATGTGCCTACCAGTATTTATCTTTGCTAAGCCTGTTTCTTCATTCATAAAATGGGAGTAGCACTTACCTCAACACAGTTGTTTATCTCACCTAATCCTCCAATACCTACTTGGTATAGATTGTGGGCATTCAATGATAAGTAACTGGCCTCCCTGTCTCTTAGACTCTGTCTTTCCATCTATCTTTAACATTGCTTCCCTTTCTTTATGAAGAGAACTGACCCTACCACCCTTCCACTTAATAACTTTTATTGGCTTCCCACTGCCTCCAAGATTTGTAAACAGGACCCAATCTGCCACTTCAGCCAATCTTCTACTATTCCTTCAATAATCCTTTTCTCCCCAGCCCTTACACATCTCCCTATTCCTAGATATGCCATATCCTGCCTCCACTAGGACTTTATATATGCCACTTCCTCCTCCCAGAATGATTTTCTTCCCCTTTCACTATGATTTGCTATTCATACTTCAAAACCCTGTTCACTGCTCTCTCCTTTGCAGTTTTCCCACTAACCCAGAGAGAATTACATTAGCTTCCTGTAGGCCCTCATGGCATTCTGCACTTATCTCAATTGCAGTAACATTTACTACTTGTGTTATAATTACTTTACTTTGCCTCTGACTTCCTAACTTGAAGTTAGGGATGATCTCTAGGTATGTGTCTCAGTGTCAAACAATGGCTTAAATTTTTTTTTTTTTTTTTTTTTTTGGCTGAATGAACCAATGAGATTCATGACAGCATCATTTTGCACTATGGTCTTTTAAAGAATTCGTTTTCTGAAGGTAGCTGAATTTTGTAAAGTTTTTCTTTATAATTAAGGCAAAGGTGAATTTATTAAAGTCAAAGTCTCATTATCATCAACTTTAATAGAGTCCAATCTTTTGAGGTTGCATTATAATAGTTTTATAGAACTAAACACTAGAAAATTACAAGAGAAATGGCAAAACAGAAGGAAGGGAAAATAAGTCCATAAACACCAAAATTGAACATCAGTTGTCTTTGGGCTTAAAAATTTAGTTGTACATACATGTGAGGAAAAAGACTGGCATAATGGAAGTTCATGCAAAAAATAAAAAAGAGCAATTTTTGTTTTGCCTGCCAATACAACTTTTGGCATCATTAATAAGAATTTAGTGCTCAGATGGGAAGACAGTAAGTCATATTATACTTGGCTCTGGTCAGGCTATAAAGTATCAGGTTTTCTGAGTGGCATATTTAAAGATGACTAGAATGGTTAAGGAATCATGACATATAAAGAAAAACTTTCCAGCTTTTTAGGAATTTTTCCTTCATTAAGTATTTACTGAGCGTCTAATACATTCCAGATAACATATTAAGTGCTGAATACATAAAGCCATAATCCCTGACCTCAAAGAGCTCAGTATAGTGCCAGAGACAGACATATAAATAAATAACTTTAATCCAGTGAAATGAGGGATTCACATGATCAAATGGTGGCAAAAATGAAGGAATAATCAACTCACATTTGAGTGAGAAAACATTTTACCGAGCACTTATGTTTCATTTGGGTCTTGAAGGATGAGTATAAATTTGCCAGGTAGATAAGAGGGAAGAATATTCCAGGCAGAATAATCATTGGTGAGGAATATCAGAAAGGCTTCAAAAAGCTTACGATATTCCAAGAACTCTGAGTAGTATGGTATGACCAGAATCTTGGGGAAGGAAAAAAAAAACAGAACAGAGAGATGAATATGACAAGTTTAATCTAAAAACTTACAAGTAATCATGGTCTCTAAATACTTGAATACTGAAACTAGGGAAGCAGATTTTGATTCACTAAAAAAGAAAACTTTCAAACAATTAAAATTGTCCAAAAATATTCCTCTTTGACTAGAACAAAAAAAAGAAAAAGAAAAATTGTCCAAAAATAGAGAGGAGGGAGTACAAAGTAATCAGAATGGGAGAAACATCCCTATTAATGTATAAGATCAATACCTCCACAGGTGTTCAGACCTCATCTTCCTTTACCTCTTCATTGACTTAGCTCATTCCATTTCCTCCATTCTCTCCAGCACCATCAATTTCTTCCTCTCTACTATGATAATATGCAAATCTAAAATACAAACATGACTTGATATCATCTATCTTGAAAAGAAAACATTCTTGGGCTCTTGTCCCAGCTGTAGGTACTGACCCATTTATCTGCCCCCATTACTGCAAATTCCTCCAAAGAATTGTCTAAATGTTATATTCACTGTTTCTGCTTTCTCATTTATTTTTTGTTTGAGATGGAGTCTCACTCTGTCGTCCAGTCTCTGTCACCCAGTCTTGAGATGGAGTCTCCCTCTGTCGGCTCACTGCAACCTCTGCCTCCCAGATTCAAGCAATCCTCCCACCTCAGTCTCTCAAGTAGCTACGATTACAGGCATGTGCCACCATGCCTGGCTAATTTTGTTTGTATTTTTTAGTAGAGACGGGGTTTCATCATGTTAGCCAGGATGGTCTCAAACTCCTGACCTCAAGTGATCCGCCCACCTCGGCATCCCAAAGTGCTAGGATTACAGGCATGAGCCACTACACCCGGCCTTGCTTTCTCATTTCTAATTCTCACCTTAACCCACTCTATTAGGACCTTTTCTTTGTCCTACCACATTACCAAAACTGCTCTTAATAAAGTCACCAAGAAAGACGTCCAAGGTACCCCAGGGTAGGTATACAATATAAGCACAAAAGAGTTCAATGGGTAAGTTGAATCTGATATACAAACAGAATCTTTACTTAGCCTAAAAACTAGGGAACTTTAAAATTAAAATATCTAATACTAGCCTTATTTAAGTTATCAATCTGGGATAAACTGGCTCAGCTTCAGGTTTTTTTTTGTTTGTTTCTTGTTTTTTTGGGTTTTTTTTTTTTGAAACAGGGTCTCACTCTGTCATCCAGGCTGGACTGCAGTAGTGTCATCTCGGCTCACTGCAGCCTCAACCTCCTGGGTTCAAGCGATCCTGCTGCCTCAGCCTCCTGAGCAGCCGGGATTACAGGCATGTGCCACCATGCCTGGCTAATTTGTGTGTGTGTGTTTTTAGCAGAGACAGGGTTTCACCATGTTGGCCAGGCTGGTCTCGAACTCCTGGCCTCAAGTGATCTGCCTGCCTCGGCCTCCCAAAGTGCTGGGATTACAGGCATGAGCGACTGCACCTGGACAGCTTTAGCTTAACATTATTTCACAAAGGTTTGTGTCTTACTCATCTTTGTATCCCTAGCACCTGGCAGAGTGCTTGGCACAAATATGTGGTATGTGCTCCATGAGGGGGTACAAAATGAATGACTGCATATAATAACAGCTAATATTTATTAGGTATTTACTTTCTATAAGCAGTTTACACATATCATTTCATTTAATCCTCACAACTCTGCAAAATAGCTCCTATTATCCTCATACTAAAAAAGAAGAAATTTAGGCACAGAGTTTAAGATGCTTGCCCAAAGCCACACAGCTACTAAGTAGTAGAATACCAGTATGCAAACTCAGATCCACTAACTTCCAATCCTGTCTCCTTTCCAGAATACTATTTATGATGCAAAATGTTTTCACACTGAAGTATTTAGTGAAAAATTTCATCTATCCTGCAGGCATTTTACAACCCTTCTGACCTCATCAGAAAAATAAACATGTAAGAATATTGTTGTGCCTGGGATTCAGTAGGTGAAACATCCAGGCAAGCTCAAAAAGAAAACTGGCCTGGTGGTACATTTGCACAAATGACCATCTTTCTCCCTCCTTTCATTCGTATTTAGCTTATACAATTATCATCTTATTTTATATTATCCTAAATGCTATAATCAAGTCATCTAAGCTGATAAACACATATAAGAGGCTTTAAAGAGGTATTAGAGAAAGAAATGCAACAGAACAGTAAATCTCAGTCCATGAATTGATCAGATTGGTGTTAAAGATTGACTAGTTGAGAAATTCTGAATTGAGGCTACAATAAAGTCATTTATCGCACAAATATTTATGAACCTACTATATGCCAGATATTGCAGCACCATGGAAATCCAGGCCAATCCTACCCCAGGTCTCAGCAAATCGTAATCCTCCCCAAATGCTACCCCAGGTCTCGGCATTTCAGGACAAATCTCCTAGTCACCAAAAGCTCAGTTTAAGTTCTTAGAAAGTACAAAATACAAGTACTTTTTCACTAGCAAATGTGATAAAATATTTGTATGACTGGATTCCTAAACCAATATATATCTATTTTGACAGTACATCTCCATTACGGATTAAATATTTCTATTGTCACTAACATTTATTGATGACATACTATGGACTATTAGTACCTAGCCAATAGCTTTGGAACTTTTAGTACAATCCACAGTAAGAAATACATTTTACATCACTCCCCAGTTCATGATCAAACACATGTAAAACTGAAACAAATGGTTCATTATGCTAGTATCTATTCTATTCCTTTAAAAAAATGCTAATCTTATCCCATTAATCTGATTTTACTGTTTAAATATCACTATGAAACAATATTGATTATCCTATTTAAACCTTACAACAATCCTTTGAGGCTGTTACCATTATTATCTCCACTTACAAATATGGAAGCTGAGGCTCAGAAAAGCTAAACGCTCTACTCAAGGTCAAAAATAGCTAAGTAACTGAGGGAGCAGAATTTAAACCAGGCAGTTGGCTATGCAACTCACAGGGTAAAAAAGAGCTTTACAGTATAGGGCCCAGCACAGCTCAATACATAAAAGTAAAAAAAAAAAAAAAAAAAAACCAGCATCCCTAGTAGTAAATTAACATTTACTGAAGGATTAAGTGCCAAGTACTGTGCTAGGGGTTTCCACACATATTCTTATTTAAGCCTTATAATAACCCTGTGTGGTTGTAGTATTTACTTTTTACAGACCAGAAAACAGAAACCTCTCAAGGACGTTAATTAAGCAGCTTTGTCACGGTCAATGAGACAAAGGTGGCAGAACTGAGATTCAAATCCAGATTTTCTGATTTCAAATTCACTCCCCTTCCCTGACATACATGACCTGCATAAATAAAAGTGATTTTTTTAAAAAAGACCAATTTTTCCCTTAGATCAGGCAAAGGAATCATTCATAGAACTAATTCAAATTACATCAAGAAAGTTAAAACTTTCTATATTTTCCAGACTAGTTTATACATCAAAGCATTTTCCACAATGCTGAATACAGAATGAGTATCCCTTATCTGAAATGTTGGGGACCATCAGTGTTTCGGACTGTCTTTGGATTTTTTAGTATTTGTATATACATAATTAATTATCTTAAGGATGGAAACCAAGTCTAAATACGAAATTGATTTATGTTTTTTGTTTTAAATTATTTTATAGAGAGAAGGTCTTGATGTTGTCCAAGCTGGTCTCGAACCCCTGGCCTCAAGCAATCCTCCTACCTCGGCCTCCCAAAGTATTGGGATCATAGGCATGAGCCACCATGCCCAGCCCATTTATGTACCATATATACCTTATATACACAGCCTGGAGGTAATTTTGTATATTTTATTTTTTTTGGAGACAAAGTCTTGCCCTGTCACCCAGGTTAGAGTTTAGTGATGCAATCATAGCTCTCTGCAGCCCCAAACTCCTGGGCTCAAGCAATCCTCCCACCTCAGCCTCCTGAGTAGCTGGGACTATAGGTGTGCACCAACATACCTGGCTAATTTTTTTACTTTTGTAGAGACAAGGGTCTCCTTATATTGCCCAGGCTGGTATTGAACTCCTGGCCTCAAGTGATCATCCCACCTCAGCCTCCAGAGTAGCTGGGATTACAGGCACAAGCCATAATAGCGACCAGTTAATAATTAAAATAGTTTTGTGCATAAAACAAAGTCTGTGTTAAGTACTTATATGTAGAATTTTCCACTTGTCATGTCATGTCAGCACTTATAGTTTCAGATTTTTGGCACATTTTCGATTTCAGATTTTCAATTAGGGATGTTCAATCGGTAGTAGACAGAGCCAAAGACTCAAAAGCAAGCCAAGTCCAAGACTATATAAAACTAGCCCAAATCTACTTTAAGTGATGGCAAAAAAAATTACTACAACTAGTATTTCCCCAACCAGTAACCTTAATGTTAGTATGACTAAGTATCAAAAATGCACATGGAGGCCAGGCACGGTGGTTCACGCCTGTAATCCCAGCACTTTGAGAGGTCGAGGCGGGGGGGATCACCTGAGGTCAAGAGTTCGGGACCAGCCTGGCCAACACGGTGAAACCCTGTCTCTACTAAAAATAAAAAAAATTAGCCAGACATGGGGGCACTGGCCTGTAATCCCAGCTACTCGGGAGGCTGAGGCAGGAGAATCCCTTGAACCCAGGAGGCAGAGGTTGTAGTGAGCTGAGATCGTGCCACTGCACTCCAGCCTAAGCAACAGAGCAAGACTCCATCTCAAAAAAAACAAAAACAAAACAAAACGAAAAATGCATGTGGTAACGTGCAAAAACAGGAAGAAACAATGGGTAAGAGAAACCTGCAACTGTAAGGTGAAAACATACTGATTTAATTCATTTATTATAGAATTCTGTTCTTCCTAGTCATTTATCTAATGAAAACACACTAGCCAAGAGGCTAAACGTATGCCAAGTACTGTGTAACACAGGAAATAAACATACTCATGTACATTATTCATGGAGGAACTGCGAGCCATTATTTTGAAAAAAATAGCGAGCTACTGGTAGATATGTTTAGATGTCAGTAACCATGTATCCCCACAATTTAACAGTTTGGGGGATATCTTTCATATCTACAGCTAAAATGAACAAATGGCCTCAGTAATACTAAGCCTGGCCTCTACCTTCTCCTATGAATTATAATTCTTATATCCATAACCTGCTTTCTACCAAGATGAGATAAATATTTCCAGCCCCTTGAAAAGCTAGTGGCAATTTATAAGCAAACTGGCAGCTTACTGTTCCTGCAGTATACATCAAAAAAGAAATACGATGGCTATCGCTTAGACTCTCAAGTTCTGCCCAAGGCCCAGGAATGGGCTCTCCAAGAGTACCCTGAACTCAAATTCTGAGTAAAATCTGTTCTGCTCTTGGTTCTTACAATTGTACTTTCCCTTTTTCATGCACTCTATTTCCTTCCTTTCATTATCAAACTGTGAAACAGTAGTCTAAAGCCAGGTATGGTGGCTCACACCTGTAATCCCAGCACTTTGAGAGACTGAGGCAGGAGGATTGCTTGAACCCAGGAGTTCAAGACCAACCTGGGCAACATGGTGAGACCCTGTATAGTACTAAAAATACAAAAAATTAGTTGGGCACGGTGGCACATGCCTGTAGTCCCAGTTACTTTGGAGGTGGGAGGATCGCTTCAGCCTGAAAAGTAGAGGCTGTAATGTGCCATGATTTCATCACTGAACTCCAGCCTGGATGTCAGAGGGAGACCTTGTTGGGGGGTACAAGGAGAGTAGAGTCTACATTGGCTGATTGTTTCTTCATTTCTCACTCAAGCTATTGAAATGACTCCTATCTTCCGTACTTTTACTTATATAAATGGCATCAAAGGATACATATTCTTTTGCAACTTTTCCTTTTGCAAGTATTTTTTCCAGATTTATCCATGTTGATATATACCCAGTTCATTCATTCTAACAGCTGTAGAAACTAATTTATCCCTTCTCCTATCAAAGACAACTGTTACTACATTTTCTAGTACTACAGTGCTGTAATGTGAGCATCATTGTGTGTGTGCATATGTACACAAGAGTTTCACTATGGCACACACCTATTAATGGAATCTCTGCATAGCAAGGAATCTATCTCTTCAACCTTACTAGATATGGCCAAACTGCTCTCCAACGTGGTTGTATGGCAACTTATACTCCTCCAGCAGTATATAGGTGCTCATTATTTATAATTAATCAATTACAAATTATAGCAGTCTGATGGCATATCACTGGTTTAATTTGCATTTCCCTGATTGCTAATGCTGTTGCGTATCATTCTAGATGTTTACCAGACTTTCAGTTTCCTTCTTCTATGAAATGCCTATTCAAATCTTCTCACCATTTTTCTAATAAGCTATCTGTCATCATAATGATTTGTAGTTCATATATGTTGGATATCAATCTTTTGTCAGTTACTTCACTGCAACTATCTTCTCCCAGCCTCTGGTTGGTCTTCTTACTTAATCTCTTTTTCTGTTTCTGGTGTGTTTGTTTTGTTTTGTTTCTTTTGAGGCAGGGTCTCGCTTCTGTCACCCAGGCTAGAGCACTCACTGCAGCCCGAAACTCCTGGACTCAAAGTATTCTTCCACCTCAGCCTCCTGAATAGCTGGGTCTACAGGCACACCCCACCATGCCTGCCTAAATTTTTATATTTTTTTGTAGAGACAAGGTCTCCCTATGTTGCCCAGGCTGGTGTTGAACTCCTGGCCTCAAGCAATCCTCTCACCTCAACCTCCCAAAGTCCTGGGATTATAGGCATGAGCCACCACGCCTGGCCCAATTTTTAACTTTAATGTGGTCAAATTATCAATCTTTACATTTTTTGTTTGTTTGAAAGCCTTTCTCTACTCCATTTTCATAGAGATAGTCCTAGCATTTTCTAAGTTTTACAGTTTGACCTTTAATCCATTTACAACCTTTTTTTTTTTTTTTTAAGACAGAGTCTAGCTCTGTCACCCAGACTGCAGTGCAGTGGCGTGATCTCAGCTCACTACAGCCACCGCTTCCCAGGTTAAAGCGAATCTCCTGTCTCAGCATCCTGAGTAGCTGGGACTACAGGCATGCGCCATCACGCCTGACTAATTTTTGTATTTTCAGTAGAGACGGGGTTTCCCCATGTTGGCCAGGCTGGTCGCAAACTCCTGACCTTGAGTGATCCGCCCACCTCAGCCTCCTGAAGTGCTGGGATTACAGGCGTGAGCCACCATGCCTGGCTCTACAAATAATTTTTTGCATATGGTGCTAAAGATCTATTTTTTTCTCTAAGGTTAGCTAACCACCCATGAAAAGTAAAAATGACACCTTTACCCTAGTGATTTGTAATGGCCACTCATTATCCACCAAATTTAAATATATGAGGGCATGTTTCTATGCTCTTTAATTTTAACATTAATTATTCAACCACCCTGATACCAATACTTCACTGTCTTAATTAACATGGCTTTAAACAGCTTGATATTTGAGAAAGCAAATCCACCCATCGTGTTCTTCAAAATGGTCTTGACTATTCTTGGCCACTAATCATCCTTATTGATAAATTCCACTTAAAAAGCAAAGACAGTGGCTGGGCACAGTGGCTCACACCTGTAATCTCAAGACCTTGGACAGGCCAAGGCAGGGGGATATCCTGAAGCCAGGAGTTCAAGACCTGCCCTGGCAACATACTGAAACCCCATCTCTATTTTTAAAAAATAAAAAAGAATGGGGAGGCCGAAGTGGGCGGATCACGAGGTCAGGAGATTGAGACCATCCTGGCTAACACGGTGAAACCCCGTCTCTACTAAAAAAAAAAAAATACAAAAAATTAGCCAAGTATGGTGGCGGGCACCTGTAGTCCAAGCTATTCGGGAGGCTGAGGCAGGAGAATGGCGTGAACCCAGGAGGCGGAGGTTGCAGTGAGCCAAGATCGCGCCACTGCACTCCAGCCTGGGCGACAGAGCGAGACTCCATCTCAAAAAATAAATAAAAATAAAAATAAAAAAGAATTATCCAGACGTGGTGGCCCGTGCCTGTAGTCCCAGCTACTCGGGAGGCTTGAACCTGGCAGGTGGAGGTTGCAGTGAGCCAAAATCACGCCACCGAACTCCAGTCTGGGTGACAGAGTGAGACTCTGTCTCAAAAAAAATAAAAATAAAAAAAGAAACTTTCTCCTATTCCACATGTTCTAGTTTTTTTTAAATAATAAATGATAAATTTTGTCAAATGCTTTTTTAAGCCATCTATTGCAATGACCATATAGTTTTACTCTCCTTTAGTTTATTAATATGGGGAACTACATTAGATTCCTAATGTTAAGCCAAACTCCTATTCTTTGAATAACTGCTACTTGGTTGTGATTTTTTAAAAATATACTACTCGATTCAGTCTGTGTTTCACCTGAGATTTTAAAAATCTGTGTTCATGCCAGGTGTGGTGATTCATGCCTGTAATCCCAGCACTTTGGGAAGCAGAGGCAGGAGAATTGCTTGAGGTCAGAAGTTAAGACCAGCCTGGGCAATACAGTGAGATCCCCATCTCCACAAAAAATAGAAAAAAAGAAATAAAAAGACAAAAAATAAAAATCTGTGTTCATGAGAGTGGCCTGTACTTTTCCTTTCTCATACAGTTCTTGTGTGATTTTGTTAACTTGTGTGATTTTGTTATCAAGTTGTAAAAGCCCCCAAAACAAGTCTGGAAACGTTTTATTTATTCCCTGGAACCATCCATCCTTCAATATTTGGGTAACCCATAAAACCATCTGTGCCTGGTACTTCTTCAATGGACAGAATTTCTTCTTGCTTTTTTTATGGAAAAGTTTCAAATATATTATTAGAGAAACCAGTATAATGAACTACCACAGATCATCCAGCTTCAGCAATCAATCATTAGCAATCTTATTTTCTATCCTCCCCTAATCAATACCTGCTCCCTATCTCCTGGAACAAATTTGAAGTTATTTTGAAGCAAATCCCAGGCATCATATCATCTTAGCTATAAATATTTTTAACATCTAAGAGAAGGATTATTTTAAAATATATAACCAGAAAACTATTGTCACACTAAAAATATAAGTCTTTAATACCAACAAATATCCAGCCGGCATTCAAATTCTCATCAAATGTTTTCATACAGTTTTTTCAAATCAGGATCCAAGTAAGTTCATACACTTAAACTGATTGTATCTTTTAATCCATGAATCACCCCTCTGTTGCTTTTTTCCTAATTTATTTGTGGAAGAAAGTAGGCCATTTGTCCCACAGTTTTCCCATATTCTGCATTTTGCTCATTGTGTCCACGCGGTGGTATTGCTTTGTGGGGAGATTTTACTCTTTGCTAATTAGTTACATTTCTAGTCATACTTTCTATTTATTCTTGAGTCAGCTGCCATGTTACACTTTTCCACAAAACTATTTTATCCAATTTTTCAAATTCATGGGCAGAAAGTTTTCCATATTCTATATTTATAGGTTTTTTTAAATCTTCATTATATCTATAGTTGTATTTTTTCATTCCTAATATTTATGCCTTTTCTTTGATCAATCTTGCCAGAGGTTAGGGTTATAGATCTTAATCTTTTCAATGAATTAGATTTTGGCCTTGCTAATTCTTTTGTTTTCTATTCCATTAATTTCTGCTCTTTATTCTTTCCTATCTTCTACTTCTTTTGGGGTTAATCTGCTGTTACTTTTTTTAACTTCTTCAGTTGACCACTTGGTTTTGGGTTTTTTTGTTTTTGTTTTTGTTTTTTTTTTTTTGAGATGTTGCCCAGGCTGCGGTTGTTGCCCAGGCTGGAGTGCAATGGCGCAATCTCAGCTCACTGTAACCTCCACATCCTGGGTTCAAGCGATTCTCCTGCCTCAGCCTCCCAAGTAGCTGGGATTACAGGCACCCACCACCACACTTGGCTAATTTTTTGTATTTTTAGTAGAGATGGGGTTTCACCATGTTGGCCAGGCTGGTCTCAAACTCCTGACCTCAGGTGATCCACCCGCCTTGGCCTCCCAAAGTGCTGGGATTGCAGGCGTGAGCCACCGCACCCGGCTGGTTTTGTTCTTTACCCACGTTATTTAAATTTTGTTTTTTTCAATTTCCAAACATGGATTGGAGGGGGAATTGGTTATATTTTCACTATTAATTTCTAATTTTATTATACTACGGTCAGATAAGATATCTTATATATCTTTCATATGTGTCGAAACTTCCTTTGTGCCTAAATGAATCTAGGAAAATTACGTAAATGTTGCATATTAGTTTAAAAAGGATGCATGTTCTCTAATTTAAGTGTATGGTTCTACATATGTGTAGAGATCAAGTTATATATTGTATTTCTTTTCAGGATTAACCCCATTCGTTGAGACAGGATCTCGCTCTGTCACCTAGGTTGGAGTACAGTGGCACGAACACAGCTTACTGCAGTCTTGACCTCCTGGGCTCAAGCAGTCCTCCTGCCTCAGCCTCCTGTATTGCTGGGACCACAGGCGCACACCACCACATCTGGCTAACTTGATTTTTAGTAGAGACAGGGTCTCATTTTTTTGCCCAGGCTGATCTCGAACTCCTGGACTCAAATGATCCTCCCACCTCGGCCTCCCAAAGTGCTAAGATTAGGCATGAACCACCGTGTCCAGTCTACCTGTAAATGTTTAATGTGCATCTGACTTAAAGCCTAAAGTTGATCAATATCTCTGTCTTCCTATTGAACTACGTTACGTATAGACAGAACTTTAGAAATCTGTAATGAGAATCACTTTTCTCCCCGCTTACATTTTATCTTTGCCTAGTATTTTAGTTTTACCTTGGTTTTAGCCCCTACAAATCAGTGATAATTATTTTGTTTTATACAGTCAACACTGGCTTAGTCTACCTACTGACTTCTTTCTTCATCACAACTTCTTATATCCTACTTTCTCCCCTAAGTTACATTTCTTTCTTCCTGCACTATATGCTTTAGGTTTATAATAAGTTCTTTTAGAAACACTGTGGTAAATTCTCTTTTTCCTGTCTGAAAATATTTTTATTTTTGCCCTTACTTTTTTCTTCTTTTGAGATGGAGTTTTGCTCATGGTTGCCCAAGCTGGAGTGCAATGGTAGGATTTTGGCTCACCGCCTCCTGGGTTCAGCGATTCTCCTGCCTCAGACTCCCAATGATTACAGGCATGCGCCACCACACCCGGCTAATTTTTTGTATTTAGTAGAGACAGGGTTTCAACATGTTAGTCAGGCTGGTCTTGAACTCCTGACCTTGAGCGATCCGCCCACCTCGGCCTCCCAAAGTGCTGGGACTATAGGCGTGCGCTACCGCACCCAGCGCCCTTACTCTTGAATAACTCACCTGAGTATGAAATTCAGATCTCTCTCAAGGCTGAAGAAATTATTCAGTTTTCTTCTGGTCTCTCTTGTAGGTTAAAAGATATATGCTCTCAGTCTGATTATTGCTCCTCTGTCTTTCATTTTTGGTTATACTTAATAGTCTTTGGTGTTCTGAAGTTCCACTGCAATGTGTTTAGTTGTGGTTTTGTTGCTGCTTTTCTGTTGTTAATTCTTGCTAGGTACCAGGTGCAGTGGCTCACGCTTGTAATGCCAACACTTTGGGAGGCCAAGGTGGGAGGATCACTTGAGCCTGGGAGGTCAAGGCTGCAGCAAGCTATGATCACACCATTGTACTCAAGCCTGAGCTACAGAGCAAGACCTCGTCTCAAAACAAAAACAAAAAACCTCTTGCTAGGGCCTCATGAGCCTCGAACCTAAGGATTCAGGACTTTTTACTAATTCTAAAAAATTCTCAAGTCATCTTCTCTTCAAATTCCACATCTCCTCCACATTTTTTTTTCTCCTGGAAGTACCATTACATGTTGGATCTTCTTGATTTGTCCTTTTCCTTTTTCTTCACCTTCTTTCATATTTTGCTTTATTTGTATTCTTGAGAATTTCCTCATGTCTATGTCCCACCTTGCTAATCTCTCTTCATCTGTGTAAACTATTGTTTAACTTATTTACTGAGATTTTTAACCTCAATGACATTTTTCATTATGTTTCATTCTTTTTCAAATGTGTGTGTTTCATAATGCTTTATTCATTTCTTGGGATGTCAATTCTTTAAAGTCTTTAGCCACTTAAAATATGCTAATTTAAATTCTCTCTCAAATTGTCACTCTCTTATCCGAGTTCTTGGAGCTATAATCCTCCTGCTTGTTCTATCTGCTGACTCTCGTTTGTGGTACAAAGCCATTTCCTCATGTGTCATTTTTAATCATAAATTCATCTTCAGTTGGGCTTATTTCTTCTGTAAGAATCCCTTGAGGTCTAAGGTATGGACGTACCTCTCAGAGTCTTTTCCTGTCTCACTAGCTTGAAGCCTGTTTGTATATTAATTTCTGAGCCATATAATATAAACCCAGTTCCCAAATGTAAGCAAAGTATAGATCTTGTGCTTCAATTTCTCAGGCAAACTTTTTTCATTTTCTCTTTGCATAGAGCTCAAGCAAATCAAGACAAGATTTCTTGTCGTCTCCTTGTGTAATAGGGAAGATTTTCTTTTTCTAGCCCACCCTTTCACCTAGAGTGCAGCACATCAAAAATCTCAACTTTATGCAGAAATCTTAGTTCTGATTCCTTTTTGCATATGGTAAAACTCAACCTGCTAGGAAGAGAACACCTGAAATAACCCATCTCTACACTCCTCACTCTGCTCCAGGGCAATACAGCATAGGTTCAAGGGCTTACAGTTTTGGTCGGTAGTTCCATTTTTGTTTTTGGAAACGAGATTTTCCTATCTTTCCTGTATATTCAAGAATGCATTTAAAAGAACTGTCATTCTTTATTATGCAGCTTTTGGGCTTACAGTTTTGGTTTGTAGTTCCATTTTTGTTTTTGGAAACTGGAGATTTTCCTATCTTTCCTGTATATTCAAAGATGCATTTAAAAGAATTGTCGGATGGCCGAATAGGAACAGCTCCGGTCTACAGCTCCCAGCGTGAGCGACGCAGAAGACGGGTGATTTCTGCATTTCCATCTGAGACCTGCAGCTGAGGGTCCTGTCTGTTAGAAGGAAAACTAACAAACAGAAAGGACATCCACACCGAAAACCCATCTGTACATCACCATCATCAAAGACCAAAAGTAGATAAAACCACAAAGATGGGGAAAAAACACAATAGAAAAACTGGAAACTCTAAAAGGCAGAGCGCCTCTCCTCCTCCAAAGGAACGCAGTTCCTCACCAGCAACGGAACAAAGCTGGATGGAGAATGATTTTGACGAGCTGAGAGAAGAAGGCTTCAGACGATCAAATTACTCTGAGCTACGGGAGGACATTCAAACCAAAGGCAAAGAAGTTGAAAACTTTGAAAAAAATTTAGAAGAATGTATAACTAGAATAACCAATACAGAGAAGTGTTTAAAGGAGCTGATGGAGCTGAAAACCAAGGCTTGAGAACTACATGAAGAATGCAGAAGCCTCAGGAGCCGATGCGATCAACTGGAAGAAAGGGTATCAGCGATGGAAGATGAAATGAATGAAATGAAGCGAGAAGGGAAGTTTAGAGAAAAAAGAATAAAAAGAAATGAGCAAAGCCTCCAAGAAATATGGGACTATGTGAAAAGACCAAATCTACGTCTGATTGGTATACCTGAAAGTGATGGGGAGAATGGAACCAAGTTGGAAAACACTCTGCAGGATATTATCCAGGAGAACTTCCCCAATCTAGCAAGGCAGGCCAACGTTCAGATTCAGGAAATACAGAGAACGCCACAAAGATACTCCTCGAGAAGAGCAACTCCAAGACACATAATTGTCAGATTCACCAAAGTTGAAATGAAGGAAAAAATGTTAAGGGCAGCCAGAGAGAAAGGTCGGGAAAGGGAAGCCCATCAGACTAACAGCGGATCTCTCGGCAGAAACCCTACAAGCCAGAAAAGAGTGGGGGCCAATATTCAACATTCTTAAAGGAAAGAATTTTCAACCCAGAATTTCATGTCCAGCCAAACTAAGCTTCATAAGTGAAGGAGAAATAAAATCCTTTACAGACAAGCAAATGCTGAGAGATTTTGTCACCACCAGGCCTGCCCTAAAAGAGCTCCTGAAGGAAGCGCTAAACATGGAAAGGAACAACCGGTACCAGCTGCTGCAAAATCATGCCAAAATGTAAAGACCATCGAGACTAGGAAGAAACTGCATCAACTAACGAGCAAAATCACCAGCTAACATCATAATGACAGGATCAAATTCACACATAACAATATTAACTTTAAATGTAAATGGACTAAATTCTCCAATTAAAAGACACAGACTGGCAAGTTGGATAAAGAGTCATGACCCATCAGTGTGCTGTATTCAGGAAACCCATCTCACGTGCAGAGACACACATAGGCTCAAAATAAAAGGATGGAGGAAGATCTACCAAGCAAATGGAAAACAAAAAAAGGCAGGGGTTGCAATCCTAGTCTCGGATAAAACAGACTTTAAACCAACAAAGATCAAAAGAGACAAAGAAGGCCATTACATAATGGTAAAGGGATCAATTCAACAAGAGGAGCTAACTATCCTAAATATATATGCACCCAATACAGGAGCACCCAGATTCATAAAGCAAGTCCTGAGTGACCTACAAAGAGACTTAGACTCCCACACATTAATAATGGGAGACTTTAACACCCCACTGTCAACATTAGACAGATCAACGAGACAGAAAGTCAACAAGGATACCCAGGAATTGAACTCAGCTCTGCACCAAGCGGACCTAATAGACATCTACAGAACTCTCCACCCCAAATCAACAGAATATACATTTTTTTCAGCACCACACCACACCTATTCCAAAATTGACCACATAGTTGGAAGTAAAACTCTCCTCAGCAAATGTAAAAGAACAGAAATTATAACAAACTATCTCTCAGACCACAGTGCAATCAAACTAGAACTCAGGATTAATAATCTCACTCAAAGCCGCTCAACTACATGGAAACTGAACAACCTGCTCCTGAATGACTACTGGGTACATAACGAAATGAAGGCAGACATAAAGATGTTCTTTGAAACCAACGAGAACAAAGACACAACATACCAGAATCTCTGGGACGCATTCAAAGCAGTTTGTAGAGGGAAATTTATAGCACTGAATGCCCACAAGAGAAAGCAGGAAAGATCCAAAATTGACACCCTAACATCACAATTAAAAGAACTAGAAAAGCAAGAGCAAACACATTCAAAAGCTAGCAGAAGGCAAGAAATAACTAAAATCAGAGCAGAACTGAAGGAAATACAGACATAAAAAACCCTTCAAAAAATCAATGAATCCAGGAGCTGGTTTTTTGAAAGGATCAACAAAATTGATAGACCACTAGCAAGACTAATAAAGAAAAAAAGAGAGAAGAATCAAATAGACACAATAAAAAATGATAAAGGGGATATCACCACCAATCCCACAGAAATACAAACTACCATCAGAGAATACTACAAACACCTCTACACAAATAAACTAGAAAATCTAGAAGAAATGGATACATTCCTCGACACATACACTCTCCCAAGACTAAACCAGGAAGAAGCTGAATCTCTGAATAGACCAATAACAGGAGCTGAAATTGTGGCAATAATCAATAGTTTACCAACCAAAAAGAGTCCAGGACCAGATGGATTCACAGCCGAATTCTACCAGAGGTACAAAGAGGAACTGGTACCATTCCTTCTGAAACTATTCCAATCAATAGAAAAAGAGGGAATCCTCCCTAACTCATTTGATGAGGCCAGCATCATTCTGATACCAAAGCCGGGCAGAGACACAACCAAAAAAGAGAATTTTAGACCAATATCCTTGATGAACATTGATGCAAAAATCCTCAATAAAATACTGGCAAACCAAATCCAGCAGCACATCAAAAAGCTTATCCACCATGATCAAGTGGGCTTCATCCCTGGGATGCAAGGCTGGTTCAATATCCGCAAATCAATAAATGTAATCCAGCATATAAACAGAGCCAAAGACAAAAACCACATGATTATCTCAATAGATGCAGAAAAAGCCTTTGACAAAATTCAACAACCCTTCATGCTAAAAACTCTCAATAAATTAGGTACTGATGGGACGTATTTCAAAATAATAAGAGCTATCTATGACAAACCCACAGCCAATATCATACTGAATGGGCAAAAACTGGAAGCATTCCCTTTGAAAACTGGCACAAGACAGGGATGCCCTCTCTCACCACTCCTATTCAACATAGTGTTGGAAGTTCTGGCCAGGGCAATCAGGCAGGAGAAGGAAATAAAAGGTATTCAATTAGGAAAAGAGGAAGTCAAATTGTCCCTGTTTGCAGACGACATGATTGTTTATCTAGAAAACCCCATTGTCTCAGCCCAAAATCTCCTTAAGCTGATAAGCAACTTCAGCAAAGTCTCAGGATACAAAATCAATGTACAAAAATCACAAGCATTCTTATACACCAACAACAGACAAACAGAGAGCCAAATCATGAGTGAACTCCCATTCACAATT
Organism: Homo sapiens; assembly: GCF_000001405.40. NCBI lineage: Eukaryota > Metazoa > Chordata > Mammalia > Primates > Hominidae > Homo > Homo sapiens. Next base: position 74,759,069 of record NC_000011.10, on the reverse strand, counting down.
GCTTCAAAGAGAATAAAATATCTAGGAATCCAACTTACAAGGGATGTGAAGGACCTCTTCAAGGAGAACCACAAACCACTGCTCAAGGAAATAAAAGAGGATACAAACAAATGGAAGAACATTCCATGCTCATGGGTAGGAAGAATCAATATCGTGAAAATGGCCATACTGCCCAAGGTAATTTACAGATTCAATGCCATCCCCATCAAGCTACCAATGACTTTCTTCACAGAATTGGAAAAAACTACTTTAAAGTTCATATGGACGGCCGGGCGCGGTGGCTCACGCCTGTAATCCCAGCACTTTGGGAGGCCAAGGTGGGCGGATCACGAGGTCAGGAGATCGAGACCATCCCCGCTAAAACAGTGAAACCCCGTCTCTACTAAAAATACAAAAAAAAATTAGCCGGGCGTAGTGGCGGGCGCCTGTAGTCCCAGCTACTTGGGAGGCTGAGGCAGGAGAATGGCGTGAAACCGGGAGGCGGAGCTTGCAGTGAGCCGAGATCCCGCCACTGCACTCCAGCCTGGGTGACAGAGCGAGACTCCGTCTCAAAAAAAAAAAAAAGTTCATATGGAACCAAAAAAGAGCCCGCATCGCCAAGTCAATCCTAAGCCAAAAAAACAAAGCTGGAGGCATCACACTACCTGACTTCAAACTATACTACAAGGCTACAGTAACCAAAACAGCATGGTACTGGTACCAAAACAGAGATATAGATCAATGGAACAGAACAGAGCCCTCAGAAATAACGCCGCATACCAACAACTATCTGATCTTTGACAAACCTGAGAAAAACAAGCAATGGGGAAAGGATTCCCTATTTAATAAATGGTGCTGGGAAAACTGGCTAGCCATATGTAGAAAGCTGAAACTGGATCCCTTCCTTACACCTTATACAAAAATCAATTCAAGATGGATTAAAGATTTAAACGTTAGACCTAAAACCATAAAAACCCTAGAAGAAAACCTAGGCATTACCATTCAGGACATAGGCGTGGGCAAGGACTTCATGTCCAAAACACCAAAAGCAATGGCAACAAAAGACAAAATTGACAAATGGGATCTAATTAAACTAAAGAGCTTCTGCACAGCAAAAGAAACTACCATCAGAGTGAACAGGCAACACACAAAATGGGAGAAAATTTTCGCAACCTACTCATCTGACAAAGGGCTAATATCCAGAATCTACAATGAACTCAAACAAATTTACAAGAAAAAAACAAACAACCCCATCAAAAAGTGGGCAAAGGATATGAACAGACACTTCTCAAAAGAAGACATTTATGCAGCCAAAAAACACATGAAAAAATGCTCACCATCACTGGCCATCAGAGAAATGCAAATCAAAACCACTATGAGATATCATCTCACACCAGTTAGAATGGCAATCATTAAAAAGTCAGGAAACAACAGGTGCTGGAGAGGATGTGGAGAAATAGGAACACTTTTACACTGTTGGTGGGACTGTAAACTAGTTCAACCATTGTGGAAGTCAGTGTGGCGATTCCTCAGGGATCTAGAACTAGAAATACCATTTGACCCAGCCATCCCATTACTGGGTATATACTCAAAGGACTATAAATCATGCTGCTATAAAGACACATGCACACGTATGTTTACTGCGGCATTATTCACAATAGCAAAGACTTGGAACCAACCCAAATGTCCAACAATGATAGACTGGATTAAGAAAATGTGGCACATATACACCATGGAATACTATGCAGCCATAAAAAATGATGAGTTCATGTCCTTTGTAGGGACATGGATGAAACTGGAAACCATCATTCTCAGTAAACTATCGCAAGAACAAAAAACCAAACACCGCATATTCTCACTCATAGGTGGGAATTGAACAATGAGATCACATGGACACAGGAAGGGGACTATCACACTCTGGGGACTGTGGTGGGGTGGGGGGAGGGGGGAGGGATAGCATTGGGAGATATACCTAATGCTAGATGACGAGTTAGTGGGTGCAGCGCACCAGCATGGCACATGTATACATATGTAACTAACCTGCACAATGTGCACATGTACCCTAAAACTTAAAGTATAATAAAAATAAATAAATAAAAGAATTGCCGTTCTTTATTATGCAGTTTTTCTGAGTATTTGTGTCAGTTTTAGCCATCTTGCTAAAAAGAGAATTTGGGCTCTCCAATCTATTTGCTACAACACTCCCATGGGAGTGATCTCTCTAAAGTTCAAAGATGAATTCCTCTTTGAAACTCCTCAGTGGATCCTCATTCCTTAGCATGGCACTCAAAGTCCACTATTATTCAGCAACTGCCAATTTCTGCAGTCCCACATGCTTCCACTCTCCCACATGCACTCTATACTCTAACCACTTCTGTTTACAATCCCTAGAACGCTCCTTGTTTCATGTTCCTATGCCTTTAAATGTACTATTTCCCTCTCTCATCTTTATTCTGACCTCATCCACCTAATGAATACTGATGGTCAAATGTCTGGCATTCACTGAAGCCATTCCTGACCCATCCAAACTAGATTATCTTCTTTGTGAAAATACCTTACATTTGTTGACCTAGCTCTTCATATACCAAGCATTGTAATAATTCATTTAGTCTTTAACAACAACCTTATGATTTTAATACTATTACTATTCCCATTTTCCAAATGAAGAAACTAAGACACAGAGAGTATCCAATAACATACAGCTATAAATAGCAAAGCTAGAATTTGAACCCAGGTAGTCTGTCTCCAGGTTTTCCTCTATTAGCCTGCTCTATTAATATATACTATACTGCCTTCTACAATTATATCTTGCATAACAGCTATTATAATACTTATAATACCACATTTCAGTTGCATATTTACATCCCAATCTTCCCAACTACACTTTGGGACAGAACCATGCTTTACCTCTATTTGCAGCTCTAGTGCCTAGACCTAGCACACAGAAGACCCTCAAATGGTTACTAAATTAATGAATGACTGAAGTTAACACTGCCACAGCCAATGCTTTAGTCCAGGCCCTCTTCGTCGCTTGCCTGAACTACTAAAACAGTCCCCTAACGACTCCCCACCTCCAGTTTCTACTCACATCTTTCCTCTTCCAACCAATATATATTGTCTTTCTAAAGCACAGTATGATTATGTTATTCCACCACTTAAAAATCTTTAAGAGCTTTATAGGATAAAGTCCAAAATTCTTTTACCCTAATACACAATGGCCTTCATGATCTAACTTCAGTCTCTTCTCTACTTCCCCACTCCAGTCCACACTCCACCTATATTTAGCTTTTTGCCAGTCCCTGAACATCCCAAGCACCTTCAAGCCTTTCTACATGCAGGCTCTTCTACCTGGAATGGACATCCCCTCCTTCCTCATCTGGTGAATTCCTACTCTTTCTTCAACATACAATTCAAATGCCTTCCTCAGGCTTCCTGCAAATTGTCAGTCAGCCCATTCCTCTACTCTGTTAGCATTGTCTGTTTACCTCACTTAACACGTTGTATTGTTATTTGAGTATGTGTTTCCCCAACCACACTGTGGAGTCTTAAAGAAAAGGTACCATGTCTTATTCATCTTTTTTTATTGCATCATCTTGCACAATGTGTGCCCCTCAAAATGCTCACTGAATTAGTGGAATGAAATTTAACAAACATATCCTACATCATATACTCAAGCCAACTCAGATACAAATTAATTCAAGGTAGGCAACTCTTTCAGGATTAACTAGAAGACAGGGAGTGAAAATATGAATAAACAAATACCTCCTAAATTCCTGCTGTTCAATTCTGAATTCATACATTGGAGCTATTCTTCAATAGTAATTACTGTTTAGTTGGTAGAGTGCATGTAATCTCATCAAGAGCTTTAAAAAACATCTTAGCACAAGGCAAATGTTTCCTGTATTGGTATAACACATAAGGACACTCTCAAATTCTCGGATATGTGTCATTAAGGATAAAGAAATGAGTCATTTTACATATTTTAAACAAATCCTTACAGACTAGGGAATTCCTGTCCTCTTGCACTACAATCACATGGTTTCATTATTCATTAGTCCTAAATGTAATTTAGGCTGCACACATAGCAAACATTGTCTGTCAACTGAGTAATAAACCAGAACTACTTGCTTTTCACAGAAAGGGGAAATTTTTTAAATGCAGAAATGTTAACCCTAAGTGAACAGGGAAGTTGAGATGGGATGAGAAGGGATAAGTAAGGCACTATTCAATTGTTTATCTATTCAATTTTCGTGTTTTGTTTATTTGTTTTTCAGAGAGAGTCTCGCTCTGTCGCCCAGACTGGAGTGCAGTGGCGCAATCTCGGCTCACTGCAACCTCTACCTCCCGGGTTGAAGCGAATCTCCTGCCTCAGCCTCCCGGTAGCTGGGACTATAAGCGTGCACCACCACGTCCGGCTAATTCTTGTGTTTTTAGTAAAGACAGGGTTTCCCCATGTTGGCCAGGCTGGTCTCAAACTCCTGGCCACAACTGATCCGCCCACCTCTGCTTCTCAAAGTGCTGGGATTACAGATGTGAGCCACCGCGCCTGGCCTATCTATTCAATTTCTGAAAAGCACTTTTAACACCACGAAGATAAAAAAATTTAAACTGCCAATTTAAAAGATTCACCAGCCTTTGTCTAGCTTTTCTTCAGTCATTACCCATAGCCGAAGAAAAAGAATCCTAAAAAGTAAAAAGGTCTCGGTTTCAAATCTAAAAGCAGTATGATTTGGAATAACCATCCTTGATTTCAAACAGACTAAATGAATTCTTAAAATTCATTAATCATTTTTAAATGATGCTTAAGTGTGGCTGCAATGTATAGTTCAAAATCTACCTATGTAAGCCTGTATGGTAAGTATGTTTTTTAAATCAACAGATAAGGAATGTCTCTAAATTTAGAATATAAGCTCCATGAGAGAGAGAGATCTTTAATATTTCATTCACTAATGTTTCCCAAAGACCTGGCACAGAGTAGACACATATTACATAATTCCTGAATATTGCTCAAAATGGTCCAAATATTTAATATGTCAATATATACGAGTTGCAGATCCTCAAAGAATATGAAGTTGAACTCTGAGTTCATTTTGAAATGATCACTGATGTAGCCTTTACACACACAGTTTCACAAATCAACAAAAACTGATACTATATCCAAAAGCAAACCGTGAATGCATAAAAGAATTAAATAAAACATGTACACAGGGGTCATTAAGGTTCTGAACCTTAAAGCTTGCCAAAAAAGCAGGCAAAGAACAAAAATGTCACCAGTGCAACCAAAATTTTCAAGAAAACACAAACTCTTTACACTTTTTCCACAAAGCAATTCCTAAAGAGGCACTGGACTTCAACAAAATAAAAAAAAAATTAAGAACGTCACTTAAATACCAGTGCATTTACTACAAAATTTCATTTCCAGCAGGCCTGATGTTTCCTTTATCAATTGATCCAACTATGTGATGAGAATACAACTAAGCAATATATCTCTGAATATTACTAAAATTGCTATTAGGCTGGTACAAAAGTAATTGCTGTTTTTGCCATTGAAAGTTATGGCAAAAACCATAATTACTTTTGTGCCAACCTAGTAATCCTGTTGCTGTTTCCACTCATAAAAGCACAATGTAAATATTTATAAAACTGGTATTATTAGTTTTCCTTATTAAAGCTATTATGAACATTTCACTGTGAATTAGGCTGTTTCTGTTGACCCTTTTTCATCTACTATCAACTCATGTAAACTCTTACTCTCTTATCTGTTCTGGGCCTCAGTTTTCTCTTCTGTAGAATGAGAGACATAGATTAAAACAATGGTTCAAGGCTGGGCGCGGTGGCTCACCGCCTGTAATCCCAGCACTTTGGGAGGCCGAGGTGGGTGGATCACCTGAGATCAGGAGTTTGAGACCAGCCTGATCAACATGGAGAAACCCCGTCTCTACTAAAAATACAAAATTAGCCGGGCGTGGTGGCGCACACCTGTAATCCCAGCTACTCGGGAGATGGAGACAGGAGAATCGCTTGAACCGGTGAGGCGGAGGTTGCGGTGAACCGAGATCATGCCATTGCACTCCAGCCTGGGCAACAGAGCAAGACTCTGTCTCAAAAAATAAATTAATTAATTAATAAATAAAATAAAACAATGGTTCAGATTCTGGTGAAAGCTACTGGTGACTTCTCCATAAAAATGCACACATGCATTTACATAATGATTTTATAAACAATTATTTATAATAGCAAAAGACAGGAAACAATCAAAATGTCCACCAATAGGTGGTTAATTATGCTATATCCACTCAGTAAAATTCCATACAACATACTGCTGTGGACTTTGATGATGTATTCTTAAACCAAAAAAAAAGCAAGTTACAGAACAGTGTGTATAATGTACAACCTTTTGTATAAAAATGGCAAAAAATAAGCATACTTGAATTTTCATGTAGATAGATCCATAAACTGTGGAAGAACAAACAAGAATCTTTTTTTTTTTTTTTTGAGACAGAGTCTTGCTCTGCCACCAGGCTGGAGTGCAGTGGCATGATGTCAGCTCACTGCAGCCTACGCCTCCCAGGTTCAAGCGAGTCTCCTGCCTCAGCCTCCCCAGTAGCTGGAACTACAGGCGTGTGCCACCGCACCTGGCTAATTTTTGTATTTTTAGTAGAGACAAGGTTTCACCATGTTAGCCAGGCTGGTCTTGAACTCCTGACCTCAAGTGATCCGCCCGCCTTAGCCTCCCAAAGTGCCAGATTTACAGGCATGAGCCACCATGCCCAGCCCAAGAATCTTTGACGGGAGTGAGAAATAAGGGGGTAAGAGAGAATCACTTCTTTTTTTTCCCTTTTTTTTTTTTTTTTTTTTTTTTAAGACAGTCTCCCTCTGTCAACAGGCTAGAGTGCAGCGGTGCAATCTTGGCTCACTGCAACCTCCGCCTCCTGGGTTCAAGAGATTCTCCTGTCTCAGTCTCCCAAGTAGCTGGGACTACAGGCACACACCACCATGCCCAGCTAATTTTTGTATTTTTAGTAGAGACGGGGTTTCACCATGTTGGCCAGACTGGTCTCCATCTCTTGACCTTGTGATCCGCCCACCTCGGCCTCCCAAAGTGCTGGGATTACAGGGGTGAGCCACCGCGCCTGGCCAAAGGGAATCTTTTCATTGTATACTTTGTTACATTTTTGTTTGAATCCTGTGAATGCACTGCCTATTAAAAATTTTAATTTAAAAATACTGTATATAACTACAAGAGGATCAGACAACCCACTGAAGCTAAGAGATACTTCCTAAGCCTTTTGGCAATATTTTTGTATTCTAAAATTTTTCAACTGAATAAGCACATAACTGTATATACAAAACAATCCAACAACAAGAACATTTAAGAAAACCATTTTTCATTTTGGTCCTCATATAAACATATAAAGTAATTAATGAATACTAAGTGACTCAATAGATTCTAATTTGAAATCTCATTTTAGATAATTTCCCTTAATCACTGATAAATTTTATGACAAAAACATCTTCAAGGGAAAAAGTTTGCACAAATCATCAAGCCAAACTTCCTCTCATGGTTCAAATTCAGAACTGGTATTTCACAACAGTCTCCAAGCTTAGAAATCAAAATGAAAATTTCTATCCTATGTGGCCATATAATCAGTAGTACTAATAGGGAGACCAGAGAAATACTGTCTTATATCGTGACCATAATCTCAGACTATAAAGCAAATTAAGTAGCATATGAAACCATCACACCACATCCACAAAATTAAAGACGTTTCATCCCTGATTTGAGCAGGAATAGGATAGAATCGGGTTTTCATCCTTAGGCAAGTTAGTTAACCTCTCTGGACCTCAGTTTCATCTATAAAATGGAAATAAAAGTACTTATCTCATAGGGATGTTGTGAAGCTTAAAAGGAATAACGAGGGCTGAGCACAGTGGCTCACGCCTGTAATCCCAACACTTCAGGAGGCAGAGGTGGGCGGATCACTTGACGCCAGGGGTTCGAAACCAGTCTGGCCAACATGGCGAAACCCCGTCTCTACTAAAATTACAAAAATTAGCAGGGTGTGGTGGCGCGTGCCTGTGGTCCCAGCTACTGGGCGGAGGCAGGAGAATCGCTTGAACCTGGGAGGCAGAGGTTGCAGTCAGCTGAGAGATTGGCCACTGCACTCCAGCCTGGGAGACAGAGTGAGACTCAGTCTCAAAAAAAAAAAAAAAAAAAAAAAAAACCTTGGGAGGCCAAGGCGGGCGGATCACAAGGTCAGGAGTTCAAGACCAGCCTGGCCAACACAGTGAAACCTCATCTGTACTAAAAATACAAAAAAGCCGGGCGTGGTGGTGGGCGCCTGTAATCCCAGCTACTCGGGAGGCTGCGGCAGGAGAATCGCTTGAACCTGAAGGGGTGGTGCACAGAGGCTGCAGTGAGTGGAGATCGCACCATTACACTCCAGCCCGGGCGACAGTGCGAGACTCCATCTCAAAAAAAAAAAAAAAAAAAAAAAAAAAGGTGAGGGGAGTGACAAGGAACATAGAAAGTAAGATGCAGGTCCCCCTCAACCCCAGGAATAAAATAGCCCAATATCCTAGGACAGTGACAGGTGTCTCTGGCGGCTTGAATCAAAACAGAGTGCATTCTAGAACCTGTGGTTTCTAGAAGCTGCACTTGTATACACAAGCAATGCCTCTCTTTCCTTACCCAAAAAAACACATGGCAGAATTCCCAAAACAGAAGGTACAAATATCTGGCCTTTCGTGATTTATGTTTCTTGAAAATCTCATTCTAGGTAAGCATTTTTTATCAAACAGAGCTGCAGATGTTATGTTGACTGGGTGTGTCCCCAAAAGAATCCTAAGTTATAACAGTCTTATTTTATACAGGGCACTTTGCATTTCAAAGCTCAGAACCGAGGAATAGCAGGCTGCTGGTGTTAGGGGAAAGAAGTTCAAGGCAAGAGTCCTACAACAGACTTTTAATTGCCAGCAAGCCAGTAGGAAACCCATACTGCCAAGGAGATAGAAGCAGCCCCTGCCACCCAACCTTTGTTTCCAAAACTTTTAAACCCAAGCCAGCTTTTCTGTCAGGCACTACTGGACTTAGTAGTACTAGTATTACAAATATAAACGACAGTCACTTACTGCTTCCTCACTATGTGCCAAGTTCTGTGCTAAGCATACATTTTCCAAAATGTATGAAAACAACTGCACAAGTGTGCTCCCAACCCCCTCTGCTCTCGAGTCTGAAAAGCTCCCTTCACATCCTCAAATTCAACCTGTTCCCTAAACTCCGGATTCTCCACACCCTTCACTGACCCTTTCAAGGCCAGGAGCCACATCTCTCCAAGCAATATGACCCCCAAACTCTTCATCCAACATTAAACCAAGCACTTCTCTGATCCAAGGCCCCTCCCACTCCCACACACCAATTCCAACCTGCCCCTAACTTGTTCCAACAATTCTGTTTCCCTCCAAACTTCGGACTTACGTAAGGCACAGGGTGCCCTCACCGCCCCTCCGCATGCAACGTGCCTGTCCTTCACTCTGAAGTTCAAAATTCACAAACACACTGCACCTGGGTAGAGCCCGGGTTCTAATCCCACGAGAACTCTCCACACCCGCCCGAGTAGGGCCCGGGACTCTCCACCCCCTCACCAGGCCGGGCCGGGGCGCGCTCGGCCTCGCTCCAGACCCTAAGGGGAAGTGGGGAAGCTCCACCTGGCTCCGCAGGCGCGGCACGCGGCTCCTGCTCTGGCCTGGGCCCCGCGGCAGCCGCGCCCCCGTCCCGGCGCGGGCGGCAGCGCTCGGGTTGGCTGCGGCGGGCGCACTCGCCCAGCACCTCTGAGTCGGCCTGGCCGTCGTCGCGGGCCCGACGGCGGGCCCAGCCTGGGCCGCGGGCGCGGCAGCGAGGGCAACCCGGGCCCGCCGCGTCGGCGGCGCGTTGGGCGCAGCCTCGGCAAAGCGAGTGGCCGCACGGCAGGGCCGCTGCTTCTCCGGGGGGCTCCAGGCACCCGGCGCAGCCCGATTCCTCCGGCCGCGGCGGCAGCGGCGGCTGCAGCAACGGCGGCGACAACACCAACAGCGAAGGTCCAGAAGCCGGGCCTGGGGCCCCAGTCTTAGCTGCCGCCGTCTCGTCACAGCGGCCCCGCCGGCCCCGCCGACTCAGAGCGGCTGCTGCCGCCGCGGAAGAGGCCCGAGTACTCGGACCTGCAGCCGCCATCTTGTTTCCCGTTTGAAGGGAGAGTCGGTTGCGAGGGAGAAGAGTGGAGGGCGGGGCAGTACGCGCGGTGGGCAGTGCTATCTACATATTCATGAGGGGCGAGGCTTCTGTGAGCCCAAAGAGGGTTCTCCTCAGACCTGATTGGCCAGAGGGGATACTTCATTAATATTTATTAGTTATTCTTTATTATGCGGTCATCAGCCGCACTCTCGAAAAGTCCTTGCAGTTTCCTCTTACTGAACTGAAAGAGGTGGGAACTGAGGGGCTTTACTGGCAATTCTGAACGATGTTAAACTTTGATACACGTACTTATCCTGTAATGCCTTGATAACTGAGGAGAAAGTGAGTGGGGAATATGTGAGTTACTCAGAAACCTGCCTTAGTGTTCATTTGATATGAGGGCCTGAGCTCTCTCCTAAGGATGGGGGTAGCTTTGTGACTGAAACCAGGCCCACCGTGGTAACTAACTGCCAAAAGGAGCAGCCTCTTGTCAATCCTACCTCCTCATCCTCTCTCCCCATGTCCCTTCCTGAAACTGCCCCCCTTGGCTGGTAAAACCACACTTTCCTGGTTTTTTTCCCAGGCTCTTGGCTCCTTCTCAGTCTCCCGTGTTTGGTGCTTCCATGTGGGTGTTCCTCTAGGCTTAGGCCTCAGTCCCCTTCTCACTCTGCGTGCTGCACTGGTCCACATTTTCTTCCCTCAGGAGCTCCCAGATTGCTGTCTGCAGCCCAGGCCTCCTGAGTCCAGCCCTCCATATTCAACTGCCTGATGGAAACATCCTCTTAGATCCCTACATTCCTCATGTACAAAACTAATGTCACTGTCTCCCATCCTCCTTTCAAAACTGCTCTTCTTATTTCCTTCATTCTATGAAAGGTCCCATCCTCCCAGGTACTCAAGCTCCAAACCTAGTCATCTTGAACTTCTTCCTTATCTCCCACAAACCATCAGTTATTTAGTCCTGTCAATTCCACTATCAAAATGACTATTTCCCCACCTCTTCATCCCATTCCCACTGCCCAATTCAGGTCTAATCATCTCTCATCTAGATTACTGCAGTAGCTGCTATAGATTGATTGTCTCCCCTCTCCCAACCTCTTTTCTAATCCATCCTCCACACTCTTCGAGTTGCTTCCTATAGGCCAGCTCTGACCGTGTCACTCCTGCTTGAGCTAGGGAGAGGTGCTTGGACTTTGATGCTAGTGCCCTTTCTAGATGCAGAGGTTCCAGGAGAAAGAATGACCCCTCTCTAATGGAAAGGTGGTTCTGCTACAGTAGTTCTCCCATTCTTTGCTTTCTTTGCCCTGGGATAGATTTGGAGCAGGGCAAAGAATGGGAAGCATTAAATAAATGGCATTTCTTAGTGGAAACCTTTATAGGATAACACGAGTTTTGTAAAGAGAGAAAAATAAAAAAGCAACATAGGCTGGGGGCGGTGGCTCACGCCTGCACTTTGGGAGGATGAGGCAGGCAGATCGCTTGAGCTCAGGAGTTAAAGACCAGCCTGGGCAACATGGTGAAACCCCATCTCTACAAAAAATACAGAAATTAGCTGGGCATGGTGGCACTCACCTGTACTCAGGAGGCTGAGGCAGGAAGATCACTGGAGTCCATGAGGTTAAGGCTGCAGTGAGCCGTGATGGCACCACTGCATTCCAACCTGGACAACAGAATGAGACATTGTCTCAAAAAAAAAAATCAACATAATATAATAGAAGGCATGAGAAGCCCTGGGTTTTGATGAGATTGCCCAGAGCTAGCGGTAAACCAATCCAGTGCCGAGTGATTGATTAACTCAGAGAGCAGGGGGAAAAAAAGGTGATGGATTCCCAAGATAAGAACCAGATGGCTAAAGGACAGTCAAGAGTTGAAGAAAGGCCAATGGGTGATTAAAACAAAGACCTGTTTGCATAGAGACCCAGACAGAATCCTGCCAGACACAGAAGTATGGCCTTGGCTAGGCTATCCTTTATCCATGGGTCCTGCCCACTTCCATCCCAACTTAAGGTTCTTGAGGACATTTTTCCCGGATTCTGACAAAGGAGATCTGTGATCCAGAGATCAAGCCAACCATCATTAGAAATGGGACCATTTGTGCAGGCTGTTCACTCTCGATGGTTTGGATCTTTTAATCTGTTTACTGTTGGAGGAGCTGAGCCACAGAAACATAGCATGCTTTCTTGGATACAAATAAATATAGAAAATTTCCTTTAGCAGAGGGAAAAAGCAAGAGGTCTGAGTAGCACTGGACCAGAAGCCAGGAGATCTGGGGTTGGTCTTGGCCCCTTCTAACTCACTGTGTGATTTCAAACAGCTAACTTCCTTCTGGGCCTCAATCTCCTCATTTTTAAAACAAGAGTATTGAAGGCTTGGTGCTGTGGCTCACGCCTGTAATCCCAGCACTCTGGGAGGCCGAGGCAGGCAGATCACGAGGTCAGGAGACCAAGACCATCCTGGCTAACACGGTGAAACCCCGTCTCTACTAAAAATACAAAAAATTAGCCGGGCGTGGTGGCGGGCGCCTGTAGTCCTAGCTACTCGGGAGGCTGAGGCAGGAGAATGGCGTGAACCCGGGAGGCGGAGGTTGCAGTAAGCCGAGATGGCACCACTGCTCTCCAGCCTGGGCGACAGAGCAAGACTCCATCTCGAAAAAAAAAAAGAGTATTGAAAGTCATCAGTTCTCGCCCTTTCCCTCCTGCCGCCGAGTCGCGCGGAGGCGGAGGCTTGGGTGCGTTCAAGATTCAGGTTCACCCGTAACCCACTGCCATGGCCGAGGAAGGCATTGCTGCTGGAGGTGTAATGGAGGTTAATACTGCTTTACAAGAGGTGCTGAAGACCGCCCTCATCCACGATGGCCTAGCACGTGGAATTCGCGAAGCTGCCAAAGTCTTAGACAAGCGCCAAGCCCATCTTTGTGTGCTTGCATCCAACTGTGATGAGCCTATGTATGTCAAGTTGGTGGAGGCCCTTTGTGCTGAACACCAAATCAACCTAATTAAGGTTGATGACAACAAGAAACTAGGAGAATGGGTAGGCCTCTGTAAAATTGACAGAGAGGGGAAACCCCATAAAGTGGTTGGTTACAGTTGTGTAGTAGTTAAGGACTATGGCAAGGAGTCTCAGGCCAAGGATGTCATCGAAGAGTATTTCAAATGCAAGAAATGAAGAAATAAATCTTTGGCTCACAAAAAAAAAAAAAAAAAAAAAAAAGAAAGTCATCAGTTCTCAACCTGGGACACACCTCAGAAACACCTGTATATATCAAGGTCCCACCTCAGATCTAGTGAACCCAGAAACCCAGGTGGGGGATACCAGGCTGTGTATTTTTTTTTTTAGTGCCATAAGAATTCTAATGAATACTCCTAGGTAAGACCACTACAATAGATAAATTCAAAGGACCATTCCAGCACTAACATTGTAGAAGTCCAACTTCCAATTTCCAGCCTCTTCTCTCCTCTATGCCATTGCTGAGTAATCTTACTAAAAGCAATAGTGGTGACAGAGAGCAAGGCACACCTAAGAAATCTGGAGAGCCACTCACTATGTGGGAAGCTAATAACAATGAGGATGATTCTAAAGTTTCAAGCCTAGCAGCCTGGGATTGTGATGAAAATTGAAAACTGACAAAAATGCATCCAAACCTCTTTCCTTCCTTCCCTCCTTCCTTCCTTCCTTCCTTTCTTTCTCTCTTTTTTTTTTTTTTTTTTTTTTTTTTGAGACAGGGTCTCATTCTTTTGCCCAGGCTGGAGGGCAGTAAGCAATCACGGCTCACTGCAACCTCTGCCTCCCAGGCTCAAGCAATCCTCTCACCGCAGCCTCCTGAGTAGCTGGGACTACAGGCACATAACACCACACCCAGGTAACTTTTATATTTTTTATAGAGACAGAGTTTCACCATGTTGCTCAGGCTGGTCTTGAACTCTTAAGCCCAAGTGATCTACCTGCCTCGGCCTCTCAAAGTGCTGGGATTACAGGCATGAGCTACCGTGCCTGGCCCAAACCTCCTTTCTATTTAGGGAATTCCCCATTCTATATAGTATTGATGAGGCTAGGGAAGCTGAACCTGAAGGGATATTCTTCTCCCTGCCCCCTAACAGTTAGGACGTGACACATGACCCAGGCTCAGCCACCTGGCCACTATTCTCTGAGCTTGGCATCTTCAGCAAGTGACATGAAAACATAGAGACAATTTTAGAATTATTCATAGCAACAGAGACAGTAGGTATGCAACAGCAGTGGGGCCCTGGTGGGGTTTGAGGGGGGTGGCCCTGCCATGATGAGGGTGGCCATGCCAGGCTGTACCTGAGACACAGACTTGGCTGTGGTTCCCGTTGCCGAGCCTGCCTAGGTTACAGCCCATTTTCCATATCCGATGCTGCAGTTTTCCTGTCAACTCTTTGTATCCTTTCAGTAAATTTCATTTTTTCTTAAATGACTCACAGTCTCTGTTGTTTACATCAAAGTACTCTAACTGAGACATTAGCTTGTTGTTTTTGAAGTGTCGCCTAAAAATGGTTGTCAAGGGTGCTTGGTAGATTATAAAATGATACAAGAAGCTTAAGCCAACAGCCTAGAGTAGAACAAGCCCAAATAGCTTTTCTCTAAGGCCCCACCTGCACCACAGACCACCATGGGAAGAAGGATTCACAGACTCCCTTTAATGCACGATGCCAACTGGAACAAATGGCAGTGCAGCCCCAGGTACCAATGCTTCCCCTCCAGCTGCTTTCTGAGGATTGCATTGCTGTCAGAATTCCCTACCATCCTTCTCATAGCACCTCTACCCAGATAGCTCTGCATGGTTCCACCCCACCACTACCCCTTCCTCACTCCTCATCCACATCACTACAAAACTTCCCTCTAGCTGATGGCTCCAGCTTCTCCTTGCTGGACTGAAAGACTCAGATATGAGCAAGGCCATTCAGCCTAGTTCCAGGTGGAGACAAGGCTGTTTCTTCCTGCAAGCCCAAGACCTCTCCTTCCAGCTTAAGTGCTGCTGAGTCCATCCTGAGACCTTACACATCTAAAAAGGAGAAGGCTAAGCCCCTCAGACCACACCAGTGCCACCTGTCCTCTTTGGATAGCATCTTCTTCCTGTGCTCTTCCTCCCTCAAGTCAGATCTCCCCCTGAGATTTGGCCCCTTCCATTTTGCTTTAAAGATTCTTGCTACCTTCTTACTTTTATTCATCTTCAGTTCCTTCCCTTTTGTTTCAGAGGAAGAAGTAATTCTTTTTTTTTTTTTTTTTTTTTTTTTTTTTTTTGAGACAGAGTTTCGCTCTGTCGCCCAGGCTGGAGTGCAGTGGCGCGATCTCGGCTCACTGCAAGCTCTGCCTCCCGGGTTCATGCCATTCTCCTGCCTCAGCCTCCCGAGTAGCTGGGACTACAGGTGCCCGCCACCATGTCCGGCTAATTTTTTGTATTTTTAGTAGAGATGGGGTTTCACTGTGTTAGCCAGGATAGTCTCCATCTCCTGACCTCCACCTGCCTCGGCCTCCCAAAGTGCTGGGATTACAGGCGTGAGCCACTGCGCCCGGCCTAGGTAATTCTTTTGCAAATCTAATCCCTCCATCTGTGTTTGTCATGTCATCTGCCCAGCCTCCTCCAGACTCTTTCCAAACACTCTATGAATACAAATAAGACTTGGTCCTTGCCCCCTCAAAGTCAAAACCTAACAGAAGGGCAAAAGTAGAAAAAAATATAGCAGAAAACAGAAGAGTTATAGAAGAATTGCAAGGGCTACAACAGACATAAACAGAATGCCATGGAAGCAGGGAGCAAAGGTGAGAGGAAGTTCAGGAGATTTCACAGAAGAGGGGACATTTGAGCTCGTTTTTAAAGACTGAGGGAAGGAAGTTCACCACATGGATACAACGGAAAGCAGAGAGAAAATAAGAGCCAAGGCACAAAGGCATAAAAGTTTGGGACCTGTGTGGGACTGACAAAGAATTTGATGTGGCTAGAACATCAGGTTGGAGATGAGACTAGAAAACTGGAGAAGAAAAGAAACTAGAATTTATTGAGCAACTACCACGTGCCAAGTGTCATGCTAAGCAACCATATACCTCTCTCATTTAAACCTAAAGTAATTGAAAGATTTAATATTTGGCCCAAGGGATTGGTACATATGGATTTTTGTTTTGGTTTTGTTTGTTTGTTTGAGATGGAGTCTTGCTCTGTTACGCAGGCTAGAGTGCAGTGGCACAATCTTGGTTCACTGTAACTTCCACCTCCTGGGTTCAAACAAGTCTCCTGCCTCAGCCTCCTGAGTAGCTGGGACTACAGGCATGCACCACCACACCTGGCTAATTTTTTTTTTTTTTTTTGTATTTTTGTAGAGACGGGGTTTCACCATGTTAGCCAGCCTGCTCGTCTCAAACTCCTGACCTCAAGTGATCCACTCTCCTTGGCCTCCTGAAGTGCTGGGATTACAGGCGTGAGCCACTATGCCTAGCCTGGATTTGTATTCTATAAGGATAAATCTCGATTCTATAATTATCAGTGAATAACAAAAAGAATCTAAGCAGGCTTCATCCCACCCCCAGAGTTGAGATATTACTGGAGAAAGTATGGTGCAGCTAATGTTCATTCATTCATTCATTCATTCATTCAACAAATATCTATTGAGCACCTACTATGTGGCAGGATTATGTAAGTGCTAAGAATTCAGCAGCAAACACGGAAGACAAAGTCTAGATGCTGACCAGTTTGAGCAGGAACAGCATTAGGTACAGTGTTTGACATATTCCAGCTGCTGTGGAATGAATGAATGTTATCGCCTTAGTTACACTTTTATGTTTAGTGACTTTCAAAGTACTCATTGTCAGAAAAATATTCTAACTAACAAAAAAGCACATTGGTGGGGCAAAATAGTTCTTTAATTTCTTTCTTTTTTTTTTTTTTTTTTTGAGACGGAGTCTTGCTCTGTCACCCAGGCTGGAGTGCAATGGCGCCATCTCAGCTCACTGCAAGCTCCACCTCCCAGGTTCACACTATTCTCCTGCCTCAGCCTCCCGAGTAGCTGTGACTACAGGCGCCCACCACCATGCCCAGCTAATTTTTCTGTATTTTTAGTAGAGAAGGGGTTTCACCGTATTAGCCAGGATGGTCTTGATCTCCTGACCTCATGATCCGCCGGCTTTGGCCTCCCAAAGTGCTGGGATTACAGGCGTGAGCCACCATGCCTGGCCTCTTTAATTGCTTTACATTTTCCCTCCAGATGCCTATAAATCCACTTAGAATTGGCAACTAGTCTTACTCCTCTCTGCACCTCCCTCTCCTCGCCTCAGTCTTTCTTCCTCTTTTCCCTGCACTCAGGGCCCCTATTCTTGTTCCTCTAGGCTCTGGCCCCAAGTTCCAAGCAATTAGTTTCCTCTTTGATTTAGTTGTTTTTAATTTTTTTTCTTTTTGAGACGAAGTCTAGCTCTATCACCCAGGCTGGAGTTCAGTGGCATGATCTTGGCTCACTGCAACCTCCGCCTCCTGGGTTCAAGCGATTCTTCTGCCTCAGCCTCCTGAATAGCTGGGACTACAGGTGCGTGCCCCCACGCCAGGCTAATTTTTTGTGTTTTTAGTAGAGACAGGGTTTCACCACATTGACTAGGCTGGTCTCAAACTCCTGACCTCGTGATCTGCCCACCTTGGCCTCCCAAAGTGCTGGGATTACAGGCATGAGCCACCATGCCCAGCTGTTTTTTAAATTTTAATTGACAAATAGAAATTGTATATATTTATAGTGTAGAGTTGTTCTTTTTGTTTTTTAAGAGGATAGAGGTGGCTTTAAGAAATCCTTTAGGTTCACAACCCAAATGTCCATCAATGATAGACTGGATTAAGAAAATGTGGCATATATACACCATGGAATACTATGCAGCCATAAAAAAGGATAAGTTCATGTCCTTTGTAGGGACATGGATGAAGCTGGAAACCATCATTCTGAGCAAACTATCGCAAGGACAGAAAACCAAACACCACATGTTCTCACTCACAGTTGGGAATTGAACAATGAGAACACTTGGACACAGGGTGGGGAACATCACACACCGGGGCCTGTCGTGGGGTGGGGGGCTGGGAGAGGGATAGCATTAGGAGATATACCTAATGTAAATGACAAGTTAACAGGTGCAGCACACCAACATGGCACATGTATACATATGTAACAAACCTGCACGTTGTGCACATGTACCCTAGAGCTTAAAGTATAATAATAAAAAAAGATGAGAATTAATTATCATTAAAAAATTTTTTAAAAAAGAAATCCCTTAGGTTCAAGATATAGAGAATAAGAGGGAAAAGAAATGGGCAAATGGCCTTACCCAACTGCACTCAGAGTGAAATATCTAAAAGACAAAACTTTCTCTGCTAGTATTGCTCACCTTTTATAGCGTAAATCACATTTCTTATTCTCACAGAGTCTCTATTTTCCCAGTCTCATCAAAGATATCCTACTACCTTCACTTTGGTCCAAGTCTCCAAGAAGGAGTGGGTCATGGACCTGTCCCAGGAAAAGAATGAGAAGAGTGAAAACCTCTTCTTGTCATAAATAAATAGACGAATAGTTACATTGAGCAGAATGGAGGATTTGCCTCAGAAGAGAGCACTGTGATTGCAGCAGAAGAAAAAGTCAGGGGAGCTACAAAATAGCCTCTCAGAGATTGACTTTGTCTACTTTGGAAAGAAACGGGAGAGATGGGTTCAGCTGGAGGCTGAGAACAGAAAGCATGATCTCCCAAGTTCCTTTGTCCTGAAGGAAGACAGGCTTCTATACCAATCTACTAGTGATCAACGAGAAACCTGATGGGTTCTGCACTAGAATGGTCATCGTCCCACTGTTCTTTGTTTACTTGGCTCTGTGTTCTGCAATCCCATCCCTGGGAAATGCCTGCAGGCGTCTCCTAGGTCTGCGATGTTGCTCAGTTTGACCACCAGGGGGCAAACTGAGCCTACGCGGTCTCCTCCACCCAGTTTCCAAACTCCAGAATCAGAATGTCAGAGCTATAACTGGCTTTAAAAAACCATCCAAGGCTTCTAATCAAACCTTTTTGTTTCAAGAGAAGAAAACCAAGGTCTAAAGAGGGGAAATAATTTGCCAAAGCCACATAGTGAGTGACTAGTAAAGTAGAAACTAGAAAACAAATCTTTTGACTCACTACTCCAGTTCTACACATGTTCCACACCAAGCTTTCTCCAGTCTCATATTTAATTCTAGAATACATCGAGTTTTAATGCTATATCTCTATGAAAAGATTCTCTCCCAATTAGATTGTAAGAACTTGGGGCAAGGGACCATGTTCTGACCAACATTGTACATCTTCTCCTCTAGCACACTCTTCTGCAAGGCAACCTGTATGCCCAATACAAAAAGGAAGATTTCAACAAATATTGTTAAACTGCTATATGGCAAGTCCAATAATGGTTCCTGATAACACAGAGATGAAATATACCATCTCTGCCCTCATGATACTCCCTATCTAGGGAGGGAGACAGATACAACAACACCTATAATTTAAGAGATGAGCATTTAACAGTGATGTAGAAAAGGCAATATGGAGGCACAGAAGAGGAAGTGACTATGTACCTGGATGAAATACAGAATTAGGTCCTAAAGGAAGAATGAGAACTCATCAGAGAAGGGAAATGGGAATTACAAATAGAAAGAATAGCAGAATAAGCCAACACAAGGAGGCATGGAGGCATGTGTTCAGTGAAAATGACTCTGAGTAGCTACACACAGTATAGATAAGAAGTTGGACTGAAGCAGAGGAGGAGGAGTAAATAAGACTAAAAAGGAAGTCCGAGGTCAGCTGTAAAGTTGCTATTCATTTATTCAGTCATTCAACAACGTTAAATACTCCCATGTGCCGTGCAGTGCTGTTATTGATAATGATGGTGGTGAGATGATAATAAAAGTAAGGGGAATAATAATGATGATGAAAATACTAATGTGGGTGAATTCCAAGGATTTGGGGTCTTGAATCTAGGGTTCATTACTCATATGAATCAGATAACACAGATAAATATTCCATCCTCCATTTCTTTTCTTTCTTTTTTAAATTCATTTTCTATATCAATAGCACACCTACAAACATGGTGAACATTCCTAAAACCTGCCAGACTTTCCGTAAGAAGTGAGGCAAGCACCAACCCCACAAACTGACGCAGTACAAGAAGGGTAAGGATCCACTGTATGTCCAGGGAAAGCAGCATTATAACAAGAAGCAGAGTGGCTAGGGTGGGCAGACTAAGCCAATTTTCCAGAAAAAGGTTAAAACCACAAAAAAGACTGTGCTGAGCCTTGAGTGCATTGAGCCCAATTGCAGAGCTAAGAGAAGGCTGACTATTAAGAGATGCAAGCATTTTAAACTGGCGGGAGATAGGAAGAAAAGGGCCAAGTGACCTAGTTCAAAGCTTCATCTTTTTTTTAATTGTGAAGACAATAAAATATTGAAGTTAGGTTCACACACACATACAAAAAAATCTGTTATGTATTAGGCATTGTTCCAGGAGCTAGGGATATAGCAGTGATCAAAAATTAAAGTCCACAGCCAGACGCAGTGTCTCACACCTGTGGTCCCAGCACTTTGGGATGTCAAGACAGAAGGATGGCTTGAGCCCAGGAGTTTGAGACCAGACTGAGCAACATAGCGAGATGCTGTCTTTGTCTTTAAAAAAAAAAAAAAATAGAAAATAAAACAAAAAAAATTAAAGTCTAGGCTGTTGCAGAGCTTTTGTGCTCATGAGGGAGACAGATAATATACAAGTGAAAAATATGTTTCAGAGAATGATAAGAAAGGAAAGAAAACAAGGCAATAAGATAGAAAATTACTCAAAAGCAGGCATCATTACATAGATTGGACCAGGGAAACATCACTAAAGAAGTGACATTTGAGCTGAATGAAGTATTATCTGTAGAAAAGGTTGAGGGAAGAGCATTCCAAGCAGGAGAACTAGCAAGGGCAAAATCCCTGAGGAGGGACCAGGCAGCTTGATGTATCCCAGGGACAGAAAGAAGGCCCGTGTACTAGAGCATAGTGAGCACAGGGAGAGTGGTCTGAAGTCAGAGTGTAGACAGGGCCAGGGCATGGAAGGCTTTACATATTTGGCAAATGATTTGGATTTTATTCTTATTTATTTATTTAGAGACAGTGCCTTGCTCTGTTGTCCAGGCTGGAATACAGTGGTGCGATGTTGGCTCACTGCAGCCTCCACCTCCCAGGCTCAATCAATCCTCCCACCTCAGCCTCCAGAGCAGCTAGGACTACAGGCTTGTGCCACTACGCTTGGCTAATTTTTTAATTTTTTGTAGAAATGAGATCTCATGATGTTGGCCAGGCTGGTCACAAACTCCTGGACTCAAGTGATCCTCCCACCTTGGCCTCCCAAAGTGCTGGGATTACAGGTGTGAGCCACTGCACCCACCCTTTGGATTTTATTCTAAGTGCAATGGAGAGGTTTTAAGCAAAGAAGGGACTTCACTAATTTACTTTTCTTTTCTTTCTTTTTTTTTTTTTTTTTTTTCAGAGATGGGGTCTCACCCTGTCATCCGGGCTGGAGTGCAGTGGTGCAATCATGGCTCACTGCAGCCTTGACCTCCCAGGCTCAAGCAATACTCCTGCCTCAGCCTCCCAGGTAGCTGGGACTACAGGTACACACCATCATGCCCAGCTAATTTTTAAGTTTTTTGTAGGGACAGGGTCTCATTTTGTTGCCCAGGCTGGTCTCAAACTCCTGGGCTCAAGCAATCCTCCCACCTCAGCCTCCCAAAGTGCTGGGATTACAGGCATGACATATGACGCCTGGCCTGATTTACATTTTTAAAAGATAATTCTAGTGGCTCTTCATTCCCACCTTTAGGTGGACACAGTGCCTGCCACCTTCCAACTGCGTGACCCAAGTTGTATGGCACTGTTTTCTGGTGCTCTAACTGCATCCTCACAGACCTATTGAAAGAAGTCTCTGAGAACAAACTGCTTTTCTAAAGTCCCCTGAATGTGGAGGAGGTGAGAGAACAAGGTCCACTCTCTTTGATACTTGGTAAGTGAGGATGCCCCAGTAGAGGAGGCCTCTGGCCAGTGGCAGGGCTTAAGACTCTAGAAGAATGATGATCCCACTCCATGTCTTCTGCTGAAGACACCATGTCCCCACTCAGTTTTCCTCATGAGGGCTCTCTGACATTAAGGGCTATGTGTTCCCCATTCTGGTTTCCTGATACTTCCTCCTCTTGCTGTGTACAGATTGTCCTGGGAACAGAGGGCTCAATGAGGGAGAAAAAAGACTTGGGAATATTCACATAGCCATATGGAAACCTATGTAAATACGGATGAGCCTCACTTTAAGAAGATCCATTCACTCACATAGATACTGATCGAGCACCCACAATGCATCAGGCACTATTTCAGGTGCTGAGGATTCATTCATCCATTCTACAGACATTTTTATTTAGGCCAACTATATGCACAACATCTGGAGAGCCAAATAAATACAAAAATGATAGTAGGTTCTAAATAAATGTTTGTTATATAGGTGAGTAACTGACCCAGTTGAGGGGTGAGAGTAGGGTAGGAATTGTTCACAAATAAATTAACTGTGAAGGTCCTTTAAATAAGACTTTCCTCCTAATGTAAATAAATTGGACTCAGCTTTATTTATTTATTTATTTATTTATTTATTTATTTAAATGGTATAGGGTTTCACAATGTTGCCCAGGCTGGTCTCAAAGTGATCCTCCCACGTCAGCCTCCAGAGAAGCTGGGACTACAGACATGCCACCACCACTGGCTGAACTCAGCTTTAAAGAGGCTATTTGTTCATTGCATTTCAGCACCTAATCATGTAAAAGCAGCGTACTAGAGGGGGCTTTTACCAGCTAAGGAGAGCCAGGGGTTAAATTTTCAGAAATGTTGCAAGCTGGTTATTGAACACAATCATTCCTAAAAATTAAATAACATAACGTATAATTAAATAAGTTACACTTAAAACAGAGGTAATAAAAACTGAGTCATCACTTCCTAATTACTACTCTCAATGTTCTTGAGGTTATTTACATCTACTATGTCGATAGGGAGGAAATACTGTATAACGGTATTTCACTGTGCCTCTCTTCTCCACTGCGCTTTCAGTGATGTCACATTGGTAGCATGAATTGGCCACAGTGGGAGTATTTACACCACAGACATTGGCAACTGTAAAAAACAACACTTTTTTTCCCCTGGAGAACCAGTTGTTAAACATTTACCAGCACACCACTGGTGTAGAGTCTCTATTATGTAATCTTCTTGTGGTGAATCTTCTTTTAGAATCTTATGGACAGAATTAAGCGGACTAGGCTAAGTCTCTCCTTGACACTGATCCCTATGATCCTTATCGCTATGGTAATTTTACATAATTAAGCAACCTGTGGCGGAGGAGGTGGCCTTTTAGTCACAAATAGCATGTCACATGAGGACTGTTTGAAGGAACTAGGATATTATTCAACAAACCTTTATTTAGCAGCAAATATGTGCAAAGCTGTGTGTTGAAGGCTAGGGAAGATATTAAATAGTAGTCTATGTTCTCAAAGAACTCACTATAGAGGAGGTGACACAAAACCTATTGAAAATACAATGTAGTAAGTGCTATAACAAAGAAGTATGGAGCAGAACGGAGCTAACTCAGAGACCAGCAAAGAGGATTCAGAGCACCTAGAATACAAGTGTCGGTGTCTGTCTTGTTCTCCACTGTGTCCCTAGCACCTAGCACTATGTCTGGCCCAGAATTTGCACTCAATAATTGTTGCATGAGTGAAGGAGTTAGCAATTACCTTAACCCTTGAAAAATAAGTAAGCTTGCCAGACAAATCAAAGTGAGTACAGAGAGGGCATTCCAGGGCGAAGAAACAGTGTTTGCAGAGTCATGGAGGCCCAAGAGCTTGGCACATTTGAAGACAATGTTTAATATGGCATGAGGGGTCCCGGGACCCAGACTGGTAAAGGTGAAGGTATGGAAGAGGGGTTCTCTGCCCCAAATCTCTAGAGAGCTCTCAAAAGACAAAAGGACTTGGCTTGTTCTGTATAGCCCTGGGGACAGAGTGAGGGGCAACACAGGCAGTCACAGAGAATCAGATTTCAGTTTAATATAAAGAACTTTCTAACAGAGCTGTCCAACAGTGGAATGGGCTGCCTTGGCAGGCAATGAGCAAGTTCGCTATGAAGGAAGAAAGCAGATGCCAGATAAACTCTTAGTGCAACAAACTGCTATGGGGAGATGCATTTTTTTTTCCTGACTAGATTTTGGAAGAATTTATTCAGTCTCCTTTTTAAAAGGGTATTAAATAATATATAGACAACTCTCTTCAATAGTATTTCTACAGAAGACACAAAGACTTTCTTTCTTTCTTTTTTTCTTTTTGAGACAGTCTTGCTCTGGAGTGCAGTGGTGCAAACACGGCTCACTGCAGCCTCAACCTCCTGGGCTCAAGCGATCCTCCTGCCTCAGCCTTCAGAGTAGCTAGGACTACAGGTGCGTGCCACTATGCCCAGCTATCTTTTTTACTTTTTGTAGAGACGAAGTTGGGGGGGGGTCTCACTTTGTTGCCCAGGCTGGTCTTAAACTCCTAGGCTCAAGCCATCTTCCCACCTCAGCCTCCCAAAGTGCTGGGATTACAGGTGTGAGCCACTGGGCCCGGCCTGACACAGAAACTTTCAAGTGTTTGTTTCTTATGTCAATCATTGACTAAAGCTGAGGCCAATAGTGGGCTGAAGGCTTTTCCAATCACTGAGGTCTTCACTCATTCATGTAGCAATTATTTATTCAGTATCTGTGTGTCAAGGACTTTGCTAAATGCTCGAATTACAGATATAAATTTCAAAAGGCACCTGCACTCACAGTGCAGGGTAAAAATGCAAATAAATACTTACACTCCAACAGCTACAATTCAAAGTGCTATGGGAAACACAAAGACTAAACATTGACTTTGCCTGGGGGACTCAGGGAAGACCTTGGAGTGGAGGTGACTCAACTGACCTTTGGAAAGTTAAATGGGATTCACTAGATGGAGGAAGAGAGAGTCCAGGCAGAAGGAAAACATGTGTGAGGATATGGAGGTGCGACGACGCATGGTCAGTTTGGGGAGGTGAGCGGTTGGCCAAAGTGTAGGGTAGGTGGCAATGGTAGATTGGAACTAAAATATGCGTGGTGTTCAATTCAGTGCTGAAAATTTTAGATTTTAACCTATAAATGATAGGAAGTGAATAATAGGTTTTATGTGGGAAAGTGATGTGATCAGATTTGTCAGTAGAAATGATCAGCATAGTTCTCAAGGCAGGTGTGAGGAAAATAGATAGGAGAGATCCAGATTAGGGGGAGGAGACCTGGTAAGAGGCTGTTGGGAAAGTTCAAGTAAGGAATGAAGATGGCCGGGTGCGGTGGCTCATGCTTGTAATCCCAGCACTTTGGGAGGCTGAGGTGAGTGGATCAGCTGAGGTCAGGAGTTCAAGACCAGCTTGGCCAACATGGCGAAACCCCATCTCTACTAAAAATACAAAAATTATAGGTGGTGCATGCCTGTAATCCCAGCTACTCGGGAGGCTGAGGCAGAAGAATCGCTTGAACCCAGAGGCAGAGGTTGCAGTGAGCCCAGATCACGCCACTGCACTCCAGCCTGGGCGACAAGCGCAAAACTCCATCTCAAAAAAAAAAAAAAAAGGAATGAAGTTGGCCTCAACTCTGGGGATAATAGGGATGGACAGGAGGGCTGAGATGGTGGAGGCCTTTTTTGAAGTATGATGGGCAGGATGTAGGGGAACCCATCTTAATCCACTTCTTACATCTAAGACATGAATATATGTGCACAGCACATTTTAAACAAAGAGAAAGGAAAAGATCACTGTCCCAAACCCTTGGGATGAGATTGTTTATGCAATTAAGCAGCACAGGATTTAACTCTGAGATCCCTGGAAGCAAAGGCAAAAAGGGAAGCATGGTGACATGCATAAGCTTGCACTATCTGTTAAAATAAAGAATACTCAGGGGAAAGGAAGAGACTGGCCAGATTAGAGTAGAAATTAAGCCTGAAGGGCACTGGACAGATCATGTTTGTCCCTGATCCTGAGAGCCCTAGGAAGGGCCAGTTTGGGGATCACTGGTTCCTCCTACTGCTCTCTTTTGGAGGGTGGAGATCTTGGGGGTAATACCCTGAAAGCACAGTGCAATGGGGAGCCCAGCCTTGGCCCAGAAAGATACCTTTACAGCCAGCCAGCCAAGTGTTTAAACCCGGAAATATGATTCCCTACCAGAGTGGGATATGGCTCAACATCCCTTCCCACCTCATACTCCTCTGGCACTCTTTGGAGTCTCCATTAGCTCTTCAAGAGAAGCTGGGCAGAAAGTTGAGGTCCAAAGCAAGGATAGATGTATTTACTCAAAGTGGCCCAACAAGTTACGGATGGAGCCAGGACAGTGACTCTGCCCTTTTGATTTCAGAGCTTGTGTGTTTCTGGTCTGGCCAGAGCTGGCTATTCTCTTCTTAGTGTCCTATTAGTGCATGTGTTCATTCAACACAAGAGATGGAGCACCATTTGAGGGCTGGAGGGTGTCAGGGCCCTGTCCTCAGGGAGCTCCCCTTCTGGTGGGAAAGAAAACTCTTTGACAATCAGCTCTCCCTAAAGATGACTGAAGGTGACCATCACTCCCAGAGAAGTGCAGGCCTCACCTGCAAAGGCAAAGGAGAGATCTTGCCTTGATTCGGGAGTGGGAGCGGGGAGCAGAGGAAGACCTCCAGGGGAAGGCACAGGATCCCTATGGGCTGACTTTCCTGAGAATGGCGCATGGGCAGACGGAGTGGGGACAGGGGCCACTGGTATTGTAGGCACCTGGAATTAGGACCCCTTCTCTTTGTGGGGTGAGTGTTTCGACGTTCATTACCTTATTTCATCTTAGCAACACTCGTGGGAAGATAGTAGAGATATTTTAAGATCTTAAAATGCCCATTTTAAAGCTGGGAAAACAGACTCTCCGGTGGCGTGCTGTAGACCACAAACTGAATTAAGAACGCCAGTGTTCTGATTCCATCCATCTGCGGAGTTCCGGGCACGCACCGCCGAGCGCCTTACCCTGAGCCTTCCCGGTACCCGCAGCCCCGACAGCTCAGCCTTCCCCACCTGAAAGTTCCACCTGAGGTCTCCCTCAACTCTGCCCTCCTGCATTCTTGGCGTCGCGGGGAGTCAGGGGTTAAACCCCGTGGCCCGCGTGGCCCCTTCCCCCTCCGCAGCCCCCTCGCCTCCACTCGGCGCCGCGCCTGGAGCGTCCGTCCCGGAGACCCGCACAAGAGAGGAGGGGAAAAAGTGGGCCTGTTTCTCGGGTGGCCAATCCACCGAGCCCGCGGTGCCCCAGAGGAGGCGCCAGCGCTAGGCCAGCGCCAGGCCGGGCTGCCTGCTTCCCGCGGCAAAGTACAAATGCGCCCGAGCGCGGCGCCTGAAGCCCTTGGCGAGCACAGCCGGCCCGCGCTCAGCCTCCCTCCGCGGCCGCCGCGCCGCCGCCGCTGCTGGGACCGCCGCCCCGCCGGGCCCCAGGCCCCCGCGGCCCGACCCCGAGCCCACCGAGCAGGGGGCGCCGGCCGCCTCTAGCCCGCGCGCCCGCAACACCCGCTGGTCCCGCGCGCCTCGCCCGGCGCTGCGCGCTCGGCAGACGCCGGTCCTCTCCCTGCTTTCTCCTCCTCTCCCTCTCACCTTCCCCCTTTCTTTGATCGCCTCTCCCTTCTGCTGGACCTTCCTTCGTCTCTCCATCTCTCCCTCCTTTCCCCGCGTTCTCTTTCCACCTTTCTCTTCTTCCCACCTTAGACCTCCCTTCCTGCCCTCCTTTCCTGCCCACCGCTGCTTCCTGGCCCTTCTCCGACCCCGCTCTAGCAGCAGACCTCCTGGGGTCTGTGGGTTGATCTGTGGCCCCTGTGCCTCCGTGTCCTTTTCGTCTCCCTTCCTCCCGACTCCGCTCCCGGACCAGCGGCCTGACCCTGGGGAAAGGATGGTTCCCGAGGTGAGGGTCCTCTCCTCCTTGCTGGGACTCGCGCTGCTCTGGTTCCCCCTGGACTCCCACGCTCGAGCCCGTAAGTAGACCGGGAGGCTGGGTGGGCAGAGGAGGGATGCGGCCCCTGGAATGTGAGGGACAGCGCCAGGACCTGGACCCCAAGCTCTTCTGACAGCCGTCCAGGCAGCACCTGTGCCGGAGGGGTGGAGACTCCGTGAGGACCAGTATGGGCCGGGGGACCGGAGGAACTCGGCACAACTCAGAACTGAGAGAGGGCTGCTGCCAGGGACCTGAGGAGGGGCACCAAGGGCAGCGGGGGGAGAGGGCAGGGCACTGTGTTTTGGGTTGGGGGAGGACTTACTGTTCCTAGGAGGGAGTCGGGTATGTCTGGCTACAGGTAAGGAGTGTGATGGAGAAGAAAAGGCTTTTTGCCTTTGGAAAGAGCCATTGGACAGAAATGAGAGGTAATTAGGATAACCTTCCCATTCTTTTCTCTCTTTTGATCCTCGCAACTCTCCAGTGAGGTGGGTATTATCATTCGCACTTTACAGATGAGAAAACTTAGGCTGAGCAAGGAGGAACTTGCTAAAACTTACAGAGCGGGTAAGCCATCCAAAGCCAGAACTCTAGTTCCAGATCCCATGCTTTATTCCCTGCCTCACATTGTCTAGAAGGAACCCTGAATTTGCAGTGTGAGACTCTGGGAGGCGGCAGGGCACAGTGAGATAGACCAGCGTCTTCACCATCCCAGCCCCGCTGAATGCCAGCTGCTGGGAGGCCGTCACAGAGTGCACCTCTCTGACCCTGGGTTTCCTAATCTATAAAGCGGAAGTAAAAATCCTAGGAGAGTTGATAGGATTAAATTAGAGAAAAGAGGTAAAGCAGCTAGCACAAGACTGGTGCTTGATAGCTTCCAAAAAAAATCAGTTCCCAATTATGCTTTTCCACATAGATACAGTGTAACATCAAACAGGTTACATCATCAATCTGAGCCTCAGTTTCCTCACTGCGCCCACAATAGGCTGGTGGTCCCCCCTCCCCATGCCCAGCCAATCTCTTAGAATGCTGTGAGGATGGAAAACCAAACCACATTCTCTTAATCAGAAGAAAGGAGCTTCATTCAAGCAGTGGGTTTCTCCAGGACATACATGGCACAGCCTGGGATTAAGACCCTGCGTTCCCAACTCCTAGTCTGGTGCTCTTTCCTCTCCCCAGCTCAGCTCCTCCATCTATGCCTTTCTTTTGCACGTGACATTCTGGAGCTGGTAGTGCTGGACTTTGTTACGGTCTTGTTTCTGCTCATGAGAGCAGGCTGAGTGTCTCTGGCCTGCCAGCAGCATGAGACTCACATAAGTCTTTCCATTACATAGAACAAGTAATGGAATTAGCTCAGTGTTGTATTCAAATCCTGGCCGTGCCCCTTAGAGCTGTGTGACTTTTTGTAAGTCATAACTTCTCTGAGCCTCAATTTCCTAATCTGTCTAAGAGAGATACTAATCCAGAACTTGCAGGGTTCTTGGGAGGATTAAAGGAGGTAACGGATTAAAGTGCCCAGCACAATGCTGTGTACTTAATAAATGTCTCTTCCGCTTTCTTGAACCCTGAGGGTTTCCTCCTAACACCTGCCTCCTATTTCTTAAAAGAGACTTTGCACAGGATGCCCTCCATGCCTGCCTCCCATCCACTTGACACCTTGTTCTTAGTCCCTGCAATTTTTTCTCCAGATATCATTGCCCTTGATGCATCTTGGAAAGATGTCCTAGAACCAGACTGTTATCCTACCCACACCCTGCTTCTTTGCTTCCCATATCTTGTCAGCCTTTCATGGCCTTGCCTAGGTCACACCTCTTCAAGCAAACTCTCCCCGGTGACTTGATCCACTCTGATCTCCCTCGTCTGTGCCTCCCTGGCCTTCAGCTCTGTACCTCTCAGCAGGTCCTGCCAGTATTCCATCTTCCCTACAGCCTTGTAAATACAGATCTCCAGACATGTGAGAAAAAGACTTGGAGCCAACTCATTAGGGTGAGGTGGACTGGCACTCATTGGAGAATGTTAAGATTCCTGGATGTTAGAGCTGGTGAAACTATCAAAAACCATCTGCTTCTACCCATCAATATACCTATACTTAGAGTTAAATTGAAGCCCAGAAGAGAAGAGTGACTTGCCCAAGGTCACACAGCAAATTTATTAAAGAAAAGAACAAAAGCCAGGCACAGTGGTACACACCTGTAGTTCCAGTCACCAGCTACTTGGGAGGCTGAGAGGGAGAGGAACCCTTGAGCTCAGGAGTTCAAGGCTAGCCTGGGGAACATGGTGAGACCTCATCTCTTAAAAAACAACAACAACAACAACAACAAAAAACAGAACAGACCTGGGTCCTGGACCCTGATTTGTCACTTATTGGCTGTGTGAGTTGGGACAGACCACTTCTTTATCTGAGCCTCATTTTGTTTGGTGCTGACAGCCTATGAATCTAGAAAGGATCCTATAGTCATTTGCCAAGATGCTATTTGAAGGTCTCTTACAAAGGTCCTCATCTTAGTTTAAGTGAGATCTCAAGCCTGTTGTGGGTCAGAAATCTGGTGATATCTTAGGTGCTTTCAGAAACAGTGCTAACGGATGGAAATGTTCAAGTCTGTGTGGTATCAGGCTCCTGAGGTGTCGGAGCCCTGAAGAATGCCAAGGGCCTGTGAACACAGGTAACAGTTTGCTCCTCAGGCTATTCAAACAAAAAGTATTCTCTCTTTGGTTCTATTTCCAGCCATAGATTGAGCCCTAATCCCAATACAGACTAAGTTGCAATTCCAGCCACAAGCCAAGCCCTAGTCCTCCAACCTTGGCCACAGGTTGAACACCAATTCCACCCCTATACAAGACCCCTTACCCAGGCTGGGTCCCTGACCTGGTTACTGACCAGTACTGGTCCCAGCCCCAGGCTGAGCCACAGACATGTGTGATGCTGGTCACTCTAGACACTCGGCTCTTTGTGGATGAGTGTCCACCAGAGGCCTACTATCTTCTTACCTCCCTCTTCAGTGCTTTCTGCCCTACTCCTCTCAGCTCCTCTCTTTGGTTCTCTTCCCTAATTGTCCCTTGTAGGTGTCTAGTATGCTCTGCTTTCTCTTCCCTCCCTCCATCCAATCCTGCTTTCAGGAGAGTCAGTTACCAAGTAAAAACATGGGGCTGGGTGCAGTGGCTCACGCCTGTAATCTCAGCACTTTGAAAGGCCGAGGTGGATGGATTACTTGAGCCCAGGAGTTTGAGACCAGCCTGAGAAACATAGCAAGACCCTGTCTCTAGAAAAAATAAAGAAATTAGCCTGGCATGGTGGCACATATCTGTGGTCCCAGCTATTCGGCAGGCTGAGGTGGAAGGATTGCTTGAGCCCAGAAGATGGGGGCTGCAGTGAGCTGTGATTGCACCACTGCACTCCAACCTGGGTATCACAGTGAGACCCTGCTGAGAAAAAAACAATCCATGTATTTTTTTTCTTCAAGGGTTTTGTTTATTATGGGAATCGAAGCTTTCGTTCCCAGGTGATGAATTCCGGACCCTAGACGCAGGCATGGGACAGGAAGGGAGCTCCGCTGGTAGGATGTGATGTGGAGGGCAAACCTGGAATCAGAAAGTCATGGATCCAGCCCTGGCTGTGCCATCAATTCCAACTGTGACCCTGGACAGGTTGCCTTTCTCTACCTCTCAGTTTTCTCCCCTGTAAAGTGAGATGGTTGGACTCAAGTGGATGATTATTGAGGACCATTCTAGTTTTAACACTTCGTAATTCTAAGTCTCCAAAACCCAAAGGTGTGGTTGCCTTGATTCCGAGTCCACTCTGGCCTTTGGAATAGGGATGTGGGAGGGTGGTACTCCTGCCCTGCCAGGGAGGAGTGGACAGGCAGACCCTCAGACACCAGAAAAAAGTGCCTGGATGGCCTGGGGCAGTGAAGGTAGTGGGAGACCGGCCAGAGGGGACCTGCTTGTCTGTCCAGCTTAGTCGCATCCCCATCTACCTGTGCAGGTGTGCATGAGGCAGTGGGGAGCACCTAAGTGAAGGCCTGAAGTCCGGCTCCAGGCTGACTTCTCTCTGGATCTCTGACTGGGCCGTTCTGCACCTCTCCTCTCCCACCAGCAGAGGTCTCTGCCTCACTCACTGGCGCACAGGCTGCTGAGCCTGAGCCCGGCAACAGCTGCGCAGTTGCTCCAGCTGTTGCACCTGTTCCAGGACTGGCCTCTCAAGTTCCCCCAGCCGCCAACCATGGCGCCGGACTCTGGGAGAGGGACCTTGAATCCTTCATATTCTCAAAGAAAAGGACTGGCATGACAGCGGTGCCCCTGGGAGGTGTAGTACAGAGATCATTTCAGGCGTCCCCCTTCCTCTGTCCAGGACCCCATCCTCATTCTTGTACTCAGGAGTTCTTTTTTGTGTCTCGCCAGAAGCCTTCTGTTTACAAATTAAGGCCATTTCTTCTAGTCCTGCCTAGTAGGGGATGGGTGTCCCTGTAAGCATTCTCTCCACATCTGACGACTGGCATTGAAGATTGTGCTGGAGTGAATCAAGCTTAGTCAAGTCCTGATCTCTCTCTGGGACTCAATTTCCCACAAAGGAAACAGGGGACTGGATGTCTCTGAGTCCCTAGCTTTCTACGATTCTATGAATCTAAGCATATATGTCCAAGGCAGAAAAAAATGTGAACAGTCCCCACCCTGTTTCCTGCCCTTTAACAGGTAACAGAGCTGCCTTTCCTGGTTTGATAGTTCTCTCCCTAGAGGCCCTTCTATGTTCCTGTATGTCTGTCATGTGCCAGAGGGAAAAGTCAGGTTCAGAGAAATGCAGTTCCTTTCTCCGGGTTGCACAGCTCAGCCACTGAGGAGCTGAGGCTTTTCTTCTGATTTCCTTAAGAGGCCTCTCCCACCGGGTGCCAGAGCCCAGAGCAGAGCTTATGTCTCAGAGGGGAGCAAGTTTGTTTGTGTGAAGAGGGGATTATAAATAAATAGAGAAAGTATGGCTGTGTGGGTGTGAGGGAAGAGATGTAAACGTTCTACATTCCTGGGCAGCCTGGCTCACTCAGGTTTCCTGAGTTCTTGCAGCCTGGGGACAGGCCAGCCACAATTCCAGACCTCTCTCCTCTCACCCCGGCCCC
Source organism: Homo sapiens (assembly GCF_000001405.40). Classification (NCBI taxonomy): domain Eukaryota; kingdom Metazoa; phylum Chordata; class Mammalia; order Primates; family Hominidae; genus Homo; species Homo sapiens. The sequence continues at coordinate 74,725,744 of NC_000011.10, read as the reverse complement.
TCCTGATGCCCTTTCCAAGGTCTTGACCAGCCTCCCCTCCAGCCCAGAAGCTTCTTTCTAGTTGTCTTTTCTGCTTCCTATTGGGGAAGAATTCTCAACCGCACTAACCCCTTCTAACTGACCACCATAAAAAAACCTTTTATCACAGCATGAGAGTTTCAAGCCAGACTGTGGGATGAGCTTGGAACTTGGATAGAGACAGTTTGGAAATTTTGACTTATGCGTGAAGATCATGGAATCACTCATCCCCTTAGCTACTCTGGGCTCCTGACCTTTTTGTACATGTTGTCATTTGGTTTGGCCAGTGGTTTGAGCATTCAGATGGCAGGGAGCTGGAAAGTGGGGGTTGTCAGAAGCTAATTTCTGTTAGGTGGCAAGGTAAAAGTGCTGAAAGGGAATTGGCCCTCTTCCCATATAATGAACTACTCCTTTTGTTAAAGAAAGAGGCTTCCAGGGCTGGGCGTGGTGGCTCCCGCCTGTAATCCCAGCCCTTTGGGAGGCCCTGGCGGGTGGATCACGAGGTCAAGAGATCGAGATCATCTTGGCCAACATGGTGAAACCCCATCTCTACTAAAAATACAAAAATTAGCTGGGCGTGGTGGCACTCACCTGTAGTCCCAGCTACTCGGAGGCTGAGGCAGGAGAATCGCTTGAACCTGGGAGGCGGAGGTTGCAGTGAGCAGAGATTGCGCCACTGCACCACAGCCTGGTGACAGAGCAAGATTCCATCTCAAAAAAAAAAAAAGAATGAAAGAAGCTTCCAGGACTAAGGACCGTCAATTGGCTCCTCTTCCAGAATCTCTCCCTCTTTGTTAACTCTGTTCTTTCATCATTGATTTCGTTCATCAGGCACGAACTCTATGTAGGCTCTACCTTGAGCACAAAATTTAATGAGATCTGGTCCTTGCTCTCAAGAAGGTCCCAGTTTGGTTAGGAAGCAAAGCTTACTTAAGAAGTACCTCTAATCCATTTGTGATGAGAATTGTAATGAGGGCTGAACTCAGTTCTGCAGGAAAGGCCAGTGGCTGGAAGTTTGGGGCAGCTTCACAGAAAGGGTAGCATCTAAGCTGGCTTTTGAAGAATGGGAAGGAGTTGGTCAAACATTGGAGATGGAGGATTCCATTCCAGGTGGAGGAAACAGCATGTTTGAAGGCACAGTAGGAGGAGGCCTGGGGGCTGGTGGAAGAGTGAGGAATTTAGCAAGAGGAGGTGAGGCTGAAAACAGGGCCACCACAAAAAGTTTTGCTGGAAAAGCAGGCAGGAGCCACCTCATGATAGGCTGGGGATGACACAGTGACATTTGGAATCTGTCTGGTAAACATTGCTGTCCTGAAATCAGATTAGATCAACTAAGTCCAGTCACTTTAAGTCTGTTCAGACAGGTAAAGAGATTTGGCTGTGGCCCATCCAAGTGGACACTTCCTGTGGGAAAGGGAGCTAGTGTCTAGCACTTTGGATATGCCAAAGAGAAGCCTCTGTGTCCTTCATGAACCACATCCACTCCCACCTCTGTGCCTTTGCATCTAGCACCCACTGCCTGAGAAGTCCTTCCCCTTCTGCATCTTGTTAATTTCTCCAAGATCCAGCTCAGGCATGTTCCTAGAGAAGCCTCGCCTGAAGACCCTATGCTCACGCCATCATAGCGTTTGTCAGACTGAATGTATTGTATCTATCTGTGTTCTTCACTAGGCTGTGAGCTCCTTCAGGAGGTGACTTTGTTTTAAGTCATGTACCAGGCCCATGAATGTGTATAATATTTGACATACAAAAAGTTCAATAAATAAATGAATAATGGGAAGTAATATTACTGTAGCAGTCCCCCAGTATTCATGGTTTCAATTTCTGAGGTCTCAGTTTCCTGTGATTAACCTTGGTCCAAAATGTTAAATTGGAAATTCCAGAAATAAAGAATTCATACGTTTTAAATTGCACATCATTCTGAGTGGCATGGTGAATTCTGTTGCCATCCCTCTCTGTCCCATCCAGAATGTAAATCACCCCTTTGTCCAGTGTGCCCACGCTGTAGATGCTCCCCGCCCGTTAATCACTTGGTAGCTGTCTCAGTGATCAGATCAACTGTTGCAGTATTGCAAGGCTTGTGTTCAAGGAACCCTTATTTTACTTCATAATGGCACCAAAGCACGAGTAGCAGTGCCAGCAATTTGGATATGCCAAAGAGAAGCCATAAAGTGCTTTCTTTAAGTAAAAAGGTAAAAGTTCTCAATTAATAAGGAAAGGAAAAAAATGGTATAGTGAGTTTGCTAAGATCTACAGTAAGGATGAATCTTCTATTTGTGAAATTGTAAAGAAGGCAAAAGAAATCTATGCATGGTCTATGTAGGGTTCAGTACAAACTGTGGTTTCAGGCATCCACTGGGGGTCTTGGAATGTATCACCCAAGGATGAGGGGGGACTACTGTATTACTAATGATAATAATGTTTACTGCCTGTTATGCCAAGTGCCGCACACTCACGTATGTGTTCAGTCCCGAAACCTCAATCCTGACCTTGATGGCTCCTTTGCCTTCTCCACCCATATCCTATCCAGTCTGTCCCAAAGCCTGCCCATTGTACCTCCTAAGTGTTTCTCAAATCTGTACTTTTGCCCATCAGCACAGCTTCCATCTTGGTCCAGGTCCAGCATGATCTCAAAACAGGATGACTGCAACAGCCCCTCCCTGGTCTCCCTGCCTCCAGTCTTGCCCTCCAATCAGTTCTCCATTCCTGTGAGCACAGTGATGATTCTAAAATGCAAATCTGATCATGGAACTCCCCAGTTTAAAGCTTTTCCATGGCTTTCCTTTGCCTCTCAGGCTCTCAAAGACCTCCGTGAGCCTCTGCTTCTCCTTCCAGACTGGTCTCTTGCCTCTCACTCCTGCCTTCCCATTCTCTCCTCCAACTTCTGAGCCACTTTCATCTCTGTATCCCCGCCCAAGGTCTGTGGGCCTGAGGTGAGTTGAGGCAAACTAATCTGATTTATGAGTGGGGCTAGAAGAATGCAGGAGGCCACCAGAATCATGATTGGTGCAGTAGTAAATGAGACCTGGGAGATTTGGCCTCAGTGTGTGCTATGATGTTCATCCCCTAATAGGTGCCTGGGGATGACCACAGAGAGCTCTGGGAGTCAAAGAAACACCACAGGAAACAAACTATTAAGGAAGTCTGGGGTCAGTGCCCAGATCTGTTTTTTTTTAAACCTATTTAGTTGAGCATATAATATATGTCAGGCACTAGGCATATTACATATATTATCTGACCTAATTCTACAGTAACTCTGAGAGGTAAAGATTGTTATTAGTTCCATTTAATAGATGTGGAAACAGAGGCCCAGAATGGTTAGGTAACTTGTCTAAATTCAGGCTGCAAATAAAAGCCAAATCCACAATTTGAACCCCAGCCGATCTGACTCCAAAGGGTCCCTGAGAAAAGTCATGCTTGGTCTCTGAGATGGGGAGGGATGCATGGGCACAGGTGGGATGAGACTTGGTGGTGGGGTGGGAGAGGAATCAGGGCAGGTCCAAGGCCAGGGCAGAGGTGGGAACGCCACAGAGGACCAAAGGGAGTGTATGGGAAGGGAGTGAGGTATGAGACAAACTCTACCTCCTTCACACTCAGGTGACACACCTGTGTCACTCAGGACTGGTCCTACTGGCTCCCTGAACTTCATCCTAACCCACTTTGGAGCCTCTGAGAGCCTAAGATGTATGAGACCATCAACACATCCAAGAATCATAGAATCTTGGAATGATCGAATCTTAGAACCACAACATTGGACAATTCTAGAAGCTTTGTGTTCTAAGGAAAGACAGGTTCTTAGAAACATGGAATTCTCAAAATCCTGAACCTTAGAATCCTAGAATTTTGGAGTCTTCAAATGTTGAAATCATGGATTCATAAAGTATCTATGCAGAAAATCTTTGAAGATCATAGCTTACCCCCTCCCCTTATTTTGCAGATGGGAAACTGAGGCTCAGAGAAAGGAGGATGAGTCTCTGAATGTCACACAGTGAACTTGTGGCTTAAAGAACTAAAACTGTTTTCACCAGCCATGTTCAAGGGTTGGGGCTAGTGCCAGCACTGCAGGAACTGAGGCGGCCTGTCGCCGTCTGGCAGTTCTTCCTCCTGCTTGGTTCTGGCATGGCCTTGGGCACTCATCTCACTTGAGGAAGAGAGAGCTCCAGGCCATGCCACCCTTCCTTGTGCCTGTCACCTTCTAGGGTATGGTGGGGTGGGGATTGTGGCCACTGGAGGCCTCCTGCCAGGCCCCCCACATTCTCAGCCTCTGCCAGGTCTGTTGGTGGGGGGAAGGGGCCTCCTGCCTGGGCATTGGCTGAGACACTCTTTCTGTCTTCATGCTCTGAGCAGGCGGTGAGGTGAAGGGGGTGCCAACTGGCACAGAGACCTGGGCTACAGGGCTGCCCCAAGGAAGGGAGGACAGGGCTTCTTCAGCAACAGGCTGAGACCTAAGGTGGTGGCAGTGTTGCAATCACCCCCTCCCTGGTGGGAGGAGGGGACTGAGGAAGAAAGACATTATTCACTCCTTGGAGAGTTGGGCTGGCTCTGACCAGCACCCCAGCTGGGCCCGTGTCCCACCCTCTCTGCCAGTAGAGGCTGAGAGATAAACACAGCTCATTTGATACGGGCCAGCCGGGCCTTGCTGGCTTGCTGGGAATGTGAGAGGCGAACTTTAATCGCTCCTCCACTTTGCGGAGTTGGGAAGGGAATGGCGAGGGAACTAAGCCATGTGTTCCTACTCTCAGCGACCCTCGAAGCACAGACTGAAGGCATCGTGACAGCAGTCTCAAATCTTTGTTCTAGGAGGCCCAAGAGGGCAGAGCAGGAGCAATATGAGGAACCCGAGAGAGGCCAACTCCAGCTCCTTACAAAGAAAACCTTCTGATGGTTAGGAATGGCCCATGAGCTCCTGTTTCCTGGAGGCGTGTGTCAGGCAGGGGCTGCACGCCAGCCCAGCCCCCAGTGCTGAGAGGGAATTCCTGCACTGAATGTGAGCTCCCCGCTCACCCCACCCAACTCATTACTGCTTTCAATGCTCTGCGATTCTGTTTCAAAGTCTAAGAGAATGTGATTTAGGAAGTGTAAGAACCCATGTTTCTAAGACGCTTGACTCTGGAAAATGAGAAGGAGGCATGAGAGGCAGCTTCTCCATTTTAGACCAACAGGGGACTAAGAGAATAAGCTAGGGAGTCGGGGATGGTGGCTGGTGGGGCAGAGAGAGAAGAAGGCCTTTAGGCCCTGGAATTGTGTAAAAAGCCACAGGAGATGAGAGATGAGGTGAAGAGAAAGGAGCTCTGCTTTGGAGGCGGGAGTCCTGGGCTGAAATCCTAGCGGAGGACTTTAGGCAAGTGGCATAGTCTCTGTGAGCCTTCTCATAATTGTGGTAACAGTCCAAAGCCACTGCAAGACGGATACTGTCATCTATTCCAGAAGATGACAATGTCCATTTTGCAGTGGCTTTGTGATTGTTACCACAATTATCATAATAATAGCATTCAACTAAGGGTCAGAAACTGGACTGGGTAAACACTTTACAAGCGTTATCTAATTTAATGGTCAAAACAATAATGTTAATGAGATAATTAACTTCTATAAGGGGTTCGGCAAAGAGAAGATAGTCAATAATGTTGGTTCCCTTCTCCATATTTCAATCTCATTTAATTCAACAAACCTTTACTGGCACTTAGCTTGTGCTGAGCCTCCCAGTTCCTCCTGAAAAGAGCTCAGGCAATGGAGTGTTTTTCCCTGCTGGCGTGAAGATCGCTAGGTACCTGCGTAGAGGAGGGTTGGTGAGGATAGGGCGGGAGGCAGAGGGGCAGGGCACAAGGCTGCAGTGCTGGGCTGGGAGGTCTGACCCAGGGCTGGAGGTGAGTGGGTAGGAGGTGGGAGCAGGAGTGGATCAGTGGGTTATGGGAGGTGAGAAAGGCAGAGGTTTCAGGAATGCAGGATTGTAGGAGAGATAGCCAACCCATGGAACAAACGATTTTAGTAATTCTTAGAAGCATTCATCCAGATATTGACAACTGATGTGCGATTGCAAAAAAGTCCATTGGTGTGCCAATCACAAATCACAGTAGTAGCAACGACCATTTTTAAGGATACTTGAAAGTCAGTTTCCTAACAACCTTCTCATCACGGCTCACCAAAATATAAGGACATAGTACAGTGTGAAAGCAAGAAAGCTCCCAGAGCCATGGCCTCAGGCCCCATCCCTGCCAATCCTCCTCTACACAGGTGCCTGGTGATCTTCACACCAGGAGGACTTTGTTCAAAAGGTGGGCTACAGGACCCAGAGAATGTGTACACGTGTGTGTGTGTGTGTGTGTGTGTGTGTGTGTGTGTGTGTGTACAGGGGAGGGGGATGGGAGAGGAGAGAGGGGTGGGAAGGGAGGGAAGGGTGAGGTGATGTACTAAATAAGCCAAATGGGACAAATAAAAAGGAAACAAGCATGATTGTGAGGGCAGAGGAGCGTGGGACTGAGTCAGGAGACTGGTGCTGTCATCGCTGCCTGGTGACTGACTTGCTGTGTGGCCCTCAGGTGTAACTTACCCTCTCTGGGCCTCATTTGTCTAATCATAATAATTAACGCTGATACCATGATATAAATCTGTACAGCATTTCACTGCTTGATTCCCTAACTGCCCTGTGAGATAAGCGTTAAGGCTCAGAGACAGTGGCATGCCCAGTGTTGCACAGTAAGTGTGTGGTAAAGCCGAGATTCAAACTCAGACCTTCTGGCCCCTTGCCTAGGAGAGCATGCCCAGTTGTCTAGCAGATTCTCTTTTGCCTGAGTGGCCCAGATGACATCTCTTTTAGAGCTAGAAAGAAGGAGAAATGAGACAGGGTCTTTGGGCTGGAGCCTCCTGGGACTAACATGGCACTGGTCGGTTTGCCAGGCCCAGACATGTTCTGCCTTTTCCATGGGAAGAGATACTCCCCCGGCGAGAGCTGGCACCCCTACTTGGAGCCACAAGGCCTGATGTACTGCCTGCGCTGTACCTGCTCAGAGGTAGGTTCCTCTGGCCACCTGACCACCTGTGTCAGGGATGTCTGAGAACCCTCCAGAGAAGTCACCCCAGAAGGAGGACCAGGCCTTCTAGAACTGTGCTGTCAGCGGCAGCTGAGAGACTTGGGACAAGCCACTTCACTACTGACTACTCAATATATAGGATTAGATGGCTACTGTGTACCTCCCAAAGATAAGTCACACAAACATTAGTGGCTGGGTTGGGATGAGGGCCCTGGTCTCCCATCTCACATCCCAGCCTTCTTTCCACCTCGTGCTGGTGCCAGCCTCCCTGCCTCCCACGCAGCCCAAGACAGAGCCTTTTTGACCTTATCTCCCATTCCCTTCTTTTCACGTACTATTTCCTCCAGCCACTTTGGCCCTGCCTTAGGATGTGTTCCCCCACCTCCACTAGCCCAACTACTTGTTCCTCAAGGATTTGCTCAAATGGGAAAATGACCTCCACCTGGAAGGATTTTCTTCTTCTGGGATCCCACATAAGTTTCTCTGCCCCTTTCTCCTGATCATTGTTGACCAGGCAACATAGTTACTGCCCCTCCTAGACTGAACCTCTGAGGCTAGGACTTGCTGGGCCCTCACTCACACCTGGCATGATTCCCTGCCAAAGGCTGAGCCACCTGGGGTAGAGACCATGTTTTTGTTTTCCATCTCCTCCCACCCCATCGCACCCCATGACAATCCAGCACCTCCACAGGGCCTTGTAAAATCAACTGGGTAGAATAAATGAGACCCCCATGTGGTCCAGAATTCACAAGTAAGGTATGAGATTGGAGGGGCGGAAGAGGAGGAAGTGGCTTAGGAGGCCTGAAAAACCCTTGGCTTTAGCTCAGCTGCCTGGAGCCCAGTGTGGATGTCCCCAGCTTTCTTTGTCTGGGTGTTGGTGCTTGGAGGGAGGGGTAGCTAGCTCCCAGCCCGAGCCAGCCTCCCAGCCCCACTCTTTCCCTGCACAGAGCCAAGAGAGGAATGCAGAAGGCCTCTAAGAGTCTCCCTTGTTAAAACAGAACCCTCTGGGGTGGGAGCAGACAGAGCTCTGGAGGAGATCCTGTGGGGTGGCGGAGAGGGTGGCTAGCCCCCCTCCTGACTTTGACACTGGGGTCTCACTCCTCCTGGGGTCTTTCCTCCTGACTCACCACTGCTTCTACCGTGTTGGCCCCAAGTAGAAATGGGGACACAACCCCCACCATGACTGCCTCCCCTCGGTTTGCCTTAGCACATCTGAGGCCAATCAGCCTTTTCAAGAAGGACTTTATGAAATATAGCCAGAGAACAGAAAGGAAATCATAACAGAAAATTCCAGACATATCATGTGGTCCAGTTGACAAAGTCCAAGTTTTTTGAGCCATTGGAGTTAATTCATTTCTCCTTTCACAGAGTTCACATACAGTTTCCTCAACCCAGAGGACTTTTGCTGGTATCTGCAAAATATACCCTCAATCCCTCCACTTCTCTCCACCATCACTGCTCCCCCTAATCCAAGCCACCATCATCTGTCATCTCTTTCCTGGGCTGCCACACAAGCCTCCTAACAGGTCTTCCTGTTTCCCCCCCTAAATCCATCCTCCACGCGGCAGTGAGAATGGTTTTTTTTTTTTGTTTGTTTGTTTGTTTGAGACAGGGTCTCGCTCTGGCACCCAGGCTGGAGTGCAGTGGTGCGATCTCAGCTCACTGCAGCCTTGACTTCCCAGGCTCAGACAATCCTCCCACCTCAGCCACCTGAGTAGCTGGGACCACAGGTGTGTGCCACCATGCCCAGCTAATTTTTGTTATTTTTTGTAGAGACAGGATTTCATCAGGTTGCCCAGGTTGGTCTCAAACTCCTGAGCTCGAGAAACCCACCTGCCTCAGCCTCCCAAAGTGCTGGGATTACAGGAGTGAGCCACTGTGCCCTGTGAGAATGGTCTTTTCTCAGCATGAAACTGATCATGTCATTCTGCTCTTAAAACCCTCCAGTAACAGATGATGAACTCATTGACAGACATACAGAGACTGTGTGCTGATTGTCATGTTCTGACTTAGGGAAAAAAAGAGAGAAAAGAAAAAAAAAAACCTCTAATAGCTTTTCATTGGACCTAAAGTAAAATTCAAATTCCCCGCTGAGGGCTCTGCTTCTGTCTTATTCTCCAATTTCTTTTCTTTTCTTTCTTTTTTTTTTTTTTTTTTTGGAGATGGAGTCATGCTGTCACCAGGCTACCAGGCTGGAGTGCAGCGGTGCAATCTTGGCTCACTGCAACCTCCGCCTCCCAGGTTCAAGCGATGCTCCTGCCTCAGCCTCCCAAGTAGCTGGGACTACAGGCACCTGCTGCCACGCCCAGCTAATTTTTATATTTTTAGTAGAGATGGGGTTTCACCATGTTGGCCAGGATGATCTCCATCTCTTGATCTCATGATCTGCCCTCTTTGGCCTCCCAAAGTGCTGGGATTACAGGCATGAGCCACCACGCCTGGCCTTATTCTCCAATTTCATTTCATACCTGCTCACTCTGCTGCAGCCACACTGACCTCTGTCGGTTTTTCCAACACTTGAACCTCATTCCAACTTGTTTCCTCCACTTGGAATGTTCTTCCCTCAGATCTTCTCACGAACAGTTCCTTCTCATCTCCCAGTTCATAACACAAATGTTTCCTCCTTATAAAGCCTTCCCTGACAGCTGTTTCTAACAGTCTACCCCTATTAATGAAATAATATTCCTCTATTTATTTATTTATTATTTATTTATTTATTTTGAGACAGAGTCTCGCTCTGTCACCCAGGCTGTAGTGCAGTGGCACGATCTCGGCTCACTGCAAACTCTGCCTCCCAAGTTCAAGTGATTCTCGTGCGTCAGCCTCCCGAGTAGCTGGGATTATAGGCATGCACCACCACGCCCGGCTAATTTTTGTATTTTTAGTAGAAACGGGTTTTACCATGTTGTCCAGGCTGGTCTCAAACACCTGACCTCAAACAATCTGCCCGCCTTGGCATCCCAAAGTGCTGGGATTACAGGTGTGAGCCACCACGCCAGGCCCTCTATTTTATTATATATCATAAATTTAACATCTGAAATCTTCTTGTTCCTACTTGCTTACTTTTTTTTTTCTTTTTCTTTTTTCTTTTTTTTTGAGTTGGAGTCTCGCTCTGTCGCCCAGGCTGGAGTGCCATGTCGTAATCTCGGCTCACTGTAACCTCTGCCTCCCAGGTTCAAGCAATACTTCTGCCTCAGCCTCCCAAGTAGCTGGGATTACAGGCACACCACTACTGCCCGGCTAATTTTTGTATTTTTAGTAGAGACGGGGTTTTGCCATGTTGGCCAGGCTGGTCTCAAACTCCTGACCTCAAGTGATCCTCCCACCTCGGCCTCCCAAAGTGCTGGGATTACAGGCGTGAGCCACTGTGCGTGGTCCTTGCTTACTTCTTTAATAGTCTATCTTTCACTGTTAGGATGTGAGCTCCGGGAGGGCAGAAACCTTGTTGGTCCCACTAATTCCTAGTGCTCAGAAGAAGGCCTGGCACCCAGTAGACCTGCAGCAAGTATTGAGCGTGAATGAGTCCACGTCTACCCACCAGAGGCAGCTCAGCATCGTGGAAAGTACACGGGCCCTGGTGACAGTTTTTACATGCTTTGTGATCTCAGGCAACTTAACCTTTCAAGGCTCTTTTCTCATTTAGAAAGTGTGACTAATAGTATAGTATCTACCTCTAGGGGTGTTGAGAAGACGAAGTGGGATGATTTTTATATAACGTAAAGGCCCTACCTCAGTAGCCACTCAATAAATGGAGGCTATGACTTTCCTGAGAAGTTCCCTGTGACTGCAAAGGGCTTTTCCAGGTGCCTCACCTGCCCTTTCACCGCTAACCTGTCTCCATCCTGTTTCCTGCTTCGTGGTGCTAATAATCATCGCCATCCTTGGCTCCTTCGAGGCCAGAATCAAGAGACCGATTCTAACTCTTCAGGCCACACAGTCCCTTGCACTCCATCCTAGTTTCTCATCTGGGAACCTCAGATGTCTAGTGTCTGGTTTATCCTCTAGACATTTATTAAGCACCCATGTGCGTTGGGCCTCTAGAAGGCCCCTATTAGAGCTCAGACCAATTCTGTGGACTCTGGGATTCCCCTTAACACTGACTAGTTCTCGCGATTACCTCTGGCCATCTTGGGAAGCAGTGACCCCAGAAGGCGTAGGGCCAGTCAAGGGTCTTCCATGGGGCAAGAGGCTGCCTCTGGGAGAAGTGCTATCAGGGAACTCAGGTCCAGGGAGAGGGCAGGAGGAAGGAACCAGGGGGAGAAGCGGGGCTAGAAACAAACTTCGCCAACTTCAGAATTGTGAACAAAGCGGGCTTCCTTCATCTAGGAGAGGACCATCAACCCCTCCTTTCCTTACTCTCATTTATTCACTCACTCATGCATCCATTCAGACTCCAGCAGCCACTAACTTGGAGCAAGGCCCCATTCTTTGGAATTCGTGGTTGAATCGGTGACACAGGTGTAAATGGTTCATCACAATGCAGCAGAGTGACCCTTGTAACAGAGTGAAGAACAAGGTGCGGGAAGGCTGAGGGGCCAAAAAAAAAACTGCCTGGAGAGCTGGGAAGACCCCCACGAGGGGTGGTGGCCACTCTGCCTCGGTTTCTGCTTGTCTCTCTCTGCGTATGTTCGCCTGCCCAATTCTCTCGCTTGCTATGCTTAAAAAAGAGAAGGAACTTCAGGCCCCTCCTTCTCTGGTGCCAACTCCAAAGGCTTTGTCCAGGATTACCCAAACCTCCCAGAGATTTAGGGGGTGGATCATAAAGCCATCCGTCTTCTCCACATGAGGTTTTCAGTCTCACACCCCCTCCCAGTCACCTGTCCTCATGTTTCATTCCTTTCTTGACCACAAGGCTCAGGCCCAGAGTTAAAAGGACCAAGCCCTAGAGTTAAAATAGTGCAGTCAAAGCATCAAGATCAATGTCAAACAACTCTAGGCTTACATGTCTTTCTCTGGGAAGGGGACAGTGTTTAAGCAAGTCCATGACCAGAACTGACCTCCTTCAGGGTAGGGGAGGCACATGGATATGTGGGCCAAGTGAGATCCCCTTGGTGGGCAGGAATGGGGAGGAACCGGGCACACTTAATTGTTTTCAGTCCAATCACAGGCTTACGACAAGTTCAGACTTCTGCAGTTGGGGTGGGAGTTTTGGGAAAGGACAGGTACAGGTGGAAGACGATGGTTCTTTGAACCAGGGCTGACCCTTGTGTCCCCTTCAGGGCGCCCATGTGAGTTGTTACCGCCTCCACTGTCCGCCTGTCCACTGCCCCCAGCCTGTGACGGAGCCACAGCAATGCTGTCCCAAGTGTGTGGGTAAGTAGCCATGCTCCTCCCCATCGTCCATGGACCTTTCTCCTACTCCCAGTGTAGCCCTCTAGCTGAGGGAGACCCCTGCAAGGAGAGGGGCAGTCTCTACCCATCAGAGGTGTAGACACACAAAGGTGCTCAAGGGAGGAAATATCCCAGATCCCCAGGCAGTGCTGGGGTAGCAGAGACTTCATGTCCTTAAGTAGGTGTGCATGGCAGGGGAGGGAGGACATGCAGAAAGGAGCTGCAGGAAACAGGGCCTTGCTTGGGCTGCTGACTGGCACACTTAGGCTCCAGTCTCCCTTGGGCCTTCCAGAGCTGGAGGGTGTGGGCGCAGTCTGGGAAGTGAAGGTGAGTGATCTTGGGCTTGAAGGTCCTAAGGGGAGACCCCAGAATTACCACTGGGGGAGCTCAGAAGGACTAAAGGAGTCAGGCCCTGTTCTCTGAGATTCCTCCCACTGCTGAGATTCAGGGACTCTATGTGTCCTGATGCTAAATGTCTATGATTCCATGATTTTAAGATTCTAAGAGCCTCTGAGAATAAGATTCTAGGAAGAAGAAGTCAGAGAAAGGAGAGGTGGTCTAGGAAGAAACTGGCAAAACCAAGTGTCCAGTGAGGGGCAGCCAGAGGGGAGGCCAACTTGGAGGTGGGAGGGGAGGTTGAGAGGAAAATTGATGTTTAGAAGCATCAAGAAAGTGGTGAAGAAGAGGCTCCAGATTTTGGCCTCGGGTCGGGGCTCTGGAATCAGGACTTTCCTGGTGAGCTGGTATGGAGTGGGGCTCATTTTCCAGGGGGGAGCCCAGTAGGGATCTGACTCGTGGCCCCTACATGGGTCATAGAGATTCCTGGCTGTGGGTCCCCGGGGGGACAGTGGCTCTCAGCTTCATCCTGCACAGTGAGGGAGTGTCCTCATGTCTGATGCCGACTCTGGGGGGCCTCACCTCTCCTTGCTGACTTTGGGATTTTCCCCTGTGCTTGGCCCAGGCCTCTTGTTGCTAAAACACTCTTCACTCCCTCTCTCTTCCCATCCCCTGCCCCTGTGCCTGCTTGGCTCCACAGTTCTTCAAGACTCTGCTCACCGTTGCCATGCCATCGGCCCTTCAGGAAGCCTTCCCTGGCCATTCCTCCCCGGCTGAGTTAGAGGCTCCTCCTCTCTGCTGTCACAACTTCTGTGCTTCCATCCACCCTAGCCCTCACCTGCTACAGCATCATTGCTTGTGGCTTGTCTTTCTGCCTAATTAGATTTCAAACTTCTTTTTTAAAAATTAAAAAAAAAGTTCTGGCCAGTCACGGTGGCTTGTATCTGTAATCCCAGCACTTTGGGAGGCCGAGGCGGGCGGATCACAAGGTCAAGAGATTGAGACCATCCTGGCCAACATGGTGAAACGCCATCTCTACTAAAAATACAAAAAAATTAGCTGGATATGGTGGCATGTGCCTGCAGTCCCAGCTACTCAGGAGGCTGAGGCAGGAGAATTGCTTGAAGCTGGGAGGTGGAGGTTGCAGTGAGCTGAGATCGTGCCACTGCACTCCAGCCTGGTGACAGAGCAGGACCCTCTCTCAAAAAAAAAAGAAAAAAAGGAAAAAAAATTTAAAAAATGTTGCCCAGGCCAGTCTCGAACTCCTAGAGTCAAGTGATCCTCCCACCTCAGCCTCCCAAAGTGCTGGGATTATAGGCGTGAGCCACCTCACCCGTAATTTTTGAGTCTGAGTTTCTTGGTGGCAAGGGCTAAATCTTACTCATTGCTCCATTCCCAATGCCTAGCATGGTGCGTAGAACAGAGGAGTGCTTAGTCAAGGGGTCTTGAATGAATGAGTGGGCTCTCTCAGGACCAGAGGCTTACCCCTCCACCTGGCAGGATGAGGACGGACTGATGGGCAGGTGATGGGGAGGGGGGCTCTGGGGGCCAGTGAATGACAGGAGTTTACCCAAGCACAGGGACAATCATGCCAGCTGGCACCACTAGAATGTAACCCTGTGAGGGCAGGGACTCTTTTGCTCACTGCTGTATCCCCAGCACCTAGAACAGTGCCTGGCACTGAGAAGTGCTCCATGAACCCTCATTAAATGCTGGATGAACTAACTCGGGCCCCACTGAGCGGAAGCTGAGGCTGCCGGCTTTACCTTCTTGCTCTGGTTGGGGCTGGCCCAGACACTGAGGGGGCTGGAGGGCTGTGGTAGAGGTCATGGGAGGGAGGGACTCAGTCAGATGTAGGTATCAGAGGGACCTCTTAGTTAGCTGATAAGGGGAATGGCTGGCAAGGCCCAGGCCAGAGCTTGGTTTAAATATCAAGCTGGGGTCAAATGCAAAATCATCAGAAAAGTGGCCTTGTTAATTTCAGCAAAGATTCACATGAAACCTCATTTTCTTCTTCCTCCTGCCCCTCCCCCACTGCAGAACCTCACACTCCCTCTGGACTCCGGGCCCCACCAAAGTCCTGCCAGCACAACGGGACCATGTACCAACACGGAGAGATCTTCAGTGCCCATGAGCTGTTCCCCTCCCGCCTGCCCAACCAGTGTGTCCTCTGCAGCTGCACAGTAAGAACTCCTGCCTTCCCTTCAGCACAGGCCAGCGCTCTGGGCCTGCAAAGAACATAGTAGCCTGGACTGCGGACTGGGGGGATTGTTCCTCCTGGCCAAAGCAAAATGAATGGGCTCAGGGGAAAGGGAATATCTGGGGTTTGGAATGTCCTGTCCCTAGCTGGGTCAGGTGACCATTCTCTGAGCTTCCACACCTTCCTGAGCCTTCTGTTTCCCCCAGTAGACGCTGCATTCCTTGAGGGGAGGAAACATATGTTTTTCATTTCTTTATCCTCTGCTGTCAGTCCAGGGCCTAAAGCACAAAAGACATCTGTAATGATTATTGAATGAGAGAATGAATACGCAAATGATCAGTTATCAGTCCTGGGGGACAGAGACAGGGCCAGATTATCTGTAGCAAATGGAAATTAATCTGAAGCTACTTAAACTCCTCCTGCCTATTGTTAGAGCTGGACCTCCGGGCAGGCAGGGCTGACTCGGCAGTGTTATCATGGGACAGAGACTGAAGCTAAGCAGGGCCTCCTCTGGAAAGTCTTCAGCCTCCTCCTTGTAAGGGAACTGGGGTGTAGGCATGGCCTTCCTATAGGTTTGCAGGTGGCTTTCCGCGTGTCATTTTTTTTTTTTTTTTTTGAGACGGAGTCTTGCTCTTTCACCCAGGCCGGAGTGTAGTGGCGTGATCTCGGCTCACTGCAAGCTCCGCCTCCCGGGTTCATGCCATTCTCCTGCCTCAGACTCCCGAGTAGCTGGGACTACAGGCGCCCACCACCACGCCCAGCTAATTTTTTGTATTTTTAGTAGAGTCGGGGTTTCACCGTGTTAGCCAGGATGGTCTCGATCTCCTGACCTCGTGATCTGCCCGCCTCGGCCTCCCAAAGTGCTGGGATTACAGGCGTGAGCCACCGCGCCCAGCCCAGCATGTCATTTTTAACCCTGGGCTTGGCAACTCATCCGTGAATTGGCAGGAGAAGTCCCTGCCCTCCCGATTTATTTACTACCTGATCACCACACTTGGGCCTCAGTTCCTCTGAGTGCGTAAGGGAGTCTGACCAAGTGATCATTAATGTTCTCTCCAGACTAGTATCAGAAACCTGTGTTTGATCTCCAGCACTGTCCCAGTTCCCTGTGTGACCTCAAACAAGTCACTTCTTTTGGGCCTGCCTCCCTATCTTTTCAGTGACAGGGTCCCATCAGTCTGAGTCTTTGAATCTTAAAGTTTCTGTGCTGCAGAGCAAACAGCCTGCAAATAATGAGGAGTGACTACTTATAAATCAACCTAGTAAGCAATTACCTTTTGCAGGGTGTGAGCCTTTTGCAGTGGTCTAGTCTGTTGTGTCACCAGGTTCATAGAAATGCCTGGTTTATAGACAGTACCCGAATGACCCTAGGAGAAGGATATCACTATTTCTGTTTTCCAGATGAGGAAACGGGCTCAGAATAGTTAAGTGACTTGCCTGAGATCACACAGCTAGTAAGTGACAGAGCCAGAATTCAGACCCAAGGCCACCTGGCTCCAAAGCCAATGTTCTTTTCCCTGTGTCCTGCTGCCTCCCCTGAAGGGATGAGGCCTGGATGAGGAGGGGGCTGTGGCGAGAGACAGAAATGCTGGGTGGTGGGTGGTGAGAGCATTCCCAGGATTCCTCTGTTCATTCTCCCTGGGTACTTGGGCCTCCCCTTCTTCCTTCTCATCCCTGATTATATGAGGCTGGCTTTTCTTCTGGCCTCACCCGAGGGACCGGAACACTCACTTCTCAGACCCTCTGGAAAGGGAACAGGGAAAGGTCTCAGGGCAATAGTGCTTCCCCCCAGGCACGTTGTGCCTTGTGCTTTTCACAGCCATTCCCTCACTGGATCTTCACACCCCAAATGGGTGTGACCCCACTTCACAGAGGAGGAATCTCAGGCCCAGAGGAAAGAAGTGACCACCAATGGTCACCTGGCCCCTGACCCCCAGAAGGCCCCTTCCCCTGCAGTCTTGCCTTTCAAGGCTGGATCCCAAAGTTGGAAACCAAGGGCTTTCAGTAAAGAGCAAGATGAGCCCAGGTATCACCCACCTGTCCCCCTCCCATGATGTTGATTTCAGTGGGAAAAGCTTGAAGACTGGGCCCCAACTGTCTTTCTAACCTGAGATGGCTCAGGCCCCGCTCCGGCTCCTCATTTGTAGGATAGGGAGATTCCCGCCTTACCAGGCAGCAGCTAGGGACAGCCTGGCTGTGAGTGAGTCAGAAGCTGAAGGCTGGATGTTACCTGCAGGGCCTGGAAGTGGGGCTGGGAGGGCACGGGGGACCCCTCCTCTGAGCTGGCCGGGCCTTGCTGTGGAGATGCTGTTGCTTCCCCTCCCCACCATAGGAGAGACCTCAAGGCCATTTGCTCCCAGGGAAGGGGGTGTTCCTAGCCCCCAAGGCTAGCCCTTATCAGAGCTCATTTCCCAGCTGGTTTGCTCTATCTGTCAGGAGGGCCAGATCTACTGCGGCCTCACAACCTGCCCCGAACCAGGCTGCCCAGCACCCCTCCCGCTGCCAGACTCCTGCTGCCAGGCCTGCAAAGGTGAGTCTGTCCCTCCATCTGGCAGCACTCACCCACCCCTCCACTCCATGGGCCTAGCCATGGACTGTGAGAGCCGTGAGGAACTGCAGGTGACACCCAGCATGTAGCAGACGGCTCTTTCCTCCAGGGTGTGGCTTAGCCTGCACCCCCCAGAAAGCAGAGCCTGGCAGAAGCTGATGTGTTACTTATTTTTATTGCAGTCATTGGGGGAGGAAAGAGGGAAAGGCAGAGTGAAGAAGGTAAAGAGAGAGAAGCAATACAGGAATATGTCCAGGGGCTGGCCTCTGCTTGCTAACCAAGCAAAAGTGACCTATTGCTCTAAGTAGTCTCTGCTTCTCAGAAAAGTCTGGGCGTGGTAGAGGAAGCAGTAAGAATGTGTCCACCAGCCACCAACTATCTCTCCATTGAGCCCAAAGCTCATCCATGTGTGGGACTTCCCTGCTGTGCATGCATGGGTGGGTGCTAAGTAGCCCTGGGAGCAGAGGCAGGAGTGGGCTGGGGTAAGGAGTGGGCGCAGGGGATGTGGACAGGAGCTGCGGGCTTGAGGGAGGGGCACTGTGAGGCTGAGCCTGAGGGAAGTGTTGGGGAGCCCGTGCAGGGGGGCTGCTGCTGCAGTGCCTGCCATGGGGGGACAAAGTCCCTGCAAGCAGATGAGCTGAGAGAACCATAAGTGGCACGTGAGAGGGGTCTAGTACAGGTAAGGACTACGTCTCATCCTGCCTTCCTGACGGCAGAGCTGGTCACAGTATTGGGCTCACCAGGGCTCAGAACATGTCTTTTATACAGAACCCAGGTAGAACCTCTTATAAAGCAGGGAGGCAACACATCAGCTAGCAAAGGGCAGGCTAAGCGTGAGCAGAATGAAATGGTCGGACTGTTCCCTGCAGGCTGAGGTAGTCAAGGAAAGCCTCCTGGAGGAGGTGGCACTCAGGTAGGGGAGTGCTCCACAGTGGATGCATCCCCAGATGTTTGCATTTTGGAAGGAGCACTGGACTAGGAATCAGGTGACTCCAGTTTAGTCCTGGTTCTTCCAGCTAACTCCATAAATTCCTTCCCTTCTCTGGGCCTCAGTTGTGCCCTGTGATTTCTAACACAGTCTAATTCCAATGTTCTGGGTCTTTGA
The DNA here is from genome assembly GCF_000001405.40 of Homo sapiens. Classification (NCBI taxonomy): domain Eukaryota; kingdom Metazoa; phylum Chordata; class Mammalia; order Primates; family Hominidae; genus Homo; species Homo sapiens. The sequence goes on along the minus strand of NC_000011.10, from coordinate 74,707,178 downwards.
AACGGGAATGATTGGTGGGAATCAGACTGTGGAGTGAGGCAAGAGATAGGGAGAGAGAGGCCCACTCGGGTTTAGGAAGCTGCAGGGCTCCAAACGGCTTTGTGTGCTGGTTTCCCAGGGGAATAGGGACTGGCAGGGTGCTCAGGCTGGAGGGGCGAAGGGGCTGGAGTGTAGGGTCCTGGGAGTGTAAACCAAGGCCTGCTGACTTCAAGTGTGGCTGCCCAGGAAACTGCATCTATGCAGGCTGCAGGGATGGGATTCTGGGCCTTTGGGCCATCCATGGTAAATACTGAAAGGTATGGCCCAGTGTCCCAGAGAGGTGAGTTTCAGTAAGGACCAAACAAGATGCTCTGTTTCAAGGACTTCAGTCCTAATGGTTACCAGGAGGTCAGTACAGGGAAACTGAGGCAGCAACCCAGTTGTAGGGGACTTCATCAACCCAACCAGGATGAAGAGAGGCTGTAATGGGAAGTGGAAGAAGTCCCCACTGGGGCAAAGGAGCTGGCTAGTGGGCTGGGGCTGCAGATGGGACAGCAGGCCTTGGGAATGGACAGAGCCTATAGGTGGAGGCCTCAGGGCTCTAGCCAGCAAGGCTGGGGAGCCTGAGGCTGACCCAGCTTCCCTTTGAGTTTTCAGATGAGGCAAGTGAGCAATCGGATGAAGAGGACAGTGTGCAGTCGCTCCATGGGGTGGTGAGTGCACGGCCTTATTGACGGGGTGCGGGACAGGGGGCTGGGATCCAGGGCCTAAATCTCGTGACTCTGGGGCAGGCAATACCAGTTATTGTCCTCATTTCTTGTTTGTCCCCTGGGTTGGCTACATGAACATCCACTATATTCCAGCCCCTCTCCCTAGCCTCCCATCATGGGTCCCATCATGGTTGATGGATAAGGAGTGGCCTGGGGGAAACAGGTCACCACGCAGGGCAGCAGCAGGCCCCAAACTTCCTCACTTTCCTCTTGAGAAACACTTTGACACTGTTCCATCTACAGCCTGTGTCTCCCCTTAATTCAGGCAACCTTCTTCCCAGGGAATGGCCTCTAACTTGGGCCAGCCTTCCCCACCCAGTTCCTGAGGTACTGGCTCTTTAGAGCCTGCCTCTCTGTACCCCCCTGTATCTTGGCCCCTCTCAAGCTTGGTCTAGGTTAAGATGGGCTTAGCTGGACAGCTGTCTCTGATCTGAGAGGAAGGAGATAGAGAATCACACATTGATTCAAGTCCCTGATGGGTCCTCTCTGCTATGTCTGCCACATGAACAACTCCACCTGCTATTTCAGCCTGGGTCTCCTGGTCTCCGGGAGACTAGAGGCTGCCTCCCCTTCCCAGAGATTCCCCAGAAGCCTGAGCCCATGTCCACACCCTTCTCCTCTGCCAGCTCATCCTGCTGCCCTCCCCACCCAGGCAAGGCCTTCTCAGGTGGGGGCCTGAGACCTGAGAGCTGAGGGTACCACAGGACCTAAGCCATTCCCTCCACTTTCCTTCCTGTCCTCTTCCTAGGAGGCAGTGCGTAAGTGAAACCCACCCAGGCTGAGTTCCAGGCTCTGATCAGCTACTTACTGACGGGCTGGGTGACTGGAGCAAGCATTAGGAGACTGAGCTGTTTGATTCCCTCTTGCCTTTATTCCACTCAACACACATCTCCCAGGAGTGTCCTATCTGCCTGAGCCCGTGCTGGGGCCTGGGACAGTTTCCACTCTGGGAGCTCTTGTGAGCTCAGGCTCTGGGCCATCGGAGAACTGATGCAGGGACTGTACCAGGCAGGAATGGGCTCTAGAAGAAGGAATGTGTGTGGCTCCAGGTCAGCGAGGGAGGTAATAGGCTCTGGTCCCTGCCCCAAGCCCACTTGCTCCTCTCCTGTGGCCGGGAGCTGCCCAGTCCCCAAACTCTGAGCTGTCCTCGCCACACTCCTATTGCTGTCACTGACAGCCCTCTCAAGACCTGGTCTGGAGGGACAGGGTCTGGGGGTTTTGGATCCCAGGGGTTCAGGAAAGAGAGCCTAAGCTTCAGAGACCCTTTGTCTCTGGATGGGGCCTGCTCTTGGTCTTCACGCCCCATGGGATTCTGGGGCCTGCCTGATGCCATCTTCAGAGGGCCATCCCCTTGTCCAGCCACCAACTAAATCTCCGCAAAGGAGAACTGCCTGCCGTGCATCCTCACTGCATGCTCACCTTCTGTTTCCCAAATATGAAGTTCTCCCTGATCAGTTACGTCTGTCAGATCAAGACCTCAGCACCCTCTGCCCACCCCAACCCCAAGGCCCCTGGCTCTGACAAGGCCCAAGAAGGGCTTCGTGGAGGCCAGATTTCCAAATCACTATCCTCTGAGAGTTTTCAAAGATCGAACTGTCTGAAAACATCTTAGACCTCATCCAGATCTTTCTATCCCTGGTCTCTACCTTCTCTTCTCTGGGAAGTCATGCTGGGGTCTCCCCACAGCCTCTTGCTGCAGCCTGTCTTGCTGTTCTGGCTCCAGCTGGGGCCTGCTATGCTCAGTCAGTGACTTTCATCCTTCCTGCCATTTGCAGAGACATCCTCAGGATCCATGTTCCAGTGATGCTGGGAGAAAGAGAGGCCCGGGCACCCCAGCCCCCACTGGCCTCAGCGCCCCTCTGAGCTTCATCCCTCGCCACTTCAGACCCAAGGGAGCAGGCAGCACAACTGTCAAGATCGTCCTGAAGGAGAAACATAAGAAAGGTGGGGACTGGACCCTCCTCCAATCTGTGAGGCAGGGAAGGGGGGCCCTGACTGCTCCCACCTCCCACCCCCAACCCCCTGAACCCTCTCCTCAGCAGTTCCCTAATTCCAACTTGGCCATGAGCTTGTAGACTCGGAGAACGCCAAAACTGAATGAGGGTGCTCTTAAAGATCATCAGGTTCAAACCCCCATTTGACAGATGAGGACACTGAGGTTCAGAGTATTGAGTAAGAGACAACTAGTTCTGGAACAGTACAAGATTTTTTTTAGCATCTACCGAGTCTTTGCTGGGAAGAGGGGCAGACAGAACAGATAGATGGGAAATGGAAAATGGTCTCTGCCCTTGAGGGGCTCATAGACTAGTTGGGAAGACAGACAAGTAAATAAATGACTTTAATATAAGGAAGTGTGCTGAGGGACAGTTTTTGACAAAGGAAGGAGGGAGCAGAGCGAGGCTGCAGGAGGACAGTGGGGATGAAGTAGAGAAGGTGGCCAGATGGGCAGCCATGGCCACAGAAGGGGAGAAAAGAGACCTCCTTGCAGGGTGCCCTGATGGCTGGAGAAGGAAGAGCTATGGGGCTACTGAGTCCTGGCCCTGCCTTGTTCAGATGGGACACTGAGGCAGAGGGGGGAAAGGGACCTGCCAGGGCTCACATGACCAGGTGATGACGAAAGTTGACCTCAGTTCTCCTACCACAAGATCAGCACTCTCCTTGCTCCCGCAGAAGTGCCCTGAAGGGTGAGGGAGGACTCTTCATCTTCAGTAAGTTCCTTCTGGGCCCATCTCAGCTCTGAGTGCTGCAGTGGGCAGTGTCAGGGAGAGGGGACAGGTTTTATACCCTGGCCTATGCTTTGCAGGCAGTGTGGCTAGGCAGGACTGGTAAAGTGAGGGCTCCCCAAGGGCCCACCCCACCCGCTGCTGGACCAGAGGCCCTGGCCAGGTCTGAGGCCCTGATCCTCCTTCCTTCTCACCCTCCTTATTCAGCCTGTGTGCATGGCGGGAAGACGTACTCCCACGGGGAGGTGTGGCACCCGGCCTTCCGTGCCTTCGGCCCCTTGCCCTGCATCCTATGCACCTGTGAGGATGGCCGCCAGGACTGCCAGCGTGTGACCTGTCCCACCGAGTACCCCTGCCGTCACCCCGAGAAAGTGGCTGGGAAGTGCTGCAAGATTTGCCCAGGTACACAGGGGCACTGGGAGCAAGGAGGGCGCTGGCCAGAGTGAGCCCTGGGTCTCTCTCCCCAGGGCCACAGACACTTGGAGCATCTCAGACATGGAAGGGCATGCATCGGTGCCACAGGATGCAGGGCATGTCAGACACACAGGAGTGGAAAATGTCAGATGAAAATATTAAATGGATAGAACCATGCGGTGTCAGGATAATAGATTCAGAGGTTGTTAACATAGAATCAGTAATGTTCCGGATTCCATGAAGTCACAACATTTTAGAATATTAGAGCTTTGAAGAGGTACAGCCAACGTTTATTGAACACTTCATGAGCTTCTTGTCTCTCCAGAGGACAAAGCAGACCCTGGCCACAGTGAGATCAGTTCTACCAGGTGTCCCAAGGCACCGGGCCGGGTCCTCGTCCACACATCGGTATCCCCAAGCCCAGACAACCTGCGTCGCTTTGCCCTGGAACACGAGGCCTCGGACTTGGTGGAGATCTACCTCTGGAAGCTGGTAAAAGGTGAGTGCTGGCCCACTCCCAGTGGGGTGTACCTCTGGCCAGTCCCCCTTCCCGTGCCCCAGACCCCACAGGGGCCTTAGGGACGTTTTGCTGATCAGGTGCCTCTGGCTGCCCCGCCAGGTTTAAGAGCCCCTGATTCCAAGATGCAGGAAGATAGTGAGCCTGACTGGTTCTCTACAATTCTGATAAGCTCCTCCTGCTAATGCCAAGGCTCGATAGTGCTCCCTCTCCTGGGGGGAAGGCGCTGTTGCACCTTGTGAGGAGCCAGGCAGGGAGAAATAGACAGATGTCTAATGGCAGGATTTTAGCACTGGGAGCGGGGGTCTTCTCAGGCAGGAGGGCCCTCACAGCATCCTCAGAGTAGGAGGGCCTGGAGGCTGGCTGTGTTCAGCCTTTTTAAGGTGGTGGATCTTATCACTCCCAGGTAAGTGGACATCAGAACCACAGTTCTCATTCTGTGAGAAACCCACCCTCTTCAACAATCTGCTGCTATCACCAACTGAAGGTCAAGAGGAGTTTTTTCTACTTTTTTTTTTTTTTTGAGACAGGGTCTCAGTCACCCAGGCTGGAGTGCAGTGGCATGATCTCGGCTCCACTGCAACCTCATTCTCCTGGGCTCAAACGATCCTCCCATCTCAGCCTCCTGAGTAGCTGGGACCACAGTTATGAGCCACCACGCCCAGCTAATTTTTGTATTTTTTTTGTAGAGATGGGGTTTTGCCATGTTGCCCAGGCTAGTCTGGAACTCCTGGACTCAAGCAATCCTCCGGCATCAGCCTCCCAAAGTGCTGGGATTACAGGCGTGAGCCACGACACCCAGCAGGTTTTCATCGATAAGGAAATTGCTGAAAGTTCAGTTTCGTGGCCTTTCTTGTAAAACATAAGTCCTCTGGGTAGAGTGAACTGTTAAGCCATGATCCAAATTAAACTCTTTTAAGTGTGAATTAGCTCTAAAGTTCCTTTCCTCTACTGATGGTTTTGGCTGGCGGGGTGGGGGTGGAAGAGGGAATGATGATAAGAAAAATGACAATGATAATAATAACCAATGTGTGTAGCACTTTGGAGTTTACAAAGTGCTTTCACATTCACTATCTCATTTGATCCTCAACGATCCTGAGAGTTAGATATTATTATCCCCATTTTACAGATGAGGAAACTGAGGCTCAGAGAGGTGAAGTACCTGGCCCAAGGCCACACAGCCAGTAAGTGGAGGACGGGAGCTAGAGCCCATGTCTTGTGGCGTCAGATGCGGCTCTTTCCCTGCTCTACTCTGCCCCCTGTCGTAGGAGGAATGGACGAAGAAAGTGGAGCTGTTCAGCCTGGAGAAGAGAAGACTCAGGGGGACAGGACTGCTGGCTTCGTGGCTCTGAAGGGCTGTCCCAGGCAGAGGGAGCAGCTGTGTTCTGAGTGACCGCAAGAGTCAAACAACAAGCAGGGGCTTTGGGTTCGAATCCTAACTCTGCCAGTTTGAATCCAGACTCTGCTATATCTTAGCTGTGTGGCCTTGGGCAGTCACATGATCTCTCTGGGCCTCAGTTTTCTCTTCTGTAGAGTGGGGAAGAGGGTTTTTAGAGGATTAAATGACATGACATCGGTGCAGCCCCTGACATACACGAGGCACTAAAAATATCAGTCTTCTCATTCCACCATATCAGGTTGGTGAGAAATGCAGAGAGGCAGCTTTCAGCTCCAAGAGAAGAAGAACTTTGTCACACTTAGAGGCTTCTGCCAGTGGAAGGGAGGGAGCAAGCTCCACTTACGAGAAGCGTGCAAGCAGGGGCTGGTGGGGATTCCGTCTGCAGCTGGGGAGTTAGATTCAGTAACCCTTAAAATTTTTTGAGCCTTAAGATTCCATCAGTCCCAGCTGGGCCTGGTGGCTCACACCTGTAATCCCAGCACTTTGGGAGGCCAAGGTGGGCGATCGCTTGAGCCCAGGAGTTTGAGACCAGCCTGGCCAACATGGTGAAACCCCATCTTTACTAAAAATACAAAAATTAGCCAGGCATAGTGGTGGGCGCCTGTAATCCCAGCTACTCAGGAGGCTGAGGAAGGAGAATCACTTGAGCCCAGGAGGTTGCAGTGAGCTAAGATCGTGCCACTGCACTCCAGCCTGGGTGACAGAGTGAGACTCCGTCTCAAAAAAAAAAAAATAATAATAATAATAATAATAAAAAAAAGATTCCATCAGTCCCTGGGCAGGTTTTGGCCACATGTTTACTCTGGGCCTCTCTCTCTCCGCTGCCCCCAACTAAGTGCCGGGACATGGAGCATAATAGGCCCCAGCCTCTGTCCTTAGGAGGCTTAGTGACCTGGGTGCAGTGGAGCTTATTGGGAGCTGAGCTGGTCAGGGAAGGCTTCGTGAAGGATGGGCCTCAATGATGTAAAGAGCCAATGAACAGATAGTGTCACTAAAAATTAAAATAAGTAAGTAAATAAATAAAGAGGCAAAAAGGGTACACTGCAGCCAGGATGACAGTGAGAGCCTCAAACGCTGGCTCCAGAGCTCACGCCCATATGCCCTGTGCTCTGTGATTGGTGTGTAGCAGGCACTATGTATAATGTATCTCATTTAATCCTCTTAAGAAACCTAAGGGGCACGTATTAATGCCCCCATTTTGCAGGTAAGAAAACTGAGTCTGAGAGGTCAAATGACTTACTCAAAGTCACACAGTTTAAGCAGTAAAGCAAAGATTCAAATCCAGCTCTGACTGTCCCCAGTGCCACCTCCACAGAGGTGACCTCGTGCTTTTAGGGAGGATGGCCAAGGTGTGCCAGGATGGCACAGTGGGGGCATAGCTCATGGCCAATCTCATTGTCACCAGGCCCAGCAGAAAAGGAAAAACAACTTCACAATGCCAGGCCCTGCCATCCTGTCACTAGCAAACCGCACCCCATCTCCTCACCCTGTGGGTTGCCTAAATGCCCCATCAGCCTCCCTGTTCCCTCCCTGTCCCAGACCGTGGGAGTTAAAACAAACACTACCCAGGGTTGATTGTCAGTGGGAACCACTCACTGTTTCCCCAGTCCAAGGAACGGAAACAAAGTGAGCAGGCAGATGCTAGGTGAGGCCACACCACGAGGGGCCAGCCCCAGACACAGGAATCTAACCAGATAGTTGGCTTAGGGTTAAGGGCCTTTTAGATTCTAAAGTTTCACAGTAGAAAGGATGTCGGGGTCTCAATTCCAAGCCCTGTCTAGGAAGGAAGCCCCCCTGCAGCCTCCTGATGGCTTGATGGTATCTGGCACCTGACTGTACATACCCCCACTCCTACTCCAGATAGGTGACACACTTCCAACACTGTGAATTGCTCAGCCCAAAGGGCATCTGACTTCACACTGAGCTGAGCCTATCCTGTGTCCCTGGACTTGCCCATTGGTGCCAGCTCTGCTTTGAGGATCCACAGAGCCTACCTGCCCTCAGACCTGCCACAGCCCTTCAAAGGGCAAGAGGCACAACCATGACCCTCAGGCTAGCTCTTGATTCCAGGCCAGAGACCCAGTCCTTTCAATTATGCTTTAATGCTTTACAGACCACAGTGTGGGAACCCGCCCTCATCCCTGCCACCTTCTCTCCAATTTTTCTGTAACTCGGGAGCATGCAGTGGCAGGCCTGTGCCGAAGGACCCATCCCCATCTCATCTCATGCTTGTTGCCTGCCGCTATGATATAATCCCTGGGCCTTTGGAGTTTCTTCCATATCCTGGTCCTTGGCATCTGGGCTGGGGGGGTCCATGGACAGTGCTGGACATTTCCTGATTCCTGGAACTCAGTCCCAGGATTAGGGTTTTCTGTTCCCCTTGGCGGTAATCCCACGCTGATTCCCATAAGCAGGGCCAGTTCTTGGTCTTCTTAAAGGCAGTGCTGGCCTAGCAGAGGCCTTGCTGGTTGCATCTGTTCTTTCTGGCCAGAGACCTTGGTGGGTAACAGCTGGTGCAGCCTCACAGCCCATGTGCTCAGGGCCTCAGAGCCATGTGTGGTGCCAGTGGCCAGCACCCCATGAGATGCAAACATCAGGGGATCCAGCTAATACCTCATTCCCCCTTGGGGCCTGGCCTAGACTGGGTATGTGGGGTGTGTGTGTGTGTGTGTGTGTGTGTGTGTGTGTGTGTGTGTGTGTATTTGTTCATCTATCTATCCATCCATCCATCCATCCATCCATCCAGGGATTCATTCATTCTACATGCCAAATGTGGGCCAGGCTCAAGGGACCCAGAGAGGAGAGCCCTCTGGGAGTCCCCAGTCTGGTAGAGGAAGCAGGAGTAGACACAATGAGAGCACATTAGAAACAGGCACAATCACAGATGGAAGCCAGGTGCTGTGGGTGCCCCAAGGAGGAATTGCCTCGGGTGGATTAGGGAAGACTTCCCAGCTAAGGCTTGGAGCACAGGTAGGAGTTCATTTGGTGCTAATAGTAGAAGTCGTGGCCAGGTGCAGTGGCTCACGCCTGTAATCCCAGCTTGTGCTTTGGGAGGCCAAGGCAGGTGGATCATTTGAGGTCAGGAGTTTAGCATGGCTTACATGCTAAAACCCAGTCTCTACTAAAAATACAAAAAAAAAAAAAAATTAGCCAGGTGTGGTGGCGGGCACCTGTAATCCAAGCTACTCAGGAGGCTGAGGCAGGAGAATCGCTTGAACCCGGGAGGCAGAAGTTGCAGTGAGCTGAGATCATACCATTGTACTTCAGCCTGGGCAACAAGAGTGAAACTCCGTCAAAAAAAAAAAAAAAGAAAAAAAAGTAGAAATAGAAGGCAATAGTAGAAGATATTCCAGCAGAGGGAACGGCATTTGAAAAGGCTTGGCCTCCTCAGGGGACGTCAAGTACTTGGTTAGGGCTAGGGCACAGGCAAGCCACTGTAACTCTGCCACTTGCTAGTTCTTTGGTATCTGAATAAACACACCTATTGATTTTTATCATATGTTCTATGCCCTGAGAAAAGCGTGACCAGTTCACATGAGCCAGCCAACCTTCCTTCCTCCCTTCCTGCCCTCCTTTCCTTTTTCCCTCCTTCTCTTTCCTTTCTTCCTCCTCTCCCTCCTGCCTTCCACTTCCCTCCCTCCCTGCACTGGGGACAGGTGGGTGTTGTGAGAGCAGGATGGTGCAGGTGACAGGAGCAGGATCAGCAAAGAGAACAGACAGAAGAAAACAGGCTTCACTGTGGAGGCGACAGGACGTCAGGGAAGGGGAATGACAGGGTGACGTATACATGTTCTAATGACCAGAGCTAGGATTGCAGATTAGAGGGGGAGTGAAAGGGGTTAGGACTCTAGTGTAGTGACCCAGACAAGACAACAGGGGCCTGAGTGAGGATAGTGGCAGAGAGATAGGAGAATGGATTCAAAATATTGAGGAAATGTCATCAGCAGGATTTTGTGTCTGATCAGAATGGGGTGGGGGAGGGAGTGATTGGGTCCGTTCTGTGCTAAGTCACCCTGTTTCACTTTTCACCGACTGTAGGTTTTTGCCTTGCCTGCTCACATCCTTGTCTCTGCCCTCAGGAATCTTCCACTTGACTCAGATCAAGAAAGTCAGGAAGCAAGACTTCCAGAAAGAGGCACAGCACTTCCGACTGCTCGCTGGCCCCCACGAAGGTAGGAGCTTGGGCTGAGGAATGGGGCCGGGGCAGGAAGAAGGCAAGGACACGGGCCAGAGCCTTTCGGGGAGTTCCCAGGCTGCTGGTGCCGGGAGGAGGGGCTGTCAGCCACAGACGTCAGTTCCCAGCACAGGAATCCAGCGGGTGTCTGCGCCAGAGATTTCCTAACTCCAGAGCGGGAAGGTGAAGCAGAGCTGGCTGGATTTGGTTCTGAGGGTGGAGGGAGAAAGGGCTGTGGAGAGGGGAGGTCTGAGCCCCCAAACCTGGGTACTGCCCACTCCCTCTCTACTGGAATGTTTCCACTTTCCTTCTATACCTTACTTTTAGGAAGATGGACCCAGGTGGGGTTTCAGGTCGGGGAGGGGAGGTCACAGAGGGGAGTATTACCAACAGGTGTCAGGAAACCAGTTCTGTCCCCCAAGGTTGTTTGAAAGCTGGGTCATGTGCCCCATCACACCCAGTGTGATGGCACACTCGCCTCCAGGCTCCCTGTGGGCTCCAAACCCTGGCCCTTGCAGTTCCTCCTGGCCCAAGGCTTTTCCAACCCCCAGCTGCTGCCTCTGTTGTGCACGTGCAGACACATACGCCTCTTCCCTCTTCTGCCCTCCTCCATGCAGGTCACTGGAACGTCTTCCTAGCCCAGACCCTGGAGCTGAAGGTCACGGCCAGTCCAGACAAAGTGACCAAGACATAACAAAGACCTAACAGTTGCAGATATGAGCTGTATAATTGTTGTTATTATATATTAATAAATAAGAAGTTGCATTACCCTCAGCCCTGCCTTCTGGGTTCATATCCAGTCTCCTGCATGCTCTCCTAGCAACTCCACAAGGCAGACCTGGTTATCCCCATTTTACAGGGGTGGAAACCAAGATCCAGAAGGGATAGAGAATGGTCCCAGTCCTCACAGTGAGTTGTCACCACAGCCAGGGCTAGCTCCCCCAGCCTCCTCACCCAGGCCCCCCACTGCAGCACCTCCTGCTTTTCCGGGCAGCCCCCCTCCCACAGCTCTTTGACACTGAGCCTCAGAAAGAGGAATGACTCTAATTAGCCAGGGGAGGGCGTTAATGGAGCCTTAAAGCACTTTCCCAGCAAGTATTCCTGGGATCCTCACCACTGTCTTCACACCCTACAATGAGGAAACCCAGTTAGGGAGGAGCAGCAGGCAGTCATTTGCCCAAAGCCGCAGAGCTGCTTAGTAGCAGATCTGGAGTTGGAAGCCAGATCTCTCGCTCCAGGCTAGCACTCCTTCCCCAGTTCCACAGTGTGGCCAGTGTCACGAGCCCAGATAGCCTCACCTCAGAGGATTTCCAAGACTGGGCGGTCAGATTGCTAACCTGGCACCATGCTCTGAGAAGGCCCAACAGTTAGCAATTAAAGACACCATTAGGGCCAGGCACGGTGGCTGACGCCTACAATCCCAGCACTTTGGGAGGCCGAGGGGGGTGGATCGTCTGAGGCCAGGAGTTCGAGACCAGCCTGGCCAACATAGTGAAACCCCATTTCTACTAAAAATACAAAAAATTAGCCAGGCATGGTGGTACACACCTGTAATTCCAGCTACTCGGGAAGTTGAGGCACGAGGATTGCTTGAACCCAGGAGGCAGAGGTTGCAGTGAGCCGAGATTGTGCCACTGCACTCCAGCCTGGGTGACAGAGTAAGACTCCATCTCAAATAATAATAATAATAATAATAATAAAATAAAGACACCATCAATTATTTACCCTGCCCACATGTACAAATCCTTATAATTTCAAAGATGTTTTAATGTCAATGATTTCACTTAAGGTGAAAGGTGTAGGCACTACCCACATTTTAGAGGAGGAGATGGGCTCAGGACCACCACATGTCTTCCCCAAAGCCTCACAGTGGTATGCTGAAGCCAGGGCTAGAACTCAGGCTCCCGGCCCCAGGCGGGGTTCTCTCCTCAGGACAGCTAGTCTCAATCCTCTCACAACCACGGCTCCTCCATCCCCTCCCCACCCAAGCCTGATCAAAGCTCCAGAGAAATGGTGGACAGTAGTCTGTTGACTGGACTTGTGCAGCCACTCAGAGGGCTCTGGCCATTGTCTCCACAGCCTTGGCCTTTTTTGTTTTTTTTTTTTAAGAGATGGGGTCTTGCTATATTGCCCAGGCTGGTCTAGAACTAATGGGCTCAAGCAATCCTCCTGCCTCAGCCTCCCAAAGTGGTGAGATTACAGGCATGAGCCACTAAGCCCAGCCTCCACAGCCCTAATCTTGAACCTAGGGTTACTAAGGTTTGGGAAGTCTGCTAAGGTTTGGGAAGTCTGATGCCACCCTTATTGAGCAGGGATGAGTGTCTCCCTCCCCTAACTCCTCTGCCAGCTCCCAGGGGTCTGGATTTGAAAGTTTGGGGTTTGAGGCTGGAATCTACCAACATCCCCTGAGTCAGAAGACATTCACCTTCTCCCCTCACAGCCTCTACCTGTCCCTCCTCAAGATGACTCACAATTTTGGCCTGGCTTGCTCACACAGAGGGTTCACTTGGAGCTCCAGGGATGGGTTCTGAGCTTGCCTCATTTAAAGTGCAGGAATCTGAAAGCTTAACCATTCACAGGATAAACTCTGGTCATCCTTCAGCCTATCTCAGATGTCTTCAGTGATACTTTCCCTGACACATCTGTGCCCTGTACCGTGGCTCCTTTCCTGGAAAATGGGGTTTGGAAACAGGGCTCTGTCATCAGAGGCAGTTCCAGGGTCTCCGGACAGGAGTGGACTTCGCTGTACACGTTTCCTGATGCTGCAGGCCAAATTGCCTTCCTGGTTTCTCTGATGGGCTTATGGGATGCCTCTGAGGTTCGCTTTTCCACCAGGGGGACACATTCAGCACACTGCCCTCTCCTGACTTTGGTCCAGACCTTTCTGTGTGTGTAAACATGGGCTCGCTATGTGAGTCTGCAGGCAGCTCTGCCATGTTGTCTTCTCTTTCATGGATTCATTCATAAAACAGCTTCGGCGCTGCTCTCGGGTGGGCTTTATGCTCGAGCACCAACACAGTGCAGGGAGCTAATTGCCCTTCCTGTGCTTTTAGAGCCTCAAGTCTGGAGGAGGAGATAGAGGAGGGAGCAGCATCCGAGCCCCTCAGTGTTGCCAGTGCTAAGGGCAGGGACCAAGGGGGCACAGCCCCAACCCAGACTGACGACACTCAAGCAGGCTCGGAAGGTGAGCAGGAGGTAGAAAAAAAAAGGGGGAGAGAGAGAGGAGGGTGGGTGACGGTACAGGAAGAGAAAACTTGGTAGACGGTGAAAAGTAGCAAGTTACGGCAGAACCACAAATAGCTCACTGTCACTGGATGATAATTTGAGGCAACGAGCAAAGGGAGGTGAGGCTGCACAGCTAGCTGAAGAGCTCTGACTGCATCCTGAAGGCTAGCAGGTAGCCCCAGGAGAGTTTCAATACTTTGGTCAGATTTGTGGTTGAGAACACTGGTTCTACCGGCCAGGTGAAGAATGGCCTGGCAGAGTGAGGCTGAGGCCAGGTAGGAGGTGGCTGTTATGGGATCCACGTGAGGATGACTCTGGCCTGGATAGGAGAGAGGTCATGGGCAAGGCACAACGGATGACTGGCTAGACTCAGGATTGAGGGAGAGCAAGGAGCAAGTGTGTACCTGGTGTCTCACTTGGTGATACCTTCTGGGAGAAGAAGCCAGAAGTTTCAGCTGAGCACACGCTGAGGCTCAGGAGGTATCCACAGCCCTCTGGGTTTAATAGGTCTGGAGAGAAAGCTGGGCTAGAGGCAGGGAGTTGGGAGCTGTTGACCTGTAGGTGGTAACTAAAGCTGGGAGAGGGGGTGACACTGGCCTGGGAGAGATGGTGGAGTAAACAGAGTGGGAGCAAGACGGACCCCAGAGCATCAGCAAAGGGTCAGCATGGCGGACAGGGAATAGGTCGGGGAGCAGGGTGCTGAGAGGGCCAGGGTGAGGCTGGCAAAGAGACCTTCGTGGAAACAAGGAGGCTCCAATGGCCACAGCAGGGAGCACAGTCAGGAGAGCTGAGAGGTGGGAGCTGAGTTTTAGGTGCTGAGACGGTTTCTGGGAAGTGAGGAAACAGACAAGCATTTTAAGAAAGCTGGCAGTAAAGAAGAAGAGAGGCAGGGCTGTGGCTGGCTGTGCACATGGGCTTGAAGAAGACAGCTTTTTGGCTGAGAGCAAGTCTCGGTGACGAGGCGATGCCCCAAGAGAGGGAAAATCAGGAGAAACAGGAGTGAGGATGGAGGAAGGCAAGATTTAGGGATGGGTTAAAATCCATTCTTCCTTGGCCTCTAAGCTGCTGCATAACCCTACTCATCTCCCCATGAGTGTGATGAGGGAGAGGGGAGTGGGGGGCTCCCAGGGCTGACCAGCCCTGCTCCCGCATGGGGCTCCCCAAGGCTCCAGCAGGGAGTCCCATGGGATCCACTGTCCCACTGGTGGCCAGGCTGGGCACCGCCAGAGCTCCCACTGAGGTAGTGATATCCTTCCTGGCCACTGGTTAACAAAGCACATTCAAATCCATTGTCTCATCTGATCCCTAGCACAGCCCAGTGAGGTGGGGCTTGTTAACCATATCAGACAAGGGAACTAAGGCTCCAGGGAGAGAAGGTCACTCACCAAGGTCACAATAACAAATGGACAGTTGGATTCCAACTGGGGTCTACGATTCTATATCCTAAAGTCTTAATTGTATTTTTTAAATTTTTTTGTGCAACTTTATGGGGTACACGAGAAATTTTGCTGCATGTGTATAATGTGCAGTGATCAAGTCAAGGCATTTAGGGTGTCCATCACCTGAATACATTTTTGTTAAGTACAATCACCTTACCGTGCTATCCATCACTGAACAGAATCCTTCTGTCTTACTGCATGTCTGTACCTTCAGCCCAGTGCTCTTCATCTTCCCGCTCCCCATACCCTTCCCAGTCTCTGTCATCTACCTTTCCACTCTCTACCTTTATGTGATAGGATTCTGTATCCTTATGGGTCCCAGAGCACAGGAAGGGGCCGGGTCCTGAGCAGGGGCAGGCATCACAGACCTGGGCTCAGAGTCCCCATTCCACTCAACCTTCCCAGGTAGCTTTCTGGCCCTGATATGTGATCATCCTTCACAATGCCAGGCCTGGCCTCCAGGTTTCCTGGGGATGTTT